>NC_000006.12:28544848-28847878 GCF_000001405.40 Homo sapiens | reverse complement strand
AAGATCTTTTGTCTTTCCTAACATAAACATTCCCAGCTATAAATTTACTTCTTAGCACTGTTTTAGCTGTATCCAGTACATTTTGATATGTTGTGCTGTTGTGTACTTTTTTTTTTTTTTGAGACCTAGTCTCACCCTGTCACCCAGGCTGGAGTGCAGTGGCACATTCTCAGCTCACTGCAACCTCACCTTCCCAGGTTCAAACGATTCTCATGCCTCAGCCTCCCCAGTAGCTGGGATTACAGACATGTGCCACCACACCCAGCTAATTTTTTATATTTTCTTGTAGAGACATGGTTTTGTGACTAGGCTGGCCTCCAACTCCTAGCGTCAAGTGATTCGCCCGCCTTGGCCTCTCAAAGTGCTGGGATTACAGGCATGAGCCACCGCGCCTGACTGAACTCATTTTTATTTATCTGAACGTATTTAAATTGTTTTAAATAAAAGTAAAACACATAACATTAAATTTATCATCCTAACCATTTTTAAGTATACAGTTTAGTAGTATTAAGTATATTCACATTGTTATGCAACAGATCTCTGGAACACTTTCATCTTTCAACACTGAAACTCTATGCCCAACAAACGCTAATTCTCCTCTCCCTTCCAGCCAGTCCTTGGCAACCACCTTTCTACCTTCTGTTTCTATAATTGTGTCTACTTTAGATACTTCTTATTAGTGGAATCATACAGTGTCTGTTCTTTTGTGACTGGCTTACTTCACTTGCCATAATGTCCTCAAGATTTATCTATTATTGTAGTATGTGATAGGATTTCCTTTTTTAAGGCTACATAATATTCTGTTGTATGTATATACCACATTTGGTATATCCATTCATCTGTCAATTGACATTTGTTTTGCTTTTACCTCTTGGCTAGTGTGAATAATGCTACAGTTATCTCTTTAGGATCCTACTTTGAATGCTTTTGAATTCTTTTGAAACCCCTGCAGAAGTAGGTTTGCTGGATTATATGGGAATCATAATTTTAATTTTGTGAAGAAACCCTGTGTTGGGAAAACTCTCACCAACCATTTTCCTCTAGTCTTACACCACAATAATCATCAACATAGAAGACTACTGTGGCCAAATGTGTGAAGGTTTTTCCCCACACATCAAGCAGCAGACACCAGCTAGGTGTCCTCCAATTCAGTTCTGACACTGTCTACCTGAAGGTAATGTCAGTTCCTGCAGGTTGGGGGCTCAGTCCACAAGACTTCCCCCTATAGCCTCAGATACCAGTTGCAAGTCTGGGTCTCTGGGACTTCTTGACTGACTGGTTTCAATTTGGGGTTCCTACAACCTCCTCTTTGGGTTAAGTTAATTTGCTGGAGTGGCTCACAGAACTCAGGGAAACATTTACATTCACCAGTTTATTATAAAGGACACAGATGAATAGACTGGCAGGGCAAGGTATGGTGGAAGGGGTATGGAGCTTCCATGCCCTCCCTGGGCATGCCACCCTCCAGCAACCTTCACGGGTTCAGCTATCTGGAGGTCTTTGAACCCAGTCTTCTTGGGTTTGTATGGAAGCATTCCTTCCTCCAGGGTATGAGACTGGACCCTCCCAGGGGAGGGTCTTAAGACCCATAATGAAAAAGATGGGGTAATATTAGAGTTCTGCCTTGGGGCAGGTGAAAGGAAGGCAGGAGGTAGATTCTGTTCCTTGAGGCCTGCCCCTGAGGCCTAACACACACAACATTATAACAAAAGACTGTAACAAGGGAGATGGAAGTTATGAACCAGTAACTGTGGATGAAAACCTATAACTTATATATATACATGTATATATATATGTATATAGACCACGAACTCCACACTGTTTTTCATAATGGCTGCACCATTTTACATTCCCGCCAACAGTGCACACATTTCCAATTTCTGCATATCCTCTCCAACACTTGTTATTTTCTATTCTTTTCATAGGGCCATCCTAACAGATGTGAGATTATATTTCATTATGATTTTGATTTGTATTTCTCTAATGATTAGTAATGTTGAACATTTTTTCATATGCTTATTGGCTATTTGTATATCTTTTTTCAAGAAATGTTTATTAAAGTCTGTTGCCCATTTTAAAATCAGGTTATTTGTTTTTTGTTGTTGTTGAGTTGTACAAGTTCCTTATATACGCTGGATATTAACCCTTTATCAGTTGCAAACATTTTCCTCCTGTTCCATAGGTTGTGTTTTCACTTTTTTGATTGTTTCCTTTGATGTGCGGAAATTTTTAAGTTTGGTGTGGTCCCATTTGTCTATTTTTGCTTTTGTTGTCTGTGTTCTTGGTGGCTTGTCCAAGAAATCACTGTCAAATCCAATGTCCTGAAGCTTTTCCTCCATGTTTTCTTCGAGGAGTTGTATAGTTTTTGGTCTTATGTTTAGGTCTTTAACCCATTTTGAATTTTTTTTGTATATGTATAAAGATAAGGTCCAATTCATTATTTTGCATGTAGATAACCACTTTTTCCAATACTGTTTACTGAAGGCTCTGTCCTTTCTCCATTGTGTAGTCTTGGCATCATTGTCAAAATTATTCATCCATATATGCAAGGATTTATTTCTGGGCTCTCTGTTCCATTAGTCTGTATACCTGTCTTTATGTCAGTAATACAACCATCTTTTTTGTTTGAGACAGAGTCTTGCTCTGTCACCTGTCACCCAGGCTAGGGTGCATTGGCATGATCTCAGCTCACTGCAACCTCTGCCTGCCGGGTTCAAGCAATTCTCCTGCCTCAGCCTCCCAAGTAGCTGGGACTATAGGCACGTGCCACCATGCCCAGCTAATCTTTTGTATTTTTAGTAGAGACGGGGTTTTACCATGCTGGCCAGGCTGGCCTTGAACTCCTGACCTCGTCATCCACCCACCTTGGTCTCCCAAAGTGCTGGGATTACAGGCATGAGCCACTGCGCCTGGCCCCTACAACCATCTTCATTAGCGTTGCTTTCTAGTATGGTTCAAAATCAGGAAGAATGAGTTCTACAGCTTTGTTCTTTTTCAAGATTGTTTTGGCTGTTCAGGTTCCCTGGAGATTCCATATGAGTCTTAGGATGATTTTTTTCTATATTTTCCTATTTCTGCAAAATTGCCATTGAGTTTTTGATAAGAATGCCATTGAATCTGTAGATCACGTTGGATAATATGTACTTATTCACAGTATTAAAGTCTTCCACTCCACAAGCACAGGATGCCTTTCCATTTATTTGTATCTTGTCTGATTTCTTTTAGCAATGTTTTGTAGTTTTTCCCGCACAAGTCTTTTACCTCCTTGGTTCAGTTTATGCCTAAATATTTTATTCTTTTTGGTGCTATAGTAAATGGGATTGTTTTCTTAATTTTCTTTTCAGGTTGGTCATTGCTAGTTTGTAGAAATGCAACTGATTTTTGTGTGTTCATTTTATACCCTGCTACTTTTCTAAAGTTGTTTATTAGTTGTAACAGGTTTTTTTGTGTGTGTGTGGGAAGGTCTTCAGGGTTTCCACATATAAGATCATGTCATCTGTAAACAGATAATTTTAGTTTTCTTTTCCAGTTTGGATGACTTTTGTTTCTTTCTTTCGTTCTTTCCTTCCTTTTCTTTTCTTTCAAGACGGGGTCTGGCTTTGTCCCCATGCTGGAGTACAATGGTGTGATCTCGGCTCATTGCAACCTCCACCTCCCGGGTTCAAGTGAACCCTGCCTCAGCCTCCCAAGTAGCTGGGATTACAGGTGCATGCCATCATGCCCGGCTAGTTTTTGTAGATTTTTATGGTTATGGGGTTTCACCATGTTGCCTAGGCTGGTCTTGAACACCTGGGCTCAAGCAGTGCACCCTCTCGGCCTCCCAAAGTGCTGGGATTACAGGCTGTAGCCAGCGCACTGGGGCTTTTTTTCTTGTCTAATTGCTCTGAGTAGGACTTCTAGTGCTATGTTGAACAGTAGTGGTGAGAGTAAGCATCCTTGCCTTGTTCTAGATCTTAGAGGAAAAGCTAAGGCCACTGAATATATTACCTGTGGGCTTTTCATGTATGGCTTTTATTAAGTTGAGGTAGTTTCATTCTATTCCTAGTTTGCTGAGTACTTTTTTCTTTTTTCTTTTCTTTTTTCTTTTTTTGAGTCGGAGTTTTGCTCCCTTGACCAGGCTGCAGTGCAGTGGCGCCATCTCTGCTCACTGCAAAGTCTGCCTCCCGGGTTCACGCCATTCTCCTGCCTCAGTCTCCCGAGTAGCTGGGACTACAGGCGTCTGCCACCATGCCCGGCTAATTTTTTTCATTTTTTTTAGTAGAGACGGGGTTTCACCGTGTTAGCCACGATGGTCTCGATCTCCTGAACTCGTGATCCGCCCGCCTCGGCCTCCCAAAGTGCTGGGATTACAGGCGTGAGCCATCGCGCCTGGCCGCTGAGTGCTTTTTTCATAAAAGTGTGTTGAATTTTGTTGAATCCTTTCTGTATCTCAATTGAGATGATATTTGATTATTGCCATTCATTTTATTAACATGGAGTATTATATAACCCTGGATATTTCACTCCCAAGAGTGCTAATCCTCTGACATTAGTCTTCGTGGTGATGCAGTTTTTGGTATGCCCCCAGTCACCCTGGGATGACAGTGGTGCTGGCAATGTTCTTTTTCACTCTTTTTCTGACCACACCCTACTGTTGTGTTTCAGTTATTGCTGACCAGTTGTTGTATTGTTTTCAACAATGCCTTGAGGTATAAATTCCTCTATGAACAAATCCAATCAAAATGTAGCTCCTTAAATGGAATAGTTTCTGATGTAAGTATTTGATATTTGTCCTGACTCCAAAAGGGTTCCTCCTACCTGTCTTATTTCCTGATTCTCTCCTGCATACTAGCCAGACTGCAGTTTAAGATCTATCTTTCTTAGATTCACAAATTTCCTCCCAATTACCTTTCATCAAAATCTCCACCATTCTTGAGAATGCCCTTAGCTTTCCACTTCTCTATTCTATGTTACAAATTAAATCAGTTATTTTGGGAAAGGATTGGAAGCTATCTACTTTTTGGCTCATTTATTTCTTCTTCTTCTTTTTTTTTTTTTTTTTTTTGAGATGGAGTCTTGCTCTGTCGCCCAGGCTGGAGTGCAGTGGTACAATCTCAGCTCACTGCAACCTCCACCTCCTGGGTTCAAGCGATTCTCCTTCCTCAGCCTCCATAGTAGCTGGAATTATAGGCACACACCACCAGGCCCAGCTATTTTTTTTGTATTTTTAGTAGAGATGGGTTTTCGCCATGTTGGCCAGGCTGGTCTCAAACTCCTGACCTCAGGTGATCTGCCCGCCTTGGCCTCCCAAAGTGCTGGGATTACAGACATGAGCCACCATGCCCGGCTGGCTCATTTCTTTCTATAGGAAAAATCTCTGAGCTAGGACTCTGGAGCTAGAGGTGGTAACAATTGCATGTTTCTCTTTGTGGAAGAAAAGTTCTAGATGCTGAACACTCAGTGGATGAAGTGCAGTAGTCTGAAATCCTCTTGGCTTGTATTTCCTGTTTTGAAGCCACTGCCTCACAAGCCGCAGTAAGAGCTATTAGCACCTTAGTATTCTCTGTGTGCCATGCTCAAGGTAGAGTATTAACTATGTAGGGGTGGCGGAAAAGCTTCCTCTCTGCCCACTGAAATTTGCTGAAAATGAAGTGACAAAGGCAGATTAATAAAAGAAAAAGACATACAAAATTTATTTAACATACATAAGCATGGGGTAATTGTAGGAGAGTGATTACCCAGTGTCCCAGTGAAGTTCAAATACATATATGCCCTTCTTCATAGGGGAAGGAGAGATTGAAGCTGATCATTTAGTATTCCTTTTTACAGTGACATTATATTGATGTACCATAGTTTTCTCAAATTGACCCTTTTGTCAGACATTTGGATTGTTTCCTTTTTTTTGTTTTTTTTTTTTTGAGATGGAGTCTCGCTCTGTCTCCCAGGCTAGAGTGCAGTGGCATGATCTTGGCCCCAGCCTCCCTAGTAGCTGGGGCTACAGGCACGTGCCGCCACACCCAGCTAATTTTTTGTATTTTAATAGAGACGGGGTTTCATCATGTTAGCCAGGATGGTCTCAATCTCCTGACCTGGTGATCCACCTGCCTCAGCCTCCCAAAGTGCTGGGATTACAGGCATGAGCCACCGCACCCGGCCTGGATTGTTTCCTTCTTTTGCTTTACAAATAGAGTTGTGATGAATAGTCATGCATCTGTTTTCCTTTTTATTTATTTAGTATTTATTATTATTATTATTATTTGAGATGGAGTTTTGCTCTCTCACCCAGGCTGGAGTGCTGTGGTGACATCTTGGCTCACTGCAACCTCTGCCTCCTGGGATTCAAGCAATTCTCCTGCCTCAGCCTCTTGAGGAGCTGCAATTACAAGTGCCCGCCACTACACCTGACTACTTTTTGTATTTTTAGTAGAGGCAGGGTTTCACTGTGTTGACCAGGCTGGTCTCAAACTTTTGGCCTCAAGTGATTTGCCGGCCTTGGCCTTCCAAAGTGTTGAGATTACAGGCGTAAGCCACTGTGCCTGGCCCTTTTTATTTTGATAGTATATATTAGGGATAGCTTTTTAGAAGTGGAATTTGTGGGTTAAAGGGTAAATAATTATACATTTTTTCTAGATACTGCAAATTTTCTGCCCTTGGAATTATACCATTTTCCATTCCCACCAGTACTCTATGAAAAGACTAATTTCTCGGCAACCTTGACAACAAAGTATGCTATCCAATCTAATTTAGTATGTCTTTCACTTATTATGAGTAAAGTCAGGGTATTTGGGGTATCCATCACTTTGAGTATTTATCATTTCTATGTGTTGGTTTCAGGTTATCTCTTATAGCTACTTTGAAATATACAATACATTGTTGCTAACTATAGTCACCCTACTCTACTATCAACATTAGAGGCTGGCTGTGGTGGCAGGCACCTGTAATCCCAGCTGCTCAGGAGACTGAGGCAGGAGAATCACTTGAACCTGGGAGGTGGAGGTTGCAGTGAGCTGGGATGGTGCCACTGCACTCCAGCCTGGGCAAGACAGCCAGACTCCAACTCAAAAAAAAAAAAAAAAAAAAGAACCTATACCTTCTATCTAATTATATGTTTGTACACATTGACCAACCTGCCTTTGTACGCAGCTCCAATGCACACACCCTTCCCTGACCCTGGTATCTATGATTCTACTCTCTACCTCCATGAGATCAACTTTTTAAACTCCCACATATGACTGAAAAGATGTGAAATTTGTCTTTCTGTTTCTCGCTTACTTTATTTAACATAATGACCTCCAGTTCCAATTACAATGGATTATATTAATATCTTTCCTAATAATGAGTGATCTTTACACTCCTGGAATAAACCCTACTTGGACATCCTGTATTACTGTTTTAAATGTGCTATTGTATTCTGTTTGCTATAAATTTTATTTAAGATTTAGGCATTACATTTCATATATTTCATATGTGAAATTGACCTGTAGTTTTCATTTTTAGTGCAAACTGAAATGTTATACTAACTTTATAAAGTGCTAGTGTCTATGCTTCGAATAATTTAAGTAGCATCATGATTTTTTGATATTTGACAGTTTGGTAGGATTTCTTTATGAAAGTATTTGAGCTTGGTGCCCTTTTTATTGAGTATGCCTGTTAAACTATTTTTCTTAACTGGTCTGTTTAGACTTTCTGTCTCTACAAGGGTTAGTTTGAGTATGCTACATTTGTCTAAAAAATCCACTAAGTTTGCCAGTTATTTGCTAGTTGTGTTATGTTATCTCTGATGATTTCAAAAAAGGTCTTCTGTGTTGATGATTATTTCCTCCAGTTCTAATTTTGTGTATTTGCACTAATTTTCTCTTTGTTGGCTAGAGGTTTGTCTATTTTGTTGACTTTCAAATATCCACCTTTTTTGTATCTTTATTAGTTATACTTTGTTTCTAACTCATTCTCTGAATTTGTCCTTACAACCCTTCCTTCCTCATTCTTTTGGTTTATTTTGTTGTTCATTTAGTAGCATCTTGAGCTGTGTTTGATTCATTTGTTATTTTTTGTTATCGATATAGGTATGTGAGGAAATAAATTTCCTTCTGATAAATGCTTTAGCTCTATCTCACAGATTCTATGTCACATTTGCACTTTTGTCCCTTTCAAGAAATTATGTAATTAAAATTTGTATTTCCTTCTTGACTCGAGTTGTATTATAGCATGCTTTAAAATTTTCAGGTGGAAGTGACTTTTATTTTTTATTTTATCAATTTCTAGTTTTATTGCATGATGGTCAGAGAATGATGTTTGTGTTATTTCTATACTTTGGAACTTACTGAGGTTTTCTTCTGTGGTCCGTTTTCATGAATGTTTCACAGGTACTACAAAAGAATGTGGTGCGGAGAGAGAGGTATACCGGACCCGAACTCTCTCGCCACACTCTTCCTCGTTCCTTGATTATTTCCGGTAATGCTCCTGAATCCACATTTTTATGAAAAAAAAAAAACCACTTTATTCTTCTTGTATGCGACCCTCTGCAAACTGTTTTTTTTAAATAAAGTATTCAAGTATGATTGACGTCCCTTTAATCTCAGATGGGCTGATAATAGGATTGGATAATTCTGTTATTCACCACATCCCCTTATCTTGTCTTTCTGCCCATTTAAGCTACTCTCCCAGTGTTGGCTGAGACCCTGTGGGTTCCTTGGGCTGGGAGGCAGAAGCCCGGAGCTCAGAGGATGAGGTTGGTGAGCCAGACCCGGCACACGGAGGGCTTGATGAATCGTTCATGCGCGTGTTGAGTGTATACCGCCCTCGTATCGTTTTCTGCCAATCGGGACCGGACCGGGAGCGGATTCTGCCCGAAAGGGGGCGCGATCTGGCGGGTGCTCCTCTTCCTCGCTCCCCAGTCCGCGCCTCGCTGGGCTCAGCACCCCGGCCCCCGGCGGGACGGAGGCTCGGGTCCAAAGCAGTGGCTGCACCGACACGAACCCGTCTGCGTTTCTCCACCTGTCTTCCCTCGCCACCTGCATCTACTATGGTCTCTAAATGCCTCGCTTTGTACTTTGTGGCTTTCTGGCAGCCCTTTAAAGCAGCGGTGAAAGAAAGGAGAGAGTCAAGACACGGGAGAAAATGTTTCATCCCGGGTTCTTCTAGTGGTGCCCGGTAAGTGACTCCGGACTGACGAGCAGAAAAATCCCAGGGCCATCAATAGAGGGCCTTCGGTGTAGAATGCGGTTTGCTCAGCTGTCAGCAAAGAGGGACGCAAAACCTAAATTTGAGATATCAGAAATAACTAAATAAAATAGACCTTGGCTGATTACAACTAATGGTTCTGAAACCTAGCAAAAGGGTCAGATTCTGATCTTGAATATACTCTCGAGAGAACCGTTTCAGTACGGGGGTGTAGCTCAGTGGTAGAGCGCGTGCTTAGCATGCACGAGGCCCCGGGTTCAATCCCCGGCACCTCCATTCCTTTTGCTTTTAATTTTTTTCCCATTGCTTTACTTTATTTTCCTTGCTTAAACAGAAAGTAACCCTATTTCACAACGGTTTTGCCATTAATATTAGTGCTGTTCCATTTCTACTCCTCAGCCTTGACACGACTCGGGGGACTGCCTAAGCAAAAGGTGGAAAAGATGGAGCTGGAAGACAAAGACGGCTCCGGATTCCAAAACTTCAATGGCGTCGCCAAATTGACGAGCTCATTAACCTTTGGAGTATTGTTATTTAAAAAGTAGGAAATAAAAGATAAATGTGGAAATATTTAATAAAAGAAAAACGTAAGCTCTCAATTTTCTTTATTACTTTTTTTTTTTTGAGACGGAGTCTCTCGCTCTGTCGCCCAGTGGCACGATCTTGGCTCACTGCAAGCTCCGCCTCCCGGGTTTACGCCATTCTTCTGCCTCAGCCTCCCGAGTAGCCGGGACTACAGGCGCCCGTCACCACGCCCGGCTAATTTTTTCTATTTTTTTGGTAGAGACAGGGTTTCACCGTGTTAGCCAGGATGGTCGCGATCTCCTGACCTCGTGATCCTCCCGCCTCGGCCTCCCACAGTGCTGGGATTACAGGAGTAAGCCACCACCGCTCCCAGCCGATTTCCTTTATTTTTTTTCTGGTCCTTGTTTAGCCATGATCCATCGCAGGCTGAGCCCTGACAAACGCAAAGCCTTCCAAACTGGGAAATTGAGAAAGTTATTTTCATCAATGAATGTAGAGGCGTCACACTTCTGCCGAAATAGCTCCACTGGGAAGCATGCTCTGCTGAAGATCTCAAAGTTCACGGACTGATTTCCAGTTTTATTCTGTCTTCACTCCTGCCGGATAATTTGACTTCCCTTAGATGACGTTACAGAAGTAATTTTACCTAAGACAGGTGCGCCCTCTATCGTAAGGATATCTTTCAGACTCTTGGTCCACACAAGAGTTGGTGGCACCGGAGAGCTTGTTAGAAGAGCGAAATCTCAGCTTCACCTCAGACGTACTGAACCAGAAGTAGCAATTTAACAAGATCCACAAGAGATTCTTTTGCACATTTAAGAAGCAATATGACGTGCTTTGACGTGGATGGAGTAAGGGTGTATAGTATAAATACGCGGCTGTGTTTTTTCCCCCAATTTTCTATTCTAACAGAAAACATAATTGCAAAAAATATATATTTCTATTGCTGAATCATTTTTGTGTTCTAATCATTGACTCTGTTCCTTGCCTCTCTGGCAATATTGTACTTAGTAATATTTTTTGAATCACTATTCATGATTGAATATGATGTGAAGTTTTCATTTTCTTTTTTTTTTTTCTTGAGACGGAGTCTCACTCTGTCGTCCAGGTTGGAGTGCAGTGGCGCGATCTCGACTCACTGCAACCTCCGCCTCCCGGGTTCAAGCGATTCTCCTGCCTCAGCATCCCGAGTAACTGGGACAACAAGCGCGCGCCACCGCGCCCGGCTAATTTTTTATATTTTTTTTAGGGACGGGGTTTCACCATATTGGCCAGGCTGGTCTCGAACTCCTGACCTCATGATCCGCCCGCCTCGCAAAGTGCTGGGATTACAGGCATGAGCCACCACTCCCGGCCTTTATTTTCTTTTTCGCAAGTTTTGCAATAAAGGCTGTGCTAACTTCTAATGTAAACTGGGAAGTTTGTATCCTTGCTCTGAAACATTTTAAATAGAATAAGACCTTGTAATCATTCCAGAATACACAGCCCTCTTCTCATCAGCTACCACCAAATCTTCAAGAACTTTTGTATTAACACCACTTTGTATTCTAAGCCCTGTGATAGATTTTAAAGATCCAAAACCCTTTGCTAACCCTAATGAAAGTGTGAGCTGAAGGATATCTCAAGAATTGGGAAATCCTTGGTTTCCGATATAATATCAGGCCACCTCTGTCCCTGTGAAGTGATTAGGAAATTTTCAATGGAGAAAATAAGTTCCAAAAGTCATTCTTTCTCAGATTAAGATGTCTTGGGTTTCAGTTTACTTCTTTAAAGAAAGATTCAGAGTTAGTACTGAGGACCCAGACTTTCTTGATGTGGGAAATAGATAATTTTCTGTTCTGTTGACATTTTTTCTCTCTCTTCTCTCATTTTCAAAGTACAGTTCCACAATGTCTCTTTGCCACTTATACTCACTGTGGCAGAAAAAAATTATTCACAGGCTTCAATCATGGGAATCAATTTGCAAAGGAATATAGTAAAAGCATGAGGAAAATTATCATGAATTATTACCATTGCTTTATGCTAGGGCTCAGGCCCAAATGGAAATATTTTTTTCTGCTCCCCACAATAGACTTCTTTAAGGAAGTCCACCTCTGTAATTTAGGGTAGAAATGGATAGGATGCAAAAACCAAGAGTTTAATATAAGAAAGCTATAGAAAATATAGGATGGAGATTTCAAAAACATCTTGGGACAATGAAAACAAATGACATATGACAGATAGAAGTACTTCTTTGAGAGCAAACAGTGCCTATCTTTGGCCTAGGACAATAGTGAATCATTTTAAGGTACATTGTAGATGAATTTTGGAAATTCAACTATATTTTATTTTGGGGTTGTATACTTCAATGAGATCATATTTTAAAAAAATTTTTCTCCACAGAGAAATTAAGGACCTCTTTCAAAAATCAGCTGGGCATGGTGGCGACCACCTGTAATCACTGCTACTTGGGAGGCTGAGGCAGGAGAATTGCTTGAACCTCGGAGGCGGAGGTTGCAGTGAGCCAAGATCATGCCACTGCACTCCAGCCTGGGTGACACAATGAGACTCCATCTCAAAAAAAAAAAAAAAAAATTAAGGACTTCTGAGAGGAATGAGGACGTGGCCATGCGTGAGACCCTGGGTGAATGTGTGGGAAGCGGCAGGTGGGCAGGACCATTGGCTGCACAGTGATATGGAAGCAGACACAATCCATCAGGCCATGTAGTCAATCTGACTCAAAAGGTAGAGTTTTATTCTTTTCAAAGACATATTTAATTGAAGAAAAAAGATTATTTAACCCTTTACTGTCTAGTTCAGGAATTCTTTTTTAATATTCAATCAAGGTGGGAGACTTACAACAGTGTAATCAAACCTCCCTCTCCCTGTCAACAAATCAAGATGTAAATCCCAAAGAATATAGAGTGAATTCAATTTCTAGATTATCATATAAGAGCTCCTTACATGAAAACTATTACTCCACCTTTTTGTCAACTTTAAGAAAACAGTACTCAACCAGTTACAATCTTCTCTCTGGTTGTAGATTGTCTAGAGATGTCATTCGCATGTCTGCAGGCTCCCTGAGCAGAGTAATTGAGTATGAATGAGTTCTATCTCCTGAGATAAATGGTTGGTTCATCAGAAAAATCTCATATATTTGGAACTCATCCTATGTCTCCCCATGCATAGATATTTCTGAATGCTTACAGAAACTTAAACAATTCTCACAGTGTTCTCTGTACTTTGGGGCAAACAGAAAAAAAAAAAAAAAGAAACACCTCCTTGTGGGGAACTTCTGGTAATCTAACTGGTATCTTGGTTTCTTCAGGTGCAAGTTAGAGAATAATTACATGATGACTCTGGAAACAACTTTCACACCATCAAACAGTCTAGATAATTTTCTTTCTTTCTTTCTTTCTTTCTTTTTTTTTTTTTTTTTGAGACAGAGTCTTGCTCTGTCGCCCAGGCTGGAGTGCAGTAGCGCGATCTCGGCTCACTGCAAGCACCGCCTCCTGGGTTCACGCCATTCTCCTGCCTCAGCCTCCCGAGTAGCTGGGACTACAGGCGCCCTCCACTACACCTGGCTAATTTTTTGTTTTTTGTTTTTTTTTTTAAGTAGAGACGGGGTTTCACCGTGTTAGCCAGGATGGTCTCGGTCTCCTGACCTCGTGATCCGCCCGCCTCGGCCTCCCAAAGTGTTGGGATTACAGCCATGAGCCACCGCGCCCGGCCAAAACAGCCTAGATAATTTTTCTCACATCCTCCCAGCACTTTCACGCGCGCGCGCGCGCACAAACACACACACACCAGAGCTTGTAGAGTTTTGTGGGTGACACTTAAATACCCAATTTCAGTGAAACCTGCCATTATGTTTCCTCTTACCTATTCCGCTATCCCTATGAGCCAACAGAGAGAAATTCTGCCAAACCATAAGGTGTTCCCAACCTCGAAAGGGGCTCAGCAATATGCTTACCAATATAGGTAAAGTCATACATAAGGAGAATGAGAATGAAGATGAATGAGAAAAGATAACACCTACTGGGAAACTAGCCAGGAAATGAGACTTTCTGGGTCTTTTGTGAAAGTTTCAAGGCCATGGTGACAACCAGTGTGAATTCCAGGGTTGAAGATCAGCTAGGAAGAAGTTCATTTTTTTGCTTTTCACAACTATCAGTAAGTAAGTTTCTGATCTTCATATCTCAAAGGACACTTTGAGTTCTCATTGTACTCACACTGTATTGGTGCCTTCTACTCACTCCCACCTCCACGTATTCAGATCAGAGCACTGGGCTAAGTTCACTGTGTTTCACCAATGGGCAGGATCCTACGGAAGAATATGGTAAGTTCAACACGTTCCCAAACAAACTCACCTCCTCCTCCTAATATCTTGTCCATTCCTTCAAAGAACAATAAGCATCTCTATTCTGCTTTTTTTCCTCCTGTTTGTTGAGGCTCTCTTTTATGGATTCCCCACTTTCTGGCTTGCTCTATAAATCCAATAAGTCTTTGAATCCTGTGTCTAGCTACCTATGAATGTGCTTTCAAAATTTCAAAGTTTTTCTCCATCCTTGAATCTGCTATTTATTTCATGTCTTGAACATTATTCTGGGCTACTCCATGAACCTCCTCAGTTGCCTTCATGCTGTAGTACAATCAAGAACCCCTTGGCAATGAATAACAGGTTGCATGTGGTTTTCATTCTCACCTGGGGTTTTCTCATCAAAGTTTTGCTCTTACCATTCCTGTGAAGCAAACAGCAATAGCAGAAGTGCTTTATTCAGGAAAAAGCTGGTCAGTTTTCTAACGCAAGTTTCCAGTATTCTGCGTTCCATTTCAAGCTTTATTTGCCAAAACTTCAATATCCCCCACAGCTGGGGGTCTTCCAACTTAAAATGGTCACAAATCCTGCTTCTAAACCCAACACTTAGTGCTAAAACAATGAACACAGGAATGGAGACCCACAGAATATAACGAGATATTCCTTTATTTTTCATTTTATTTAATTTTTTACATCTTTAGATTGGAGAAATACCTTTTTAGGGTTTTTGGGTTTTTGTTTGTTTGTTTTTTGAGACAGAGTCTCACTCTGTCCCCAAGGCTGGAGTGCAGTGGCGCCATCTCCGCTCACTGCAGCCTCCACCTCCCAGGTTCAAGAGATTCTCCTGCCTCAACCTCTGAGCAGCTGGGGTTACAGGCACGTGCCATCACGCCCGGCTAATTTTTGTATTTTTAGTAGAGACAGGGTTTCACCTTGTTGGCTCGGCTGGCCTCGAACTTCTGACCTTAAATGATCTGACCGCCTCCAACTTCCAAACTGCTGCGATTACAAGCGTGAGCTACCGTGCCCGGCCACCTTTTTAATTTTTAAGTTATTTTTTATTTCCATATTTTTATTGTTTTCATATACTGCAATAGTACTTGGAGGACGACACAAATATCTCTTGGCATGAGGAGATGTAGTTCAGTGATAGAACGTGTGCCTTACATATAGGAGGCCTCAGGTTCAGCTCCCGAGAACCTTCAACGGTCAGTTTCCGAGTTCTTAATACCACTCCTTAGTACAAAGCACATTCAGGTGTCCTACTCTCTTTTCGTTGCCTGTCACATGAGAAGTAAACACGTGACCCCAAGACGTTAATTTCTGTTTTTTTTTTTTTTTTTTTAGAGATGGAGTCTCACTCAGTCGCCCAGGCTGGAGTGCAGTGGCGTGATCTCGGCTCACTGCAAGCTCCGCCTCCTGGGTTCACACCATTCTCCAGCCTCAGCCTCCTGAGTAGCTGGGACTACAGGCGCCTGCCACTATGCCTGGCTAATTTTTTTTTTTTTTTTTGTATTTTTAGTAGAGACCGGGTTTCACCGTGTTAGCCAGGATGGTCTCGATCTCCTGACCTCGTGATCCGCCTGTCTTGACCTCCCAAAGTGCTGGGATTACAGGCTTGAGCCACCGCGCCCGGCCTCTTTTTTTTTTAAGATTTTTTTTTTTAATCATTATACTTTAAGTTCTAGGGTACCTGTGCACAACGTGCAGGTTTGTTACATATGTATACATGTGCCATGTTGGTGTGCTGCACCCATTAACTCCTCATTTACATTAGGTATTTCTCCTAATGCTATCCCTCCCCTATCACCCCACCCCGCGACAGGCCCCGGTGTGTGATGTTCCCCACCCTGTGTCCAAATGTTCTCATTGTTCAATTCCCACCTATGAGTGAGAACGTGCAGTGTTTGGTTTTCTGTCCTTGTGATAGTTTGTTCAGAATGATGGTTCCCAGCTTCATCCATGTCCCTACAAAGGACATGAACTCATCCTTTTTTATGGCTGCATAGTATTCCATGGTGTATATGTGCCACGTTTGTTAAATTCAGTCTATCATTGATGGACATGTGCCTTACATATAGAAGGCACATTTGGGTTGGTTCCAAGTCTTTGCTATTGTGAATAGTGCCACAATAAACATACGTGTGCATGTGTCTTTATAGCAGCATGATTTATAATCCTTTGGGTATATACCCAGTAATGGGATGGCTGGGTCAAATGGTATTTCTAGTTCTAGATCCTTGAGGAATCGCCACACTGTCTTCCACAATGGTTGAACTAGTTTACAGTCCCACCAACAGTGTAAAAGTGTTCCTATTTCTCCACATCCTCTCCAGCACCTGTTGTTTCCTGACTTTTTAATGATTGCCATCCTAACTGGTGTGAGATGGAATCTCATTGTGGTTTTGATTTGCATTTCTCTGATGGCCAGTGATGATGAGCATTTTTTCATGTGTCCATTGGCTGCATAAATGTCTTCTTTTGAGAAGTGTCTGTTCATATCCTTTGCCCACTTTTTGTTGGGGTTTGATGGGGTTGTTTGATTTTTTCTTGTAAATTTGTTTAAGTTCTTTGTAGATTCTAGATATTAGCCCTTTGTCAGATGGGTAGGTTGCAAAAATTTTCTCCCATTCTGTAGGTTGCCTGTTCGCTCTGATGGTGGTTTCTTTTGCTGTGCAGAAGCTCTTTGGTTTAATTAGATCCCATTTGTCTATTTTGGCTTTTGTTGCCATTGCTTTTGGTGTTTTAGACATGAAGTCCTTGCCCATGCCTATGTCCTGAATGGTATTGCCTAGGTTTTGTTCTAGGGTTTTTATGGTTTTAGGTCTAACATTTAAGTCTTTCATCCATCTTGAATTAATTTTTGTATAAGGTGTAAGGAAGGGATCCAGTTTCAGCTTTCTACATATGGCTAGCCAGTTTTCTCAGCACCATTTATTAAATAGGGAATCCTTTCCCCATTTCTTGTTTTTGTCAGGTTTGTCAAAGATCAAATGGTTGTAGACGTGTGGTATTATTTCTGAGGGCTCTATTCTGTTCCATTGGTCTATATCTCTGTTTTGGTACCAGTACCATGCTGTTTCAGTTACTGTAGCCATATAGTATAGTTTGAAGTCAGGTAGCATGATGCCTCCAGCTTTGTTCTTTTGGCTTAGGATTGTCTTGGCAATGCAGGCTCTTTTTTGGTTCCATATGAACTTTAAAATAGTTTTTCTCCAATTCTGTGAAGAAAGTCATTGGTAGCTTGATGGGGATCGCACCGAATCTTTAAATTACCTTGGGCAGTAGGGCCATTTTCATGATATTGATTCTTCCTATCCATGAGCATGAAATGTTCTTCCATTTGTTTGTGTCCTCATTTATTTTGTTAAGCAGTGGTTTGTAATTCTCCTTGAGGAGGTCCTTCACATCCCTTGTAAGTTGGATTCCCAGGTATTTTATTCTCTTTGTAGCAATTGTGAATGGGAGTTCCCTCATGATTTGGCTCTCTGTCTGTTACTGGTGTATAGGAATGCTTGTGATTTTTGCACATTGATTTTGTATCCTGAGACTTTGCTGAAGTTGCTTATCAGCTTAAGGAGATTTTGGGCTGAGATGATGAGGTTTTCTAAATATACAATCATGTCATCTGCAAACAGGGACAATTTGACTTCCTCTTTTCCTAACTGAATACCCTTTATTTGTTTCTCTTGCCTGATTGCCCTGGCCAGAACTTCCAACACTATGTTGAATAGGAGTGATGAGAGAGGGCATCCCTGTCT
This sequence comes from Homo sapiens, assembly GCF_000001405.40. Classification (NCBI taxonomy): domain Eukaryota; kingdom Metazoa; phylum Chordata; class Mammalia; order Primates; family Hominidae; genus Homo; species Homo sapiens. The sequence goes on along the minus strand of NC_000006.12, from coordinate 28,830,136 downwards.
TGTGCCAGTTTTCAAAGGGAATGCTTCCAGTTTTTGCCCATTCAATATGATATTGGCTGTGGGTTTTTCATAAATAGCTCTTATTATTTTGAGATACATCACATCAATACCTAGTTTATTGAGAGTTTTTAGCATGAAGGGCTGTTGAATTTTGCCAAGATGTTAATTTCAATATTACGTTATTTAGACTTCATGAGCCTCAAAACCACTCAAGGCAGTTGGCAGAGTAGAATAAGCTTGTCATTGATTAGTTTCCTATGGCTGCTGTAACAAATTATCTCAAATTAGATGGCTTATAACAACAGAAATTTATTCTTTCACACTTCTGGAGGCCAAAAATCTGATATGAGTGCAGTAATGTGCTACATGTTGACATTTTAGTAAACCACAGACCACATATCCTACGGTGGTCTTATAAGATTATAAAGGAGTTGGCTGCGCACAGTGGCTCACGCCTGTAATCCCAACACTTTGGGAGGCCGAGGCGGGCAGATCACCTCAGGTTGGGGGTTTGAGACCATCCTGACCAACATGGTGAAACCCCCATCTCTACTAAAAATACAAAATTAGTCGGGAGTGGTGGCACACACCTGTAATCCCAGGTACTTGGGAGTCTGAGGCAGGAGAATTGCTTGAACCCAGGTGGCAGAGTTTGCAGTGAGCCAAGATCCTCCCATCGCACTCCAGCCTGGGCAACAAGAGCAAAACTCTGTCTCAAAACAAAACAAAATAAACTACCTGCTAAATTCTAATATAAATTGGGGAATTTGTATCTTTGTCTCAGCCTAGCAACATTTAAAATGGAATGGGAACCATTTGAGAAACACATATCGTCCAAATCTTGACATTATTTCAGAACACGGTCTTGCCTCTTCCTCACCTCAACAACCAATCAGCAACAGTGGAATATATATGTGTGTGTGTGTATGTGTGTGTGTATATATATGTATATGTACATATGACAAAAATTATTTCTCTAAACTATTTGATAATGATTTTCAGACATTATATCTTTTTATTCCTAAATACTTCAATGTGTATTTCCTAAGAACAAGGTCAATTTCTTACCACAGCACAATTATCAAATTTAGAGAACTTAACATTGATAAAATAGTATTCTCTAATATACAGTCTATAAAAATTTTAATTGTATCAATAAAATCTTTTATAGGAATTTCTCTCCCAAACTAGGTGCCATTTCAGAATCACATATGAATCTAGTTGTCTTGACTTTTCAGTCTCCTTCACTTTGGAACAGATTCTTAATCTTCTTGTCTTTCATGAATATGTTTTTGAAGAGCATATGCCAGTGGTTTTGTTGAATGTTTCTTAATTTGTGTAGTCATGGTTACATTCAGGTCATGGAAATGTCACAGAAATCATGTTACCCTCTATCACACCAAGAGGCATGTGATGTCAGTTTTTCTCATTATTTATTATTATTATTATTATTTTTTTTGAGATAGAATTTCGCTCTTCTTGCCCAGGCTGGAGTGCAATGGTGTGATCTCGGCTCACCACAGTTTTGTATTTTTAGTAGAGACGGGGTTTCTCCATGTTGGTCAGGCTGGTCTCGAACTCCCAACCTCAGGTGATCCCCCTGCCTCGGCCTCCCAAAGTGCTGGAATTACAGACGTGAGCCACCACGCCCAGCCCAAATGAGGATTTTCTAATTTTATCCTTACTTCCACATTTATCACTTGGCACACAACTGTAAGGAAAATCTTCCCATCTTCCATATTTATGTGTTTAAGTTCCCAAGATTGATAATCACTTATTGTCATCATTAATGCTCAAAATGTGTCAGATTTGGCCATTGAGATCCCTTTCAAGCTGGCTTCTCTGTCCTTTCAAATCATACCCATCAATTCTGAGCACCTACATTCTGGCACAGCAAGATATCTTAGGTTCATCTTGTAGTTTCCCTGGCACAGTCCCGGAGTCAGTGTAGTTGACACCAGTAGCTACTTTCTATCAGTATCGCTGGTTCCTTTTAGTAGGGAGTGGTATTTGAAAATCAATATATAGAATTATCTTTGCTCATTGCATCTGAGGTATCATTTCTTCTAGGCCCAATTAGCAGAGAGATCTGTGGAGAAATTTTACAATTAAGTGTATAATTTCATACTGATGCCTCTAATTCCCATCATCACCAATAGGACTATTCTTTACCTTCCTCCTTTCCCACAGTGAGAGCCTGGTTCCAACAACATACAGGCGCACACATGCTCATTTTTCCAATCCTAAAATTCACACAAAATATCAGAATTGCTATTGCCTTAGCATTACAGAAAATATTCCTGATACATAGAGTTTAAGATATGCTTGCTGTTCTTTTTCTTTTTACAATGAGAACAATGTATAAACCATTTTCTTAGGTCAATTCTTTCCTGAATTTTCAATGTGGTTATGTTATACTTTTGAAATGCTCTATTTGGAAATAGATTTGCTGATCCCAAATCAGGAACAGTGTTTTTCTTTTTACTGTTAACGTACCTTTTCTTGATGTAACCGTGCCTAAGAGAGGGGGCACTTAGATATAGGGAAATCATAAACAGTGGAATTGGAAACACATGGTAATTGTCTTTATGACATAGAGCACATACTCAGATAATGGTGGTCACCAGTTTTCCAAATACACAGGAGGTATGAGGGGGTATAGCTCAGTGGTAGAGAGTGTACTTATCATGCACGAGGTCTTGGGCTGATTCCCCAGTACCTCCAGAGGTCCATTTTCTTCCCTGTGGCACTGTAAGAAGAGCTCCATGACCTTCCCCAGCTGTCCAGAATGTCCTGCCTTGTCAAGATATTTGGGTTGACCTCTACATCTCTCTCTCATACAGAGAGGTAATTCGTGTTCATTCACTTAAGGTTATTTGCTGCTTACGATTATCCACCTATTCTTTCTAAGCAGTCCCAGCAGTCACTAAGGTGAACCACGCACTATGGAAGCAAGTACTACTCCTGGCCCTCCAGCCTATTTCTAGTTGTAAATGAAATAATCAGAAACCATAGAACCACGTGGCGCAAGTCCTTTCCTGCGTGTGGTGTTTGTTTGTTTGTTTGTTTGTTTGTTTGAGACAGAGTTTCACTCTTGTTGCCCAGGCTGGAGTGCAATAGCACAATCTTGGCTCACCACAACCTCTGCCTCCCGGATTCAAGTGATTCTCCTGCCTCAGCCTCCTGAGTAGCTGGGATTACAACCATGCACCACCATGCCTGGCTAATTTTGTATTTTTAGTAGAGATGGGGGTTTCTCCCTGTTGGTCAGGCTAGTCTAGAACTCCCGACCTCAGGTGATCTGCCCACCTCAGACTTCCAAAGTGCTGGGATTACAGGCGTGTGCTACCATGCTTGGCCTTGTATTTCTTCTTCTAACCCAGGTTGCAGAAGCCCTACAAGCTTTCACTAAAAGATTTCACTGCCAGTGGCTGAGGACCTGATGTGCTGGTGGTCACTTTTTCCATTAGAAACCCACAAACTCTAAAACTTAATGTAAACTATTTAACTACAAGAATACAATAAATGGCAAATATAATGACAAATGAGAAAAAGATCACAGTCACTTCAGCTGACATTTGGTAGGGGGAACATATTTCTCTGGGTCCTCTAAGGAAGTTTCTGCCCTGAGATGCAAGCACTCGGAACTCCAGGAACCAAGATCAGTATAGGGTAAAGCTCATTTCTTTGTTTTCCATCAATAAAAATAATGAATGAACTTTTATTCTCCCAATCCCAATGGATCCTTTTCTACCTGCTGCACTTATTCTCCAGGAATAACCTCTTTCTAAGCTACTGAACAACCCACACCTCCAGATTAGAGCTCTTTGCACAGTTTCTGATGCTGGTATCACAGAGCTAAGCAGAATCCACGCGGGGATACTCTGCAAGCATCTCAATACTATCTCGTTAAAAGGAAATCGCCTTCTATTTTCAGCTCTATTTCATTTAAACAAAAGATAAAAAATTAAGTTACTCAACACCCAGAAGGCAGAAAAACGACCTCTCTCTGCATCTGCAGAAGCCAAGCAAGCTAGTGGGGCTTCCGTATGCATCCTTTGTTTTACTCATTTTCCAAACGCTGTAATGGTCCACCACCTACCAGGTGGTCACAAGCCATCGCTAAAGTCAATTTTGAGGTCAACCCACTCAACTTGTGAGGGATTCACCTATATTACCTCTGCACCTGTAATAAGACTAAGAAGACGGTGGCTGCACATGTAGTTAACACCGATTGTACCGCGACTTCGCCTTTCCGCAGCCTTTGTACCAACCTGCAGAGCCCTTTTGAGCCAAGAGCTGGACTTGGGGAGTAAAGAAGCTCATTGTAAACGCCAGGAGGAATTTCTTCAGGGTGAAGTTGACTTCCAATCGGCTTCATTCTAAAGGAAACATGTGGAGCAAACAAACGGGAACTTTCTTTCTCATCTTCTGCATTTCAAGCCTAATAAAATTAGACGTTTCCACTGTCCTGCTCAGTCTCGAAGCTGTCGGCAGATTCCGCTTTTAACTCTCAACACAGACACTCAGGAAATCGGGAAATCCCTGCAGCTCCCTCAGAAGCTATCAGTATCAGCGGTTCCCGAACCCGCAAACAAAAAACGCAACATCACGTGCTCCTCCAAAGAGCCTAGCCTGTCTATCGAGCGATGGAAAGAGCGGCGAGGCGCTCTCGCAGCCGTGGCAGTCTGGACGAAAAGAACCAGGTCCCTTTCCTGGTCTAGCCTACCTCCCTACCTCTCTTCCCTCATATCCAGAAGAAGCGACGGAGAGGTGAGTGCTTAGACTCACTCTAACATCCCGTCCATCCAAATCCTAATAATCTTGAGGATGCTTTTCCTTGTCCTCTACCCCTCTCCCTTTTTATGTTTCTTTCTCCACTTCACCGCACCCCGCCTCTTCCCTCTCTCCGCCAGCTGGCCCTCGGCTCCTCTCCACCTTCCCTCCCGTTTACTTCTGAATGAACTTTTCACAATAGTGCAGTGCACTCCTAGAACCATTTACACACATTCTAAGCACTGTGCTGAGATTTATATGTAGCCACTGTTTTAATTTCCACATCACTTTCCTTTTTTTTTTTTTCCTTCTCTATATGCTCAACTTCAAACGTTTTCTGCAGCATAGGCTGAGGCTGCGTCCAGATGGGGAGAGACGTCAGGCGGCGGGGATAAACCTGGAGGAATGTTGTTTCCTGTCTGGGGAGGTTCGGGCCTTACAAGAGGGAGAGAAAAAAAGAAAAAAGCCTGTAAGAGAATCTAAAATTTTTGAGGAAATTATTCAAAAAATATTTTAATTGACCCTCCCAACAAATTTTGGCTAAAAACAGAAAGCCTGGACTCTCTCGGAATAGGAGACTGAGTTTGAAAACTGTCCAGACATAGGGACGGTTTTATTAAAATTCAATTTGCAAGTCGTTGTTGGCTGTAGCTATTTCCTCATTCCAGAGAGGATTGTTTCTGAAATTCGGTAAACTCTGAAATTGTTTCTAAGTTATTTAACAAGAGGAGTCCAATGTTTTCACACTTTTGAAGTGATATAAGAATTTCTAGGCTGAGGTGGGAGAACGGATTGAGCCTGGAGGCGAAAGTTGCAATGAGAGGAGATTGCCACTGCACTCCAGGCTGGCAGAGTGGGACCCTGTCTCTCTCTCTCTCTCTCTCACTCGCTGGAATCTTCTCTCTCTCTCTCTCTCTATATATATATATAGAGAGAGAGATACATGTATATTTTATATTATATATAATATCTATATCAACAATATATTTACATTTTTAATTTATATATATTTCATATTTATATGTGTGTGTATATATATATATATATATATATATATATATATATATATATATATAGCGTGGTCACACTAAAATAAACATATGCTTGCCTTTTCCACCCCTGGCTCTCTGTACCACCTAAGGTGGATGTGTTAGCACTAGATCAGTAAAAGGAAGGAAACAGAGAAAAAGAATTGGCTCGCTCAGGATTTCTTCAGTCGGAAGCTATAAACCTACTACCAGGTTAACGTGTTCAATAATCTTCTGTTCCTTTTTGCCATGTCATTGAAGAGCAAGACAGAAAACAAAACAAAAAAGAGCCAAAAGGAGAGAAAAGGAAAAGTCTAGATAATTTCATTTTAGTTTTAGATAGTTTCCTTTAGTTTTCTGAGCGGTGTTTCCAAGGTGACCAAGCATGGGAGCATCTATCTTGCTGATTTGACCTATTCCTCGCCTTTTTTTTTTTTTTTTTTTTTTTAGAGACAGAGTCTCGCTGTCGCCCAGGCTGGAGTGCAGTGGCGCGATCTCGGCTCACTGCAGCCTCGAACTCCCTGGTTCAAGCGATTCTCCTGCCTCAGCCTCCGAAGTAGCTGAAACTACAGGCGTGCGCCACCTCTCCTGGCTAATTTTTATATTTCTTGTAAAGAAGGGATTTCACCATGTTGGCCAGGCTGGTCTTGAACTCCTGACCTCAAGTGATCCACCCTCCACGGCTTCGCAAAATGCTGAGATTACAGGCGTGAGCCACCGTGCCCGGCCGTCTCGTCTTTTCTTTCCCGTCTTTTGCCGGGGAAAATTGGATCCTATTTTCATACATAAATTACAGCAGAATTTATATTTTTGGATTGGGAGGAGGTGAGTGAATGACGGGTGATATTGAAGACAACCGAATTAGGCGTTGGAAGATACACTGACCTTACAAATTGCAGTTTTTATATTTTGAAGAAATGACCAACGGGACAGCTCCAGAGTAGCCGAAATAGCTCAGTTGGGAGAGCGTTAGACCGAAGATCTTAAAGGTCCCTGGTTCAATCCCGGGTTTCGGCAGATACCTTTTGGTTGTTGCATAATTGTCTTTCCTTTATACAACACTTGCACACCAATCCCAGAGGTCTATATATAACTCCCATTTTTTGCTTTTTGAAAATTCCATAAAGGTAATGTATATATATATGTATGTATATTTGTATCACTCTCTCCACTGAAGTCTTCCATGAAGTGTTAACTGATGGTATGTAAATTATTTAAAATCTTAAATCTAGAAAGTTACTAATTTTAAAACCTAAGAAATTCCAATATGCTATAGACTGTGGCAATTACAATTCATTTCTGATTTGATGTTATTTATGTGTGTTGGGCAGGGGTGTTTTAAATCACAAGAACTATGAAGAAACCTGTAGAAGAACTATTATGCTGTATGAGTGTATATATGTGGTAGTGGTATATTCAAGAAACATTTTGCAATTCCAAAAACCTCGGTTTGGCCGGGCGCAGTGGCTCAGGCCTGTAATCCCAGCACTTTGGGAGGCCGAAGCGGGTGGATCACGAGGTCAGGAGATCGAGACCACGGTGAAACCCCCGTCTCTACTAAAAGTACAAAAAAATTAGTGGGGCGCGGTGGCGGGCGCCTGTAGTCTCAGCTACTCAGGAGGCTGAGGCAGGAGAATGGCGTGAACCCGGGAGGCGGAGCTTGCAGTGAGCTGAGATCGCACCACTGCAATCCAGCCTGGGTGACAGAGCGACACTCCGTCTCAAAAAAAAAAAAAGAAAGAAACACCTCGGTTTGTATCTTGAGTCAACTCCATAGCTCTGCAGTTAAACTGCTGGGAAAATAACTTTCTTTTTTTTGAGACGGAGTCTCGCTCTGTCGCCCAGGCTGTAGTGCAGTGGCACGATCTCGGCTTACTGCAAGCGCCGCCTCCCGGGTCCACGCCATTCTCCTGCCTCAGGCTCCCGAGTAGCTGGGACTACAGGCGCCCACCACCACGCCCAGCTAATTTTTTGTATTTTTAGTAGAGACGGGGTTTCACCATGTTAGCTGGGATGGTCTCGATCTACTGACCTCGTGATCCACCCACCTCGGCCTCCCAAAGTGCTGGGATTACAGTGTGAACCACCGCGCCCGGCCCTGTTTTGTTTTTTTGAGGCAGGGTCTCACTCTGTCACCCATGCTGGAGTGCAGTGGTATGATCACAGCTCACTGCAGCCTCAGCCTCCCTGGACTCAAGCGATCCTCCCATGTCAGCCTCCTGGGTAGCTGAGACTACAGAAATGCAACAACAAGCCTGGCTTTCTCTCTCTCTCTTTTGTACTTTTTTTTTGTAGAAACTGGGTTTCACCATGTTCCCCCAGCTGTTCTTGAAATCCTGGGCTCAAGCAACCTGCCCGCTTCTGCCTCCCTACGTGCTGGGATTACAGGTGGGAACCACCGCACCAGTCCTAATTACAGGAATATTTTTAAGTTTCTTACTGACAGGACATTTCTTTAGCCTGGAAACCTTGCCTAGAATTTCCAAATCTTAAGTTATTTCCTCATTGGTATCCAGGAAAGAACAAAAATAAGTCTTTCTTTCTTTTTTCTTTTTTTTTTTTTTTTTGAGACAGAATCTTGCTATGTTACCCATGCTAGAGTGCAGTGGAACGATCTCAGCTCACTGCAACCTCCGCCTCCCCGGCACAAGCAATTCTCCTGCTGCAGCCTCCCAAGCAGCTGGGATTACAGGCGTCCACCACCATGCCTGACTAATTTTTGTATTTTTAGTAAAGACGGGATTTCACCATGTTGGCCAGCCTGGTCTCCAACTCCTGACCTCGTGATCTACCTGCCTCGGCCTCCCAAAGTGCTGGGATTATAGATGTGAGCCACTGCGTCCAGTCAAAAATAAGTATTTCTAAATTAATTATTCTGTCAAGACTCAGGTGGATGTGCCCCATTTTCCTTTTTTTTACTTCAACTCCTCTCTTGAAATTTTGTGTTGGGATAATGGGCCTTTTTTGTCCTGTTTTTTTTTTTTTTTTTTTTTGTCTGATTTTTTTTGGTCATTTTTAATATCTTTTCTTCTTTCAAATTGGTGTTTCATTTTCAGTGTTATTTTCCCCTAACACCTGCATACTGTGTGAGGAGACAATAAACTACAGTACTCCAACATCAGAACTGCATCAAATTGTGAAAGGAAAATTGGTACCAAATGAGAGACCAACCTCAGGGTGGGGACATTGACTGTACAGGAACTAGGAATCAGATACTTTACCCTTTAAGTCACTGAGGCTTTCTCAACTCAGAAGCCTGTGTTTTATTTCATTAAGAAATATTTGATAGGCTGGGCGTGGTGGCTCACGCCTGTAATCTCAGCACTTTGGGAGGCTGAGGCGGGTAGATCACCTGAGATCAGAAGTTTAAGACCTGCCTGGCCAACATGGTGATACCCTGTCACTACTAAAAATACAAAATAATAATAATAACAATAATAATAATAATAATAATAAATTAGCTGGGTGTGGTGGTGGATGCCTGTAATCCCAGCTACTCGAGAGGCTGAGGCAGGAGAATCCCTTGAACCCGGGAAGCGGAGGTTGCAGTGAGCCAAGATCGCAACATTGCACTCCACCCTAGGCAACAAGAGCAAGACTCTGTCTTAAAAAAAGAAAAAAAAAAGGAAACATTTGATTAGACAAATGGCAGGATTGAATGTTTTCTTGCCTAGCACAGTAGTGATTCCTTTACATTTTGTTGAAATGAAACGCCTAGGGTAATTCTAAGCATGATTCGTCTCTCATTCAATACCTTAAAAATGAGGCTAATAATGATTATGTAAAATGGGATGTTGCAAAGGTCTAAGGAGATCATGCATGGAAATGCATTTAGTCAAGTCCACTCGCGGCATGAAACCTAATTACTGGCAGACCATGCTCCATGTCCTTTGGCTCTGGGATTCTCCCAGAACAGCACCTAAATAGATAACATCGTCTCTAGACAATGCTGTCCAATCAAAAGATACTACAAGTCTTCTGCTTTAGCTTCTGGGATAAAAAGAATTTTTAAAAAAGTTAATACAAATCTTAAATGAGAGCCACTTCTGTAGTTTTAAATTTTCTAGTAGTCACATTTAAAAAATAAACAGGCAATACTTATTTTATATAATTTTTTAACAATTTCAACTTTTAGATAGGCAAGGTGGGTCATACCTGTAATCCCAGCCCTTTGGGAGGCCGAGGTGCGCGGAACACCTGAGGTCAGGGGTTCAAGACCAACCTGACCAATATGGTGAAACCCTGTCTCTAATAAAAATACAAAAATTAGCTGGGTGTGGTGGTGCATGCCTGTAATTTCAGCTACTTGGGAGTCTGAGATAGGAGAATCACTTGAAACCTGGAGGAGGAGTTTGCAGTGAGCCCAGATAGCGCCACTGTACTCTAGCCTGAGAGACAGAGCAAGACTCTGTCTCAAAATAATAATACTAATAATAATAATTTCAACTTTTATTTTAGATTCAGGGGGTACATGTCCAGGTTTGTTACATGGGTATAGTGCATGATGCTGGGGTTGGGGTGAGATTAATCCCATCACCTGGGTGGTGAACATAGTATCCAATAGTTAGCTTTTCAAGCCTTTCCCCTTCTCGCCTCCCCCTCTAGTAGTCCCCAGTGTCTATTGTTTCCATCTTTTATGTCCAGTTTTACTAATATATGTAAATCACCTTGCATGTCCAAAATATTATTTTAACAAGTAATCAATCTTAAAATTATCAGTGAGACATTTTATGTTTAAAAAATGATATTACATCTGGCCAGGTGCGGCGGCCCATGCCTGTAATCCCAGCACTTTGGGAGGCCGAGGAGGGCAGATGACAAGGTCAGGAGTTTGGGACCAGCCTGGCCAGCATGGTGAAACCCTGTCTCTACTAAAAAAAAAAAAAAAGAAAAAGAAAAATTGCCAGGCATGGTGGTGCGCGCCTGTAGTCCCAGTTACTCAGGAGGCTGAGGCAGGAGAATGGATTGAACCCAACAGGTGGAGGTTGCTGTGAGCCAAGATTGCACCACTGCACTCCAGGTTAGGTGGCAGAGCGAGACTCCATGAAAAAAAAATTACATCTTTGAAATCTGGTATATATTTCTCACTTTCAACACATCTTAACTTAGACTAGGCAATTTTCAGTACTCAATACCCAATGTGGCTAATGGTAACCATATTGGACAGTGCAGATTTAAACATATACTTTATATATTTTTAGGTTTTCGAAATTGAGTGTGTATGACAGGGTGTTCTGTCTTCAAAATTAAATGTTTAATTTCTCAGAAGAATGCTATGTTAAATGAGCTCATCCTACAGATTTCACACAAAAAACATGTTTCAATCGTGTTGCTGGTAGATAGTCTGAAGATAGCTACAGATATTTAATTATTTAAAATTCTCCCATTTTTATGAGGCAACCTTCTTATTATGAATTCCCAAGAATCCAATAGACAGCCAAGTTTCTCTGGGTGTAACACAACATAAAGATGAAGGAGAGTTTCTGCAAACTGTCCTAATATTGCTTTTACAGCATCAAAGAGCCAAGATAATCCTTCCCATCATTTACATGCACACACACAGACACAGTCAGGCAGGCAAACACACATGAATACACATCAATTTTGTCTATAACAATTCTCTAGTTTCTCCTTCAGTGAAGTCTATCACTCAGTGTTTCCTATTTTTATTCTAGAAATCCCATCAGCCAACTGAAAAGCCAAGTCTGACATACAACTTGCAATTTGGCAATTTTGAAAGCCATCAATGTTACTTTATTAACATTGGCAAAGGCTCTTATATAGGCAAACCAGAATGAGAAAGAGTTAATAGTCACTAGAAATTTGGTGCTGAGAAATAGGTTTTCTTCTCATCTTCTTATGTAATTCAAAGGACACACGATAAGTCCCAAGATTCAAGAACTTTTGAATTCAAGAACAAACAAACTTGTTTGTTCACTACAAATATCACGAATAGGTTTGTAATTTCCATATCTCAAAGTACACTTTTTTAGTCTTTATCCATCCTCCATGTAATGTGTCTACTACTATTAATGCTTACAAATCCCAGGCTAGAGACAGAGTTAATTGCCTGAATTCTCTGAGAAACATCCTCACAAGTGTGCCCCACAGATACTTTAAATTGAGTATGAGCCAAACTAACTCATCTTCTCCATCTTCCAGTCTATCTCTCATTCCTAAAAGAGCTGTTAAAACCTCTCCCCTTTTCTGCACCTGCTGTGTTTGTTTTTCTAAAGCATTCTTCAACCCTGTTTGTATTTATCTTCGGTCTTATTCTCATAATTCAACCCTTCTCTCCATCCCCATAGCTGTTTTTCATTCACGCCTTATGAATCCCTTCCCCTCCCCTCCCCTCTTCTCCCCTCGTCTCCCCTCTTCTCCCCCTTTCCCTCCCCTCCCCTTCCCTTCTCTCTCTGTTGCCCAGGCTGGAGGACAGTGGCACAGTCATAGCTCCCTACAACAACTAACTCCCGAGCTCAAGCGATCCTCGTGCCTCAGCCTCTAGAGTAGCTGGGAGTACAGGCGTAAGACACCACGCCAGCTAAGGACCCTTATGAAAAAATGCTAAGTGCATCGCTGTCAGGTTTTCTTCTGATTGTGGCTTTCCTCCATCAAATCTTATCTTTAATATTCCGATTGAGCAAACAACAATTATGAAGCGTTTTAGGCAGGAAAAGGCTGAATTTCAATGGCTTTGTGTCGTATCTGGGAGAAATTAAAAGAAACGAAAACCTGAACTTGATTCTTGCCAAGCATAATAGAAGGAGACCCTAAGAACTCAACGTCTTGAGGCCACAATGGAAACTTCTTGTGGTTATTATCTGACACTTTTCTAATCTTTCGTTTTTCGTTTCAAGTCCTACACAGTATTCTAAAGAATCTGTATCCCCCATTAGTACCAAGTATCTCCTGCTCAGAACAGCTCTCCGCACTCCATAATACTGACCACTACTACCAGCATGCTCACGGAGTCTCAGGAAATGAAAGTTACCTCCTGAAAATTATTACAAAGAGACCTTATAGTGAGGGGGTGTAGCTCAGTGGTAGAGCGCATGCTTTGCATGTATGAGGCCTCGGGTTCGATCCCCGACACCTCCAAGCGATGGTTTTGCTCTGGTAGTTTTCAAGCGACAGACTTCTGCCTCCTCACGTTTTTCTATCCTATTTCTGCACATATAGACAGTAAAAGTGTAGCCCAATGTTCAGCCTTGAACTATCTCCACTGGTTATGCTGTGAACCTCGACATCACCAAAGGCGATTGCCACAGCAGAAGGGAGACAAACAAGAAATGAGGGGGAAAGAAGAACGGGATCGCAACACGGTCTCTTGAACCCAAACAAAAGCGTGCACATTCACAGGCGGCTCGCTTTCACTCCCATTTTGTACTATGATTAATGAGACGCAAAGACAAAGGAGAAGGGAGAAAAGCGCCCTGAAGGCATCTATTTTTTTTTAAGTTATTTTTGTTTTCTGGGCCAAAGAACAGAGCGAAAGCCTCTGTTCACTGATTTCTCCACCAGTCTCTCCCTGTCTACCTGCGCGGAGAACACAGCTACCAGTGTGATCCAGTACTGAGACAAGGGCTGTGGCTCTCCAGTCGCTTGAGATGGGAGTGGCAGGGCGCTGGATAACCACACGAAGACTGTCGGGGAATTAGAGGCCTTCAACGTGCGAGAAGCAGAAACCAATACGGATCAACATTCCCTACTGATGTTCCATAAGACTGATTTGTATTCCTGTATTTCCTCAGTCACTCCATTTTCCTCTTTACAATAAAATATTGCCTGGGAACTTCTGGTAAGAGCAAACGGAGGCCCCATATGAAAAACTAGGAAAAGGTTTTCTGTCACAATGCAAAATACATGCAGACTAAAAGATAAGTAGATCGCAGGTGTGTTGGGCACTTCCTGCCTTGGGAAAAAACAAACAAACATTTCATGTTCTTTCTCGATCCACCTGATTACATCGCTTTTTTTGGAGAGGGAACTCCCAAGAAATCCTATGCACTCATGAAACCTTTTATGGTTTCCAACGGTGTATGGTTTCAAAACTGCTGTTCTCTCTGTACATATTTCCTATTGAATTAAAGTGTCTTTGAGAGGCAAGAGAGTATGATGTTTGTTCCTAGTCCACCAGCCTATCAGGCTGGCATGATAGATACACTCTATGAGGCTAACATGACCTTACTTGATTCTTTTGTCCAGTGAGAATATCTATAACCAGCATCCAGGAGGGATACTGTCTGATGAAACCTGCTTAGCTGAGGACTGGCTGTGTGTGTGCCTCCAGACCAATCATATGTTTGTTTTGAGACACATTTTTTGGAGGAAGGTAATACACACATGCCATGTATTTTCTTTTTGTTTCATACTTTTTCTTCTTTAATTTCCTGGTATCCATTGGTTCTCTCCAGGCAAACAGTGGCATGTTAGCCACAGTGGACACTGCATAGGAGAGCAAGGGGTGGAGGATTAGGGTGCTGCAATCAGAATAATAAATTTCAGGCCCAACCTTAGGTCTATTGAATCAGAACTGCTGAGTATGGATGGGGCTCAGCCTCCTGTGTTTGAATAAGCCTTCAAGTGACTCTGATGCTAAAGTTTGTGAAGCACTGCTCTAGAAGTTTCAGGAAGTCCCAGGGTCAGGCACCTGCTGAGGAGGAAGAGTTGGTCCTGGGGTTCCCTGCCTATTCTCAATCAAAAACACAAACCTAGGAAAGCCAGTGAGGTTTGTATTCGTCTTATGTCAGGGATGGGGTTGAATTTACCATTTCTTTGACCCTTTGAATATTTATGCAACTTTTCAGGTCACACACAACAGACTGATTTTCCTGTGGAGGAACTCACAGGAATTCTCTTGAACCAGGAGACTCTTTTGAGCTGAAATACCTGGAGCTCTCTCAAGCTATTTGGGCCTTGCAATTTGAAACCCAGGCTTGGACGATTCTAAGCCCTGTGGCAGAGAGTAATCATTTTCTCTCCACCCTCAGGGTGAGGACTCATCCTCAGGGTTGGGAGTGACTGCTGTCTCTCCAGCCCCCACCAAGTCTACCAATGTTCTGGTTGTTAAAATCCAGCATATGCATGAAATGTAATAAAAGTATCTTTGCAGCAGTAAGTAGAGAGTTCCTCGTTGTGAGCAGACCATTCCTCTTCCTCCTTGGAAAAAATTCTGTATCCACTTTCTACATTTTCACGTTTGTCTCTTCCTCTACACACACCTCAGCTGCTGCTTTATTTACACTTGTCTCATGTAAGGATCTTCTTTTATGTGGTAACCTTGGCTTTTCCCACTGTTCTTGCTTCCACGAGTTGGATGCAGGCAATATAGGAGCCGACTGCAAAATGTAGGTGATATTGTCCAGAAAGAAACCCGAATTTCAGAGGCTTGCTGATGTGGAAGAAAGCCAAGATATTAGACTCATAGAGCTTCACTCTGCTAGGTAGGTTGAAATCTGGACACCCTGAATTCCATAAAAACAAGGTAGTACTCCTTCTGAAAACCCTCGTAAGTTTAAAATATACTGGGACTGCCTTACCTTTCTTGTTTTTCATGCCTTGTATTCCAAGCTTGACAAGCTATAACAAAAACAAAAGCAAAGAACACTCTTCCTATCTATAACAAAGGACCCTATGCTTCAGCGGGAGGGTCTCTCTTCCCGGTTAAACACTCTCCCCCTCGCTAACAGTAGGGATTGGAAATAGGCGGCTTCTCTGTCGTTTCCTTGGAAGCCACTAATACCACCCGCCTGTACCAAAACTCAAGGGTACCCGTTCTCCCCAGTGCCCCAGCCAGTAAAGGAGCTGCGAGGCGTTCTCAACGCCGCGACTGCCTTGAGCAAAACGAGGGAGATCTTGCGAGGAAAGTGTTTTCAGCTCACTTCTCCAACAGGGAATGAGCCCTCTCGCTTATCGCGGACAGCGAGGAAAAGCAGCGGAGATGGGCTTCCGGGCTGCACTCCGCCTTCCGGCCCACCCAGATCCTCTGGCAGCCTCGGGCGCTCGCCCACTTCGCTTCTCCTCCGCCTTTGCCGCCGCCGCCGCAGGTGCGCACCCCACCGCGTCCCTGCTTCCCTCTCGAACTCTTTTCGAAGGTGGTCCTCGTTCTCCTCTCCATCCATCGTTTCTTGAGTGTCAGAACTGGAGCCATAGCGTCCCCAAGACGAAATCCATGCTGGGTTTCGCGACCATGGTGCTGGCCCAGGCGCTGGCAGGGTAAGGACGGGCAGCGACCCACGCTCCTGGGTCTTCGTTTCTAAGAGCTGGGAATTCCACTTTCTCACCTCCTCACCTGCACCTAAATCCCCCGAGACGGTACTGACCCTTCTGTTTTAGTATCCATCTACGTTACTCTTGATAGAAGAGTACAGCCCTTGAAGGAAGAGGGAAAAGAAATTTGAGAAGGGAGAATTTAGAAAAACCTTTTTAGTTTGAAATTATTTCAAACCTACAGAAAAGTTGCAAAAATGATACAAAGAACTGCCACACACAAGTTACTCATATTTACCAATTCCCGATATTTTGCCACAATGATTCTCCTCTCTCTTTACGGCTAAACACACACACACACTATTATTTTTCTCATGTACTTTATTATTTATTTATTTATTGAGACAGGTCTTGCCCTGTCGTCCAGGCTGGAGTGCAGTGGTGCGATCTCGGCTCACTGCAACCTCCGCCTCCCGGGTTCATGCGATTCTCCTACCTCTGCTTCCCAAGTAGTTGGGATTAGAGGCATGAGCCACCATGCCAGGCCATTTTTTGTATTTTTAGTAGAGACGGGACTTCACCATGTTGGCCAGGCGGGTCTGGAACTCCTAACCTCTGGTGATCCGCCCGCCTCGGTCTCCCAAAGTGCTGGGTTTACAGGCGTGAGCCACCCCGGAGCTTCTGTGTTCTTTTAAATCATCCCCATCATTCTGGCACAGCAAGATATTTTAGGTTCATCTTGTAGTTTCCCTGGCACAGTCCTGGAGTCAGTGTAGTTGACACTAGTAGCTACTTTCTATTAGTATCTCTGGTTCCTTTTAGTAGAGAATGGTATTTGAAAATCAAAATATAGAGTCATCTTGCTCATTGTTTCTAAGGTATTTCTTCCAGGCTCAGTTAGCAGACAGATCTGTAGGGAAAATGTACTATTTTTATTTTTTGAGACAGAGTCTTAGTCGCCCAGGCTGGAGTGCGGTGGTGCGATCTTGGCTCGCTGCAACGTCCGCCTCCCGAATTCAAGCGATTATCCTGCCTCAGCCTCCCGAATAGCTGGGACTACAGGGGCGGCCACCACACCCGTCAAATTTTTGTATTTTTAGGAGAAACGGCGTTTTGCCATGTTGGCCAGGCTGTTCTCGATTTCTGACCTGAAGCGATCCACACGTCTCAACCTCCCAAAGTGCTGAGACTACAAGCGTGAGCCACCGCGCCCGGCCTATACAATTACATATGTATAATTTCATACTGATGCCTCCAATTCCCATCAACACCAACAGGACTATTCTTTACCTGCTTTCTCTTACAGTGACAGCCTGTTTCCAACAACACACGCGCTCACACACACTCATTTTCCCAATCCTAAAATTCACACAAAATCTCAGAATTCCTGCAGCCTTAGCTCTAAAAAAAAAACCCTCATACATAGAGTTTAAGATTTGTTTCCTCTTCTTTTTGTACTTACAATTAGAACAACGAACTTTGTCAAGCATTTTCTTAAATCAGTTATTTCAATGGGGTTATGTTATTCTTTCACAATGCAGTTTTAATTTGCCTCTATTTGTGTTGAATTTTAGGGTATTTTCACACACACTTGAGTCAGTTTTATTTTTTGACCATGTGAGACTAACACGCTTCCAAGAGTCAAAAGAATACAGAACATTATAATCAGAAAATTTGCAAGAGAATGTTGTATGCCAGGACACACTCAAATGATTGAATGCAAGTATGCTCCAGGAAATCTAACGCGATGGGGAGCCCACCGTGGGGTGAGTTGATCTTGGACTGACCACAAATCAGGAACAGTGCCTTTATTTGTACTATTAAGCTACCTTTCTTTTGGTGTAGCAGGGCCTAAGAGAGGAAACACTTCCTGTAGGAAATTGAGAGTGGAATTGAAAACATAAAGATTATCATGACACAGAGCCCAGACTCAGACAATAATAGTCATCAAAATATTCTCTAAAAGGCAAGTCTTCCAGAGGGGGTATAGCTCAGCGGTAGAGCGCGTGCTTAGCATGCACGAGGTCCTGGGTTCAATCCCCAATACCTCCAGGTTTTGTTTTCTTCCCCGGGCACTAGTGAGAAGCGGTCCATGATATTCCCCAACTTTAAATTTTTCTGTCTGTCAAGGTGAATTGTGTTGGCCTCTGCATTTCTCTCTCATACACAGAGGTGACTCGTGTTTATTCCTTTGAATCTATTTGCTGCTTAGGATTATCCACTTATATTTTCTAAGCAGTCCACCAATCACTAACATGAACCACGCACGAGGGAAGCAAGCAGTATTCCTGGCCATGCAACCAATTTCTAGTTGTAAATGAAATCATCAGAAACCATAGAACTGTGTGGCCCAAGTCTGATTTCAGATCAGAAGCTAAAAAGGCTCACGTCCTTTTCTGTTTCTTCTTCTAACTCCCTCTAACCAGGTTGAGAAGCCCTACAAGCTTTCACTAAAAGATTACACTGCCGGTGGTTGATGATTTGATGTGCTGGTGGTCACTTTTTCCATTAGAGACCCACATAGTTTGAAACTTAAACTATTTAACTACAAACACAAGGCAAATGATGAAAAGATAGCAGTCACCTCAGCTGAAATTTGGTGGAAGTAAAAAGTACTTCTCTGGGTCCTCAAGGAAGTTTCTGGTCTGAGATGCAAATACTCTGAACTCCAGGAAACAAGATCAGTATAGGAGAAAGCTCATTTTGTTGTTTTTCATAAATAAAAGTAATGAACGTTTATTCTCCCAAGCCCAACGGATCCTTTTCTACCTGATTGTACTTACTCTCCAGAAATAACCTCCTTCTAAGCTAGGGAACAACCCATACCTCCAGATTAGAGAGCTCTTTGTAGAGTTTCTGATTCTGGTATTACAGTACTAAGCAGAAATCCACAGGGAAATACTCTGCAAGCATGTTAATACTAACTTGTTAAAAGAAAATCTGCTTTTATTTTCATCTTTATTTCATGCCAACAAAGCAAAAAAAAAAATAAGTTACTAAACACCCAGAAGGCAGAAAAGTGACCTCTATCCATCTGCAGGAGCCAAGCAAGCGTGTGGGCTTCCGTATGCATCCTTTCTTTTACTCACTTTCTAAATGCTGTAACGGTCCACCATCTACCAGGTGGTCACAAGTCATCGCTAAACTCAATCTGAGGTCAGCCCACACGACTTGTGAGTGGTTCACTTATATTGCCTCTGCACCTGTAACAGGACTAAGAAGACGGTGGCTGCACACGTAGTTAACACCGATTGTACCTCGACTTCGCCTTTCTGCAACAGCTGTGACGCTCTGCAGGTCCTGAGCCAAGAGCTGGACGTTAGGAGTAAAGGAGCTCGTTGCAAACGCCAGGAAGAGTTTCTTTAGGGTGAAGTTGGCTTTCGATTGGCTTTATTCTAGGAGATATATATGGAGCAAAGAAACGGTAACTTTTTCTCATCTTTTGCATTTTAAGCAAAAACTAATAAAATTAGATGTTTCCGCCGTCATGCTCAGTCTCTTAGCTGCCGGCAGATCCCGCTTCTAACTCTCAACACGGGCACTTAGGAAGCCAGGCAATCCCTGAAGCTCCCTCAGAAGCTACGGTATCAGCGGTTCCTGAGGCGCAAACCAAAACCCAACATCACTCCAAAGAGCTCAGCCCGTCTGTCGAGCGACGGAAATAGCGGAGAGGCGCTCTTGAAGCCGTGACAGCCTGGGCGAAACGAACCAGGTCTCCTTCCTGGTCCAGCCTACCTCCCTAGGGACACCTCTCTTCCCTCACGGCCAGAGGAAGCGACGGAGAGATGTGGCGCTTAGATTCACTCTACGGTCCCGTCCATCCAAGTCCGAATCATCTTAAGGATGCTTTTCCTTGCCCTCTATCTCTCTCCCATTTGTGTTTTTCTTCCTCCACTTCACGGCACCCCTCCTTTTCCCTCTCTCCGCCAGCTGGCGCTCAGCTCCTCTCCACCTTCCCTCCCATTTACTTCTGAATGAACTTTTCACAATAGTGCAGCGCAGTCCTAGAACCATTTACACACATTTTAAGCACTGTGTTGAGATTTATATGTAGCTGCTGTTTTAATTTCCGCATCACGTTCCATTTTTTTCCTCTCTGTATGTTCAACTTTTAACATTTCTGCAGCATAGGCTGAGGCTGCGCCCAGCTGGGGAGAGACGTGAGGCGGAGGGGATAAACCCAGAGGAATGTTGTTTCCTGTCTGAGAAGGCTCGGACCTTACAAGCGGGAGGACAAGACAAAGACTGAAAGCGAACATAATTTTATAAATTTTATTTATTTAATTTTTAGGAAATCATCTAATCATCCAGAAACAATTTTTTGGGGGGGAAACGAAGTTTCGCTCTTGTTGCCCAGGCTGGAGCGCAGTGGTGCGATCTCGGGTCACTGCAACCTCTGCTTCCCGGGTTCAAGCGATTCTCCTGCCTCAGCCTCCTGAGTAGCTGGGATTATAGGCGCCCGCCACCATGCCTGGCTAATTTATGTGCATTTAGTAGAGACGGGGTTTCACCATGTTGACTAGGCTGGTCTCGAACTTCTGACCTCAGGTGATCCACCCGCCTCTGCCTCCCAAAGTGCTGGGATTACAGGCGTGAGCCACCACTCCTGGCTTCAAGAACAATTTCTTATCGACCCTTCCATCAAATTTTGGCTAAAACTGAAAGCCTTGACTCTTTCAGAATAGGAGACTCAGTTTGAAAACTGTCCAGACATAGAGAGGGTTTTATTAAAATTCAGTTTGCAAGTAATTATTGGCCATAGCAATTCCCTCATTCCAGAGAGAACTGTTTCTGAAATTCTGTAAACGTCTTAAATTGTTCTTAAGTTATTTATCAAGAGGAGTCCAATGTCTTGACACTTTTGAATTGATATAAAACTTCTAGGCTGAGGTGGAAGAACTGATTGAGCCAGGAGGTGAAAGTTGCAGTGAGAGGAGATTGCCACTGCACTCCAGTCTGGCAGAGTGGGACACTGTCAAAATAAAAATAAATAAATACAATCTCATGATTACAGATGTGTATGTAAAAAGCAATTTTTTTTTTTTTTTTTGAGATGGAGTCTTGCTCTGTCACCCAGGCTGGAGTGTAGTGGTGTGATCTCGGCTCACTGCAACCTCTGCCTCCTGGGTTCAAGAGATTCTGTAGCTGGGACTACAGGGGCGCGCCTCGACGCGGGGCTAATTTTTGTGTTTTCAGTAGAGACAACATGGGGTTTCACTATGTTGGACAGGCTGGTCTCCAACTCCTGACCTCAGGCGATCTGCTCGCCTTGGCCTCCCAAAGTGCTGGGATTACAGGCGTGAGCCACTGCACCCAGCTGGAAAAAAAAAAACAATTCTTATGCATCAATGTGCAGACCACAATTCTCTGAACTCCAAGGAATAGGCCGGGAACGGTGGCTCAAGCCTGTAATCCTAGCACTTTGGGAGGCCGAGGCGAGACCAGACTGATCAACATGGTGAAACTTCGTCTCTACTAATAATACAAAAAAATTAGCTGGGCGTGGTGGGGCGCGCCTGTAATCCCACCTACTGGAAGAGACTGAGTCAGGAGAATCGCTTGAACCTGAAAGACGGAGGTTGCACTAAGTCCAGATCGTGCCACTGCACTCCAGCCTGGGAGACAGAGCGGGACTCCATCTCAAAACAAAGAAACAAAGAAACAAACAAACAAACATATTATACTTTCCATTTTCACTCCCTGGGTCTCCGTACCACCCAAGGTGGATGTGTGAGCACAAGACTGGTAAAAGGAAGAAAATAGAAAAAAAGAACTACCTCGCTCAGGATGTCTTTTTTCGGAAGCTATAAGCCCACTACCGTGTTAAAGTGTCCACTAATCTTCTGTTCCTTTATGACATGCCATTGAAGAGCAAGCCAGAAAAAGAAAATCCGAAAAAAGAGAAAAGGAAATGCCTACATAATTTCATTTTGAATTCCTTAGTTTTCTGAGCAGTGTTTTATACGGTGACCAAGCATGGGAGTATCTTCCTCATTTGACCTATTCCTCGCCTTTTCTTTCCCATCTTTTGCTGGGGAAAATTGGATCCTATTTCACACATAAATTGCAGCAGAACTTATATTTCTTGGGTGGAGGGGAGGTGAGTGAATGACGGGTGATATTGAAGACAACAGAATTAGGCGTTGGAAGATACACTGACCCTACAAATGGCAGTTTCTGTATTTTGAAGAAATGACAAAAGCAGTAGGATCACGGTGGCCGAGATAGCTCAGTTGGGAGAGCGTTAGACTGAAGATCTAAAGGTCCCTGGTTCAATCCCGGGTTTCGGCAGTTGCATTTTGGTTTTAGCATAATTGTCACTCCTTCAACACAGCGCTTGCGCACCAATCCCAGAGGTCTATATATAACTCCAGGTGTTTGTGGTTTTTTTGTTTCTTTTTTCTTTTTTCTTTTTTTTGGCTGTTTTCTGAAAATTCCATAAAGGTAATGTATACACACACACACACACACACACACACACACACACATCTATATATATATATTTACACACAAACACATATATATATATATATTTGTAACACTCTCTCCACTGAAGACTTCCATGAAGTGTTAACTGACAGGACGTAAATTATTTAAAGTCTTAAACCTAGCAAGTTATTACTTTTAAAACCTAAGAAATTCCAATATGCTATATGCTGTGGCACTTACAATTCATTTCTGATCTGATGTTATTTATGTGTGTTGGGCGGGGGTGTTTTTAAATCACAAGAAATGTGAAGAAACCTGTAGAAGAAGAACTATTATACTGTATGAGTGTATATATGTGGTGGTGGTATATTCAAGAAACATTTTGCAATTAGAAAAAACCGGGTTTGTACCTTGAGTCAACTCCATAGCTCCGCAGTTAAACTGCTGGAAAAATAACTTTTGCTTTGTTTTGTTTTTCTGAGGCAGGGTCTCACTCTGTCACCCATGCTGGAATGCAGTGGTATGATCACAGCTCACTGCAGCCTCAGCCTCCCTGGACTCAAGCGATCCTCCTATGTCAACCTCCTGAGTAGCTGAGACTACAGAAATGCAACAACAAGCCTGGCTTTTTGTTTGTTTGTTTGTTTTTTGGTTTTGTTTTTTTTTTAATTTTTTTGGTAGAGACTGGGTTTCACCATGTTGCCCTGGCTCTTCTGGAAATCCTGGCTCACCTCTGCCTCTCACCATGCTGGGATTACAGGCTTGAGCCACCACACCAGGCCTAATTACAGGAATATTCTAAGTTTTCTTACTGACAGGAAGCCTGGCACCCTTGTCCAGAATTTCCAAATCTTAACTAATTTCTGTGTTGGAATCCAGGAAAGAACAAAAACAAGTACTTGTATATGAATTATTCTGTCAGACATTCATGAGGGGCCTTAGAATACTGAAAATGAAAGCAAATGGGCAGCAAAGTCATCAAGATTCAGGTGCATGTGCCTCATTTTCCCTTTTCCACTTCAACTTCTCTGTTGAAATACTGTGTTGGGGGTAATGGGTCTTTTTTTTCCCTCCTTTTTTCTTTCAAATTGCTGTTTCATTTTGAGAGTTATTTTCCCCTAACTCCTGCATACTGTGTGAGGAGACTAAACAATCTACAGTACTTCAACATCAGAACTGCAGCAAGTTGAAAAAGGAAAATTAGTACCAAATGAGAAGAAACCTCAGGGTGAGGACACTGACTCTACAGAAACTGTAAATCAGATACTTTATCCTTTAGGTCACTGAGGCTTTCTCAACTCAGAAGCTTGTGTTTCATTTCATTAAGAAATATTTGATTAGTCAAATGGTAGCACTGAATGTTTTCTTGCCTAACACGGTAATGATTCCTTTACATTCTGTTGAAAGGGAAGGTCTAGGGTAATTCCAAGCATGATTTGTCTTCTATTCAATAGCTTAAAAATGTAGCTAATAATAATTATGTTAAATTGGATGTTGTAAAGATCTAAGGAGATTATGCATAGAAATGCATTCTGTCGAGAACACTCAAGGCATGAAACTTAATTACTGGGAGACCATGCTCCATGTTCTCTGGCTCTGGGAATCTCCCAGAACAGCATTTAAAGAGATAACATCATCTCTAGACAATGCTGTCCAATTAAAAGATAATACAAGTCTTCTACTTTATCTTCCGGAATAAAAATAATTAAAAAAACACAAGTCATAAATGCGAGTCACTTTTGTAGTTCTAAATTTTCTAGTAGTCACATTAAAAAAAACAGGCAATATTTATTCTATATCTTTTTTTTTTTTTTTTTTTTTTTTTTTTGTAGATGGAGTTTCGCTCTTGTTGCCCAGGCTGGAGTGCAATGGCGCGATCTCGGCTCACCGCAACCTCTGCCTCCAGGGTTCAAGCGATTCTCCTGCCGCCTCAGCTTCCCGAGTAGCTGGGATTACAGGCACGCGCCACCACCCCAGCTAATTTTTTTTTTGTGTGTGTGACGGAGTCTCGCTCTGTCGCCCAGGCTGGAGTGCAGTGGCGCGCGCTGCAAGCTCCGCCTCCCGGGTTCACGCCATTCTCCTGCCTCAGCCTCCCGAGTAGCTGGGACTACAGGCGCCTGCCACCACGCCTGGCTAATTTTTTGTATTTTTTAGTAGAATTGGGGTTTCACCGTGTTAACCAGGATGGTCTCGATCTCCTGACCCCGTGATACGCCCGCCTCGGCCTCCCAAAGTGCTGGGATTACATGCGTGAGACCCCGCGCCCGGCCCCAATTTTGTACTTTTAGTAGATACGAGGTTTCTCCATGTTGGTCAGGCTGGTCTTGAACTCCCGATCTCAGGTGATCCGCCCACCTCGGTCTCCCAAAGTGCTGGTATTACAGGCGTGAGCCACCGAGCCCGGTCTCTATATTATTTTAAAAATAATTTCAACTTTTATGTTAGATTCAGGGGGTACATGTGCAGGATTCTTACATGGGTATATTGCATGATGCTGGGGTTGGGGTGGGATTAATCCTGTCACCCGGGTAGTGAGCATAGTATCCAATAGTTAGCTTTTCAAGCCTTTCCCCTTCCCAGCTACTCCCTAGTAGTCCCCGATGTTTACTGTTTCCGTCTTTTATGTCCAGTTTTAATAATATACGTAAATGGCCTTGTATAACAACATTATTTTAAGTAATCCATCTTAAAATTATAAGTGAGTTATTTTATATTAAAAATGATATTGCATCTTTGAAATCTGGTATATATTTTATACTTACAACACATCTTACCTTGGACTGGGCAATTTCAAGCATTCAATAGCCAATGTGGCTAATGGTAACCATATTGGAAAGTGCAGATTTAAACAGGTACTTTATATATTTTTAGGTTTTCAGAACTGAGTATGTATGACGTGAGGGTGTTCTGTCTTCAAAATTAAATGTTTAATTCCTCAGAAGAATGCTGTGATAAATAAGCTCATCCTACACATTATACGCAAAAAAAAAAGTGTTTCAATCATGTTGTTGGTAGATAGCCTGAAGATAGATATGGATATTTAATTATTTTAAATTCCCCCCTTTCATGTGGCAAACAAAAAAGCATATCTTCTTATTATGAATTCCCAAGAATCTGATAGACAGCCAGGTTTCTCTGGCTGTGACATGACATAAGGATGAAGGAGTGTTTCTGCAAACTGTCCTAATATTGCTTTTACAGCATCAAAGAGTCAAGATAATCCTCCCAAGCATTTACATGCACACACAAACAGACACAGACAGGCAGACACGCACACACATGAATACATATGAATTTTGTGTGTAACGCTTCTCTAGTCTCTCATTCAGTGAAACCTATTACTCAGTTTCCTATTTTTATTCTAGAAATCCCGTCAGCCAACTGAAAAGCCAAGTCTGCCATACAACTTGCAATCTGCCAATTTTAAAATGGATCAATGTTATTTTATTAACATTGGCAAAGGCTCATATATGGGCAAACCAGAATGAGAAAGAGTTAATCGTCACCAGAAATTTGGTTCCGAGAAATGGGTTTTCTTCTCATCTTCTTATATAGTTCAAAGAATCCAGTCTCACCGTGATAAGTCCCAAGATTCGAGAACTAGTTAGAAGAAAACTTGTTTGTTGCCTACAAATATCACGAATAGGTTTGTAATTTCCATATCTCAAAGTACACTTTTTAGTCTTTATCCACCTCCATGTAATGTGTCTACTACTACTAATGCTTACAAACCCCAGGCTGGAGACGGAGTTAATTGCCTGAGTTCTCTGTGTAATATCCTCACAGGCGTGCCCCACAGATATTTTAAATTTAGCATGAGCCAAACTAACTCATCTTCTCCATCTTTCAATCTTTCTCCCATTCCTGAAAGAGTTGTTAAAACCTCCCCTTTTCTGTGCCTGCTTGTCTTTGGCAATAGCATGTTTGTTTTTCTGAACTACTCTTCAATCCTGTTTCTATTTATCTTTCGTCTTACTCTCATAATTCAACCCTCATCTCCACCCCCAAAGCTGGTTTTCATTTATGCCTTATGAATTCCCTCCCCTCACCTCCCGTCTTCTTCTCTCTCTCTCTCCTTTCCTTCCTTCCCTTCCTCCCTCTTTCTCCTTCCTTCCTTCCTTTCTCCCTTCCTTCCCCCCTTCCTTCCCTCTTTCCCTCCCTCCGTCCCTCACTCCCACTTTCTCTTGCTTGCTTGCTTGCTTGCTTTTCTCACTCCATTGTCCGGGCTCGAGGGTAGTGGTGCAATCATAGCTCCCTACAATCGCTAACTCCCAAGTTCAAGCGATCCTCGTGCCTCAGCCTCTGGAGTTGTGAGTACAGGAGTAAGACACCACGCCAGCTAAGGACCCCTGTGAAAAAATGTTGAGTGCACCGCTCTCAGGTTTTCTTCTGATCATGGCTTTCCTCTATCAAATCTTACCTTTGATATTCCGACTGAGCAAACAACAATTATGAAGCGTTTTAGGCAGGAAAAGGCTGAATTTCAATGGCTTTGTGTTATATCTGGAAGAAATCAAAAGAAACGAAAATCAGAACTTGATTCTTGCCAAGCATAATAGAAGCAGACCCTAAGAACTCAACGTCTTCAGGCCACAAAGGAAACTTCTTGTGGTTATTATCTGACACTTTTCTAATCTTTCGTTTTTCGTTTCAAGTCCTACACAGTATTCTAAAGAATCTGTATCCCCCATTAGTACCAAGTATCTCCTGCTCAGAGTAGCTCTCCACGCTCTATGGTACTGACCACTATTACCAGCATGCTCACGGAGTCTCAGAAAATGAAAGTTACCTCCTGAAAATTATTACAAATGGGTGTTATAGTAAGGGGGTGTAGCTCAGTGGTAGAGCGCATGCTTTGCATGTATGAGGCCTCGGTTCGATCCCCGACACCTCCAAGTGATGGTTTCCCTCTGGCAGTTCTCAAGCGACAGACCTCTGCCTCCTCACATTTTTCTATTCTATTTCTGCACATATAGTAAGTAAAAATGTACTCCAATGCATTGCCTTGAACTATCTCCAACCTCTATGCTGTGAGCCTCAACATCACATAAGGCGATTGCGACAGCAGAAGGAAGACAAAAAAGTAACGAGGGGGAAAGAACAGGATCGCAACAGTGGTCTCCTGACCCAAACAAAAGCATGAACATTCACAGGCGGCTTGCGTTCGCTCCCATTTTGTTTTGTTTTGTTTTGTTTTTGTTTGTTTGTTTTGTTTTTTGAGACGGAGTTTTGCTCTCGTTGCCCAGGCTAGAGTGCAGTCGCACCACCTCGGCTCACTGCAACCTCCGCCTTCCGGTTTCAAGAGATTCTCCTGCCTCAGCCTCCCAAGTAGCTGGGATTACAGGCGCCCGCCACCACGCCCAGCTAATTTTTTTGTATTTTTAGTAGAGACGGGGTTTCACCATGTTAGTCAGGCTGGTCTTGAACTGCCGACCTCGTGAGCCACCCGCCTCGGCCTCCCAAAGTGCTGGGATTACAGGCGTGAGCCACCGCGCCCGGCCTTCCATTTTGTACTATGATTAAAGAGACGCAAAGACCAAGAAGAGAGAAAAATGCCAGTGGGCATCTTTTTTTTTTTAAGTTATTTTTGTTTTCTGGGCCAAAGAACAGAGCGAAAGCATCTGTCCACTCATTTCTACACCAGTCTCTCCCTGTCAACCTACATAGGGACATAAGTGCGATCCAATACTGAGACAAGGACTGCTGTGGCTCTCTAGCCACTTGAGATAGGAGTGGCAGGACGCTGGACGGCCAAACGAAGACTGTCCGGGAATTAGAGGCCTTCAACATGCAAGAAGCAAAAACTAATACGGATCAACATTCCCTACTGATATTCCATAAGACTGATTCATATTCATATTCCTGCATTTCCTCAGTCACTGTAATATTGCCTGGGAACTTCTGGTAACAGCAAACAGAGGCCCATAAGAAAAAACCAGGGAAAGGTTTTCTGTCACAATGGAAAATACATGCAGAGTAAAAGGTAAGTAGATCGCAATTGTGTGGGCGCTTTCTGCCTTGGAAAAAACCAAACAAACATTTCATGTTCTTTCTCGATCCATCTGATTACAACTGCTTTTTTTGAAAAGGGAACTCCCAAGAAATTCTATGCACTCATGGTACCTGTTAAAGGTTTCCAATGGTATACAGTTTCAAAACTGCTGTTCTCTCTGTACATATTTATTTATTTATTGTTGAATTAAAGTGTCTTTGAGAGACAAGAAACTACAATGTTTATTCCCAGTCCACCAGCCTAACACTCTATCAGGCTGGCATGTCTTTACTTCTTGATTCTTTTGTCCAGTGAAAGTATCTATAACTAGCATCCAGGAGGGATACGGTCTAGTGAAACCTGCTTAGCTGAGGACTGGCTGTGTGTGTGCCCCCAGGCCAATCACATGTTTGTTTTGAGATACATTTTTTGGAGGAAGGTAATACCCACGTGTCATGTATTTTCTTTGTGTTTCATACTTTTTCTTTTTTAATTTCCTGGCATCTATTGGTTCTCTCCAGGCAAACAGCGGCATGTCAGCCACAGCGGACACTGCACAGGAGAGCAAGGGGTGGGGAATTAGGGTGCTGCAAGCAGAATGCTAAATTCCAGGCCTAACCTCAGATCTATTGAATCAGAACTGCTGAGCATGGGGCTCAGCCTCTTGTGTTTGAATAAGCCCTCAAGTGACTCTGATGCTAAAGTTTGAGAAGCACTGTTCTAGAAGTTTAAGAAGGAGGTCCCAGGATCAGGTGGCTGCTGAGGGGGAAGATTTTTTCCTGGGGTTCCTTGCCTATTCTCAATCAAAAACTTAAACCACGTAGGACAGCCAGTGGGGTTTGTAGTTGCATTATGTCAGGGGTGGGGTTGGATTTACCATTTCTTTTTTGTTTGTTTTTGTTTTGTTTTGTTCTGTTTTTGTGAGAGGGAGTCTTGCTCTGTCACCCAGGCTGAAGTGCAGTGGTGCAATCTTGGCTCACTGCAACCTCCGCCTATTGAGTTCAAGCGATTCTCCTGCCTCAGTCTCCTGAGTAGCTGGGATCACAGGCGCCTGCCACCATGCCCAGCTAATTTTTGTTTTTTAGTAGAGACGGGGTTTTGACATATTGGTCAGGCTGGTCTCAAACTCCTGACCTCAAGTGATCTACCCACCTCGGCCTCCCAAAGTGCTGGGATTACAGGCGTGGGCCACCATTCCCAGCCTCCTTCATCCTTTTGATGTCAGCTGAGTCTACAGTGATGTCCTCTTTTTATTCCTGATGTTGGTAAACTGTGTCATCTCTCTGCTGAAAATTTCTATCTTGCTAGAGTTCTTCTTTTATTGATCCTTGAAAGGAACTAGCTTTTTGTTTGTTTTTCTATTTTTGTGTGTGTGTGTGTGCGTGTGTTCCATTTCACTGATTTCTGCTTTTATTTTTTATTATTTCCTTTCTTCTATTTGCTTTGGGTTATTTTGCTCTTTTTCCCACCTGATTTCTACAAGTAAGAGCTTAGAGGACTGATTTGGGACTTTTTTCTTTTCTAATGTATGCACTTAGTGCTGTATATTTCTCTCTCAGCACTCCTTTAGGATATCTTGGAATTTTTAATATATTGTATTTTCATTTTTATTCATGCTACCTTATTTTTTGATATCTACTAAGGTTTTCTCTTTGTTGTATGAACTGTTTAGTAGTGTGTTGTTCATTTTCCAAGCGTTTGGACATTTTTCTGTCTTTTTGTGACTGATTTTTACTTTAATTTCATTTTGGTCAGGGATTATACCATATTAGTTAATTCTTTTAAATTTGTTGAGGTTTGTTTTATGGCCCAGGATATGTTTTACCTTTACCTATATTCAGTGTGGATTTGACTAGTGTGTTCTGCTCTTCCTGTGTGGACTGTTTTATAAATGTTAACTGAATTCTGGTGGCTGAAGATGTTTGAGTTCTTCAACACTCTTTTTTTTTTTTGAAGCAGAGTCTTGCTCTGTTGCCCAGGCTGGAGTGCAGTGGCGCGATCTCGGCTCACTGCAAGCTCAGCCTCCCGGGTTCACGCCATTCTCCTGCCTCAGCCTCCAGAGTAGCTGGGACTACAGGCACCCGCCACCACGCCCGGCTAATTTTTTTGTATTTTTTAGTAGAGATGGGGTTTCACCGTGTTAGCCAGGGTGGTCTTGATCTCCTGACCTCATGATTCGCCCGCCTCGGCCTCCCAAAGTGCTGGGATTACAGGTGTGAGCCACCACGCCCGGCCTAGTTCTTCAACATTCTTGCTGATTTTCTGTTTAGTTGTTCTATCAATCATTATGAGAGAAGTTTTGAAGTCTCCAAAGTAATTGTGGATTTGTCTATTTTTTTTTAAAGTTCTGTTTTTTTATCTTTACATATGTTGCAGCTCTCCTGTTTGGTGGATACATATTTAGGATTGTTATGTCTTCTATTTCTTTCCCTGCCTCCCTCTCTTCTTTCTTTTTCTTCTTTATTTAACCAAGAAAGAACAAATTTACTATTACTTTCCCTACCAAAGCAGTCTCTCATCACCTCCTGACTCTGAGAATTAAATTCTGTTTCCTTCAGATGTCCTTAGTTGATTGACTCCCAAACAGGGAGTGTGAACAGGAAAATAGAATAAAACACCTGTTAGATTTGAATACAAATTGAGAAATTTGTATCTTTGTTTCTGCCTGGAAACATTTAAAATGGAATGGGAACCACATGAGAAGCACATATTGTCCACATCTTGGGATCATTTCAGACCATCTTGCCTCTTCAACCAAACAATCAGCAACAATGGAATATATATATATATATACTCCATATATATATATATATACTCCATATATATATATATACTCCATATATATATACATATATACTCCATATATATATATACTCCATATATATATACATATATACTCCATATATATATATACTCCATATATATATATATACTCCATATATATATATATACTCCATATATATATATATACTCCATATATATATATATACTCCATATATATATATATACTCCATATATATATATACTCCATATATATATATACTCCATATATATATATATATATATACTCCATATATATATATATATATATATATATATATACACTCCATATATATATATGGAGAGAGACACAGAGAGAGATCTCAAAGATTATTTCTCTAAACTATTTGATGATTTTCAGACATTATATCTTTTTAATCCCTAAATTCATCAATGTGTATTTCTTAAAACAAGATCAGTTCCTTAACACAGCACAATTATCAAATTCAGTAAACTTAACATTGATAAAATAGCATTATCTAATATACAATCTATAAAAATTTAACTAATTGTATCAATACAATCTTTTATAGAAATTTCTCTCCCAAGCTAGGATCCATTTCACAGACACATATGAATCTAATTGTCTTGACTCTTTAGTCTCCTTTAATTTAGAACAGTTGCTCAATTGTGTCTTTCACAACTTTGATAATGTTTTTGAAGAGTATATGCCAGTGGTTTGTGGAATATTTCTTAATTTGTCCTACTCATGGTAAGATTAAGTTTATGGAAATTGGAAGAAATGTCACAAAAAATCATATTATCCTCTATCACACCAAGAAGCATGTGATGCCAATTTTCCCCATTATTAGTGAAGTTAGCTTTCATCATTTGGTTAAGTTTGTAACTACTATTTCTTCCCTGCAAAAGTATCATCTTCCTCATTGTAATCAATAAGTAAGCTCTAGAGAAATACTCTGAGACTATATAAATATCCTGATCCTCATCAAAATTTTACCTATACTTTTAGCATTGACTTATAATTTTGCCTGCACCTATCAGCATTCTGATGGTGTCCAGATTTTCTAATTTTCTAATGGGGATTTGCAAATTTTATCCTTCTTTCCACATTTATTAGCTGGCATACCACTGTAAAGAAAATCTTCCCATCTTCCATATTTATTTATTTATTTGAGACAGAGTCTCGCTTTGTCGCCCAGGCTGTAGTGCAGTGGCATGAGTCCTGGAGTCAGTGTAGTTGACACTAGTAGCTACTTTCTATTAGTATCTCTGGTGCCTTTTAGTAGGGAATGGTATTTGTGAATCAAAATATTGTTATCTTTGCTTATTGTTTCTGAGGTATTTCTTCCAGGCCCAGTTAGCAGACAGATCTGCAGGGAAATTTTACTTTTTTTTTTTTTTGAGACAAAGTCTAAGTCACCCAGGCCAGAGTGCGGTGGCAGGATCTTGGCTCACTGCAACGTCTGCCTCCTGAGTTCAAGCGATTCTCCTGCCTCAGACTTCCGAGTAGCTGGGACTACAGGCACGCACAACCACATCCGGCTAATTTTTGTATTTTTAGTAGAGACGGGGGTTTCACCATGTTGGCCAGGCTGTTCTCGAACTCCTGACCTCAAGTGAGCTGCCCGTCTTGGCCTGCCAAAGTGTTGAGATTACAAACGTGAGCCACTGCGCCCAGCCTATAAAATTACATATGTATAATTTCATACTGACGCCTCCAATTCTCATCAACACCAACAGGACTATTCTTTACCTTCTTTCTCTTACAGTGACAGCCTGGTTCCAACACACCCGGTCACACACACTCATTTTCCCAATCCTAAAATTCACACAAAATCTCAGAATTCTTACAGCCCTAGCTCTACAAAAATAACCCTGATACAGAGTTCAAGATTTGTTTGCAATTCTTTTTAATCTTACAATTAGAACAACAAACTGTATAAACCATTTTCATAGATCAGTTCTTTCCTTTTCAAGTAGGAGTATGTTATTGTTTCACAATGCAATTTTACACTTGATCTTAGCCAAAAGGCCGAGAAGCGATAGACAACGCCATTTGAATTTGCCTCTATTCGTATTGAATTTTAAGGTATTTTCACACGCACTTGAGTCAGTTTTATTTTTTGACTATGTGAAACACCAACATGCTTCCAAGAGTCAAAAGAATACAGAAAGTTATAATCAGAAAATTTGCAAGAGAATGTTGTATACCGGGACACACTCAAATGATAGAATGCAAGTATGCTCCAGGAAGTCTAACGTGATGGAGAGTCCACCTTGGGGTGAGTTGATCTTGGGTTGACCACAAATCAGGAACAGTGCCTTTATTTTTACCACTAAGCTACTTTCCTTTCTTTTCTCTTTCTTTCTTTCTCTTTATTTCTCTCTTTCTTTCTTTGTTTCTGTCTCTCTCTCTCTCTCTCTCTCTCTCTCTTTCTTCTTTCTTTCTTTTTTTGAGACGGAGTCTCGCTCTGTCGCTCAAGCTGGAGTGCAGTGGCCCGATCTCGGCTCACTGCAACCTCTGCCTCCCGGGTTCAAGCAATTCTCTACTTCAGAGTAGCTGGGATTACAGGCGCCTGTCACCACGCCCGGCTAATTTTTCTATTTTTAGTAGAGACAGGGTTTCACTATCTTGCCCAGGCTGGTCTTGAACTCCTGACCTCGTGATCCACCCGCCTCAGCCTCCCAAAGTGCTGGGATTACAGGCATAAGCCACTGCACCCGGCTAAGCTACTCTTCTTTTGGCCCAGCCGTGCCTAAAAGAGGAAGCGCTTCATGTAGGGAATTAACAATGGAATTGGAAACATATAGTGATTATCCTGACACAGAGGGCAGGCTCACATATTGGCCGTCACCAAAGCGTTTTCCGAAGGCCCTGAGTCCAGAGGGGGTATAGCTCAGTGGTAGAGCGCGTGCTTAGCATGCACGAGGTCCTGGGTTCGATCCCCAGTACCTCCAGGCCGTGTTTTCTTCCCCGGGACACCAGTAAGAAGCGGTCCATGATATTCCCCAACTTTAAATTTTTCTGTCTGTCAAGGTGAATTGTGTTGGCCTCTGCATTTCTCTCTCATACAGAGGGTGATGCGTGTTCATTCACTTGAGGTTATTTGCTGCCTAGGATTATCCGCCTATTCTTTCTAAGCAGTCCCATCAATCATTAACATGGACCACGCACGGGGGAAGCAAGTAGTATTCCTGGCCATCCAGCCAATTTCTAGCTGTAAATGAAATCATCAGAAACCATAGACCTGTGTGGCCCAAGTCTGATTTCAGATCAGAAGCTAAAAGGCTCAAGTCTTTTTCTGTTTCTTTTTCTAACTCCTCCTAACCAGGTTGCAGAAGCCCTACAAGCTTTCACTAAAAGATTACACTGCCAGGGGTTGATGGTTTGATGTGTGGTGGTAACCTTTTCCATTGGAGACCCACAAACTCTGAAACTTAAACTACTTAACTACAAACACACAACAAATGACGAAAAGACAGCATTCACCTCAGCTGAAATTTGGTGGAAGTAAAAAGCACTTCTCTGGGTCCTCTGAGGAAGCTTCTGGTCTGAGATGCAAACACTCTGAACTCCAGGGACCAAGATCAGTATAGGAGAAAGCTCATTTTGCTGTTTTACATAAATAAAAGTAATGAACGTTTATTTTTCCAATCCCAAAGGATCCTTTTGTACCTCACAGTACTTACTCTCCAGGATTGACCTCCTTCTAAGCTAGGGAACAACCCATACCTCCAGATTAGAGCTCTTTGTGGTATCACAGTGCCAAGCAGAAATCCACAGAGAAATACTCTGCAAGCATCTTAATACTATCTTGTTAAAAGAAAATCTGCTTTTATTTTCAGCTCTATTTCATGCCAACAAAGGAAATAAAAAATAAGTTACTAAACATCCAGAAGGCAGAAAAGCGACCTCTCTCCATCTGCAGAAGCCAAGCAAACTTGTGGGCTTCCCTATGCATCCTTTCTTTTACTCACTTTCTAAACGCTGTAACGGCCACTATCTATCAGGTGGTCACAAGCCATCGCTAAAGTCAATCTGAGGTCAACCCACTCGACTTGTGAGGGATTCAGCTATACTGCCTCTGCGCCTCTAATAGGACTAAGGAGGCGGTGGTTGCACAAGTAGTTAACACCGATTGTACCGTGACTCCGCCTTTCCGCAGCCGCTCTCCAGCTCTTTAGAGTCCTTTTGAGTCAAGCTGGACGTGAGACATACAGGAGATCGTTGCAAACGCCAGGAGGAGTTTCTTCAGGGTGAAGTTAACTTTCAATCGGCTTCATTCTAAGAGAAATATGTGGAGCAAACAAACGGAAACTTTCTTTCTCATCTTTTGCATTTCAAGCAAAAACTAATAAAATTAGATGTTTCCACCGTCATGCTCAGTTTCGAAGCTGCCAGCAGATCCCGCTTCTAACTTTTAACACAGGCACGCAGGAAATCGGGAAATCCCTGCAGCTCCCTCAGAAGCTACAGTATCAGCGGTTCCTGAAGGGCAAACCAAAACCCAGTATCACTCTCTCCTCCAAAGAGTTCAGCCGGTCTGCTGAGCGACGGAAATAGCGGAGAGGCGCTCTTGAAGCCGAAACGAACCAGGTCCCCTTCCTGGTCGAGTCTTCCTCCCTAAGGACAAAAAAAGTACCTTTCTTCCCTCATATCCAGAGGAAGCGACGGAGGGATGTGGCGCTTAGACTCACTGTACCATCCCGTCCATCCAAGTCCTAATAATCATGAGGATGCGACAGAGCGAGACTCCGTCTCAACAAAACAAAACAAAACAACCCTAAGGAAGAGAGAGAATGTACTGGAGGATAGGAAGTACTTAGGAAAACCTTTTTTTTTCTTGTATTTAAATTTAAGCCTTCATTTATATAAAATAAAACACATGAAACCTATTCAGCTTACGGCTTATTATATATAACCAAAATTCAGGCCAAGATACTGAATTTTTCAGCAACCAACAGCTGCCTTTTGCCTCATTTCAATTATCCTAACTCTCTGACCTCCACCTCCATAGATTATTTTTCTTATGTTTTAAATAATATAAATGGGATCATATAATATCATCGTAGTCTATTTTGGGCTGCTACAAAATCACTCAAGACTGGTAATTTGTAACGAACAGAACCCTTCCCTTCCCTTCCCTTCCCTTCCCTTCACTTCCTGACAGAGTTTCACTCTTGTTGCCCAGGTTGGAGTGCAGTGGCTCAGTCTTGGCTCACTGCAACCTCTGCCTCCCGGATTCAAGCAATTCTCCTGTCTCAGCTTCCTGGGTAGCTGGGATTACAGGCGAATGCTACCACGCCCAGCTAATTTTTCTGTATTTTTAGTAGAGATGGGGTTTCACCATGTTTGCCAGGCTGGTCTCGAACTCCTGACCTCAGGTGATCCATCCACCTTGGCCTCCCAAAACCCTGGGATTACAGGAGACAGCCACTGCACCAGGCCCAGAAACATTTTCTCACAGTTCTGGAGGCTGGGAAGTTCAAGATCAAGTCACTGGCTCTCATGTCTGGTGATGGCCTTTTTGTTGTGTTCTCACATGGCAGAAAACTGAAGGCAATAGAGAGATGAACTTCCTTTGTCAACTCTTATTATAAGGGTACCTAATATTATTCATGAGGAAGGAACCCTCATGGCTTAATCTTCTTAAAGGCCCTATGTCTTGATAATTATCACATGGTGACACCTAAGCTTTGGAGGGGACACTTTCAAACCACAGCAAATCTGTACTCATTTGAGTATGGATTCTTTCACTTAATTTTTGTTAAAAAAATTAGATTCATTTTCTTTTCTTTTTTCTTCTTTTTTTTTTTTTCAAGGTGGAGACTTGCTC
This sequence comes from Homo sapiens, assembly GCF_000001405.40. Taxonomy (NCBI): domain Eukaryota; kingdom Metazoa; phylum Chordata; class Mammalia; order Primates; family Hominidae; genus Homo; species Homo sapiens. The sequence goes on along the minus strand of NC_000006.12, from coordinate 28,793,084 downwards.
TGTCGCCCAGGCTGGAGTGCAGTGGCGCGATCTTGGCTTACTGCAAGCTCTGCCTACCAGGTTCACGCCATTCTCCTGCCTCAGCCTCCCGAGTAGCTGGGACTACAGGTGCCATCCACCACGCCCAGCTAATTTTTTGTATTTTTAGTAGAGACAGGGTTTCACTGTTTTAGCCAGGATGGTCTCGATCTCCTGACTTCGTGATCTGCCCGCCTCAGCTTTCCAAAGTGCTGGGATTACAGGCGTGAGCCTCCGTGCCCAGCCTTCATTTTCTATATATTGTTGCTAGTAACAGTAGTTATTTTCTGTTGCTCTCGAGTATTCTATTGTCTGAATACTGTACATCATGATTTATTAATTCATTTTACTGTCCAAGTACATTTGCAGCACCCCTCGTTTTTGGTTGAAATGTCTAATGCTGCTGTAAACATTCTGATACATGTCCTTCAAGGGAGATGCTCATGCACTTCTCTTGGGTATAAATGTAACCGTCTAGTTTTGGGGTCATAGCATATATATATATATATATATATATATATATATATATATATATATATATTTAGTTGATATTTTCAGATAGTTTCCCAGTGTAGATATAGCAGTTTACAGTCTCATCAGCCATGTATGCACGTTCCAATTGCTTCACATACTCAGCAACACTTGATATTATCCACTTTTTGGGTTAAATGATTCCAATGAAGAGCAATATTATTTTGTGTTTTTTTTTTCGACAGTGTCTTGCTGTGCTGCCCAGGCTGGAGTGCAGCGGCACAATCTTGGCTCACTGTAGCCTTTGCCTCCCAGGATCAAGAGATTCTCATGCCTCAGCCTCCTGAGTAGTTGGGACTACAGGGGCATGTGGCCGTCTAAATTTTTGTATTTGTAGTAGAGACCGGGTTTCGCCATGTTGGCCAGCTGGTCTTGAACTCCTAACCTCAAGTGATCCACCCGCCTCGACCTCCCAAACTGCTGGGAGTATAGGCGTGAGCCACTGTGTCCAGCATTGTTGTGTTTTTAATTTGCATTTCCTTTATAGCAAAAGATGTCGAGCATATTTTATTTTACTCAATAGCGATTTTTTGTGAAGTTCATATTAATTTGCTCTTTCTTATTGAAGTTTTAGTCTTTTTCTTAGTGCTTTGTAGAAGTTCTTAACATATTCCAGATAAAGATCCTTAGTAAAATATAAGTATTGGAATATCTTCTCCTAGACTGTGGCTCATCATCTTTTCTTAAGGAGGATGGGGCTTGAAAAACTTTGTAAGCAGATGAAAGAGAAGAAATGGAGACAGACAGGTTGAAGACCCCAGAGGAAGTTCCATCTGGACATCTTACCTGTTGGCTGTGGGAGAAAATGCCCCCAGGCAGTTTGCTGGAGAGGAAACCTCAGAATAAACTGATGGGATGAAATGTTCCAAAAGCAGAAACTGTGTTCTGGTCTGTGATTCTCTTACATTTCTCCTAGCAGCTTCAGGGGATATAGTTTAGAGGTAAGAAATAGTGAGATATGAGACAGTGGATTTTCTATCCGGCCAACTTACCATATTTTTGAAGACCTCTCAGAAATATGACTAATGCGTCAAAAAAGATCTTCACGATGTTTCTGTAGCGAGAGAGGTGTGGCTCAGTGGTAGTGTGTCCTTGCCTTGCACAGAGTTCAAAAGCATACATGTTCATCTGTTTTTCACAATTCTCGCCACTCTGTACTTTTCTCCTTTTAAAAACATGCCTTGCGTGGTCACACTAAAATAAACATATTATACTTTCCATTTCCACTCCCTGGGTCTCTGTACCACCCAAGGTGGATGTGTCAGCACAAGACGAGTGAAAGGAAGGGAATAGCGAAAATGAATTTTCTCGCTCAGGATTTCCTTAGTCAGAAGCTATAAACCTGCCACCACATTAACGTGCCCAATAATCCTCTGTTCCTTTTTGCCATATCGTTGAAGAGCAAGACAGAAAAACAAGAGCCCAGAGAAAAGGAAAAGCCTAGAAAATTTTCTTTTGAATTCCCTTGGTATTCTGAGCAGTGACCATGTAGGGGAGCATGTTCTTACTTTGCTCTATTCTTCATTTTTGCCTTTTCTTTCCCTGGCTTTTGCTAACCCATTCATTGTCCTTAAAATTGGGTCCTGTTTTCAGACATAAATTGGGGAAGAATCTATATTTTGGGGGTGAAGGGGTGAGTGAATGACAGGTGATATTGAAGACAACAGAATTGGAAGATATACTGACCCTACAAATGAGTTTTTATATTTTGAAGAAACACCTAAAACAACAAATTCGGGAAGCCGAAATAGCTCAGTTGGGAGAGCGTTAGACTGAAGATCTAAAGGTCCCTGGTTCGATCCCGGGTTTCGGCAGGGTTTTTTTTTTTTCTTTCTTTCTTTCAGTTTTGCCTAATAGAACCCTTATTTTGTTTATTTATTTATTTTTTGACGGAGTTTCACTCTTGTTGCCCAGGCTGAGTGCAATGGAGCGAACTCGGCTCACCGCAACCTCCGCCTCCTGAGTTCAAGCGATTCTCCTGCCTCAGCCTCCCGAGTAGCTGGGATTACAGGCATGCGCCACCACGCCTGGCTAATTTTGTATTTTTAGTAGAGACGGAGTTTCTCCATGTTGGTCAGGCTGGTCTCGAACTCCCGACCTCAGGTGATCGGCCCGCCTCGGCCTCCCAAAGTGCTGGGATTACAGGCGTAAGACACAGCGCTCGGCTGATACAACCCTTATACAACACTTGCATGCCAATCCCAGAAAGGTGTATAGAACTCCAATTTTTTGCTGTTGAAAATCCGATAAAGGTAATACACACACACACACACACACACACACACACGCATATATATATATATGCATCACTCTCTGCTTTGGTTGCATATTCCAGTGAAGTCTTCCATGAAGCGCTGACATTAAATAAATTATTTACAGTCTGAAACCTAGGAAGTGATTTTTTTTTTTTTTGAGATTGAGTTTCGCTCCGATGCCCAGGCTGGAGTGCAGTGGCGCGATGTCGGCTCAGTGCAATCTCCGCCTCCCGGGTTCAAGGATTCTCCTGGCTCAGCCTCCCCAGTAGCTGGGATTACAGGCGCCTTCCATTTCAAGTCGTATACTGTATTCTAAATAATTTGTATCCCCCGTTAGTACCTAGTATCTTCTACTCACAGCAGCTGCAGACGCTCCACAATACTCAGAAAAAGAAAGTTACCTCCTGGAAATTATTACAAGAAGGATTTTTTTCAGGAAGGGGGTGTAGCTCAGTGGTAGAGCGCATGCTTTGCATGTATGAGGTCCCGGGTTCGATCCCCGGCACCTCCAAACGGTGACTTTTTGCTCTGGTAGTGCTCAAACCTAATTCTCAAGCAACATAGACTTACTTCTGCCTCCGCACCTTTTTCTGTCCTATTTCTGCACATATAGAGAGTAAAGACGTAACCCAATGGGTTGCCTCCATTTATAACCCATTTCTATGCCGTGAGCTTCGACATCACTGAAGGCGATTGTGACGGCAGAAGGAAGGTGAAAAAGAAATGAGGAAGAAAGAAGAATGGGATCCCAACAGGGTCTCTTGAACCCAAACAAAAGTGTGCACATCCACGGGAGGTTCACATTTGCTCTCATTTTGTGCTATGATTAAAGAGAAGGAAAGACAAAGAAGAAGGGAGAAAAGCGCCCCGCGGCCATTCTTTTTTTTTTTTTTTTTTTTTTTTTGGAGACAGAGTCTCGCTCTGTAGCCCAGGCTGGAGTGCAGTGGCTTAATCTTGGCTCATTACAACCGCTGCCTCCCGGGTTCAAGCGATTCTTCTGCCTCGGCAGGTGGGTTTACAGGTGCGTGCCATCAGGCCCGGGTAATTTTTGTATTTTTAGTAGAGACGGGGTTTCACCATGTTGGCCACACTGGTCTCGAACCCCAGACCTCAGGTGATCCACCCGCCACAGTTTCCCAAAGTGCTGGGATTACAGGCGTGAGCCACCGCTCCCAGCATCATCTTTTTTGTTTGTTTGTTTTTTGTTTTTTTTTACTTTAGTTTTGTTTTCTGGGCCAAAGAACAGAGCGAAAGCATCTGTCCACTGATTTCTCCTCCAGTCTCTCCCTGTCAACCTGCGCAGAAAGCACAGCCACAAGTGTAATCCAATACTGAGACAAGGACTGCTGTGGCTCTCCAGCCGCTTGAGATGGGAGTGGAAGGACGCTGGATGACCGAACAAAGACTGTCAGGGAATAAGAGACCTTCAACATGAGAGGAGCAGAAACCAATACGGATCAACATTCCCTACTGATACAATTGATTCATTTTCCTGTATTTCCTCAGCCATTCCATTTTCCTTGTTAAAATAAAACATTGCCTGGAAACCTCTGTTAACAGCCAACGGAGGACTCATGTGAAAAAGTAGGAAAAGTTTTTCTGTCACAATGGAAAATAGACGCAAAGTAAAAGGTGAGTGGATCGCAGGTGTGTTGAGCACTTCCTCAGGTAAAAACAAAAGAAAACAAATTTTTTTTGTTCTTTCTCTGTCAATCCCATCACAATTGCATTGCATGACCAGGGAACTCCCAGGAAATCCTATTCACTGATGATACCTTTTAGGGGTTTCCAATGTTGTATGTTTCAAAATTGCTGTCCTCTGTACATGTTTGCTGTTGAATCAAAGCATCTTTGAGAGGCAACAGAGTATGATGTTTGTCACCATCCACCAGTCTAACACTCTATCAGGCTGGGATGTCCTCACTTCTTGATTCTTTTATCCGGTGAAAATATCCATAACCAGTATCCAGGAGGGATACTGTCTGGTGAAACCTGCTTAGCTGAGGATTGGCTGTGTGCCCCCAGGCCAATCATATGTTTGTTTCAAGATGCATTTTTTGGAGACAGGTAACGAAGAGATGCCATATATTTTCTTTTCATTTCTTAATATTTCCCCCCTACTATCTACTGGTTCTCTCCAGGCACTTTAAGGAAATAGTGTCATGTTTGCCACAAAGGATGCTGCACAGGAGAGCAAGGCATGAGGGATTAGGGTGCTACTAGTGGAATGTCAAATTCCAGGCCCAACCTCAGATCTACAGAATCAGAATTGATGAGAGTGGGACCCAGCCACCTGTGTTGAATAAGCCCTCAAGTGACTCTGATGCTAAAGTTTGAGAAGCACTGCTCTAGAAGTTTCAGAAGGAGTTCAGGGCCAGATGCTTGCTAAGGAGAAAGAGTTGCTCCCGGGGTTCCCTGCCTATTTTCAATAAAAAACTCAAACCACGTAGGAAAGCCAGTGACGTATTTGCATTACATCAGGATGAGAGTGGATTTATTACCTCTTTGAGACCTTCAATATTTTAGATGACTAGAGATCACACACAAGAGCCTCTGATTTTCCTGTAGAAGAACTCACAGGGGTTCTTTAGAGCCAGGAGACTCTTTCCAGCCAAAATACCTGGAGCCATCTCAAGCTATTTTGGCCTTTCAATTTGAAACCTAAGGCCTTTCCTTAGAGCTTGGAAGTTTCTAAGCTCTGAGGAAGACACTGTAATCATTCTTGCTCCACCCTCAGGGTTGGAATTCACCCTGCTCTCTGTCAAGCCCCCACCAATTCTGCCAATATTCTGGTCTAAGATCCAGTTGTTAAAAACCCAGTCTATGTGGCTGGGGGCGGTGGCTCATGCTTGTAATCCCAGCACTTTGGGAGGCCAAGTCGGGTGAATCACGAGGTCAAGAGATCGAGACATTCCTGGCCAACATGGTGAAACCCGTCTCTACCAAAAATACAAAAATTAGCTGGGCATGGTGGCCGGGGAGGCTGAGGCAGGAGAATAAAAAATTAGCTGGGCATGATGGCCATGCCTGTAGTCCCAGCTACGGGGAGGCTGAGGCAGGAGAATCCCTTGAACCTGGGAAGCGGAGATTGCAGTGAGCCGAGATGGCACCACTGCACTCAAGCTTGGTGACACAACGAGACTCCATCAAAAACAAAAAACAAAAACAAACAAAAAAAGCAATCTAATGCATAAAATGTAATTAAAATATCTTCGCAGCATTAAGTAGAGAGTTCCTTGTGGTTAGGAGACTCTTCCTCCTTGGAAGATGTTCTCTGTCTGTCTACCTTCTGCGTTTTCACATTTGTCTCTTCCTCTCCACACCTAAGCCAGTGCTTTATTTCCACTTATCTCGTGTAGGGATATACTTTTGTGTGGTGACCTTGGTTTTGCCCACTCTTCTTGCTTCCAAGAGTTGGATGTAGGCAATGTAGGAGCCCACTGCCAAAGTGTGGGTGATATTCTCCAGAAAGAAACCTAAATTTCAGAGGCTTGCTGATATGGAAGAAAGCCTAGGATATTCGACTCATAGAGCTTCGCACTGCTAGGCAGGTTGAAATCTGGACACCCTGAATTCCTTAGGAACAAGGTATAAGTACTTCTGAAAACCAATTTAAGTTTAAAATATACTGAGACTCCCTGATCTTTCTTGTATTTCATGACATATTCCAAGCTCAAGAAGCTAAACACACACACACACACTCAAATACCAAAACAGAACACACTCTCCTACCTATAACAAAGGGGCTTAAGCAGGAGGGTCTAGAGAGACCTGGTTCAACACTCTCCCCCTGACGAACAGTAGGGATTGGAAATAGGCGGCTTCTCTGTCCTTTCCTCGGAAGCCACCAATACCACCCGCCTGTACCAAAACTCAAGGGTACCCCTGCTCCCCAGTACCCCAGCCAGTAAAGGAGCTGCGAGGCGTTCTCAACGCCGCGACTACCTTGAGTAAAACGAGGGAGATCTTGCGGGGAAAGTGTTTTCAGCTCACTTCTCCTACAGGGAATGAGCCCTCTCACCTATCGTGGACACCGAGGAAACGCAGCAGAGATGGGCACCCAGGCTGCCCAGATCCTCTGGCAGCCTCGGGTGCTCGTCCACTTCGCTCCTCCTCCGCCTTTGCTGCCGCAGCCGCAGGTGCGCACCCCACCGCGTCCCTGCTTCCCTCCTCGAGCTCTTGTGGTCGAGCTCAGGTGGTCCTTGTTCTCCTCTCCATCCATCGTTACTTGAGTCTCAAAACTGGAGCCACAACGTCCCCAAGATGAAATCCATGCTGGGTTTCAGCCACGGTGCCGGCCCAGGGGCTGGCGAGGGTAAGGACAGGCAGCGACCCACTTCCTGGGTCTTCATTTCTAAGAGCTGGGAATTCCACCTTCTCACCTCCTCACCTGGACCTAAATCCCCCAGGCGGTACTGACCATTCTGTTTTTTTATCCACCTACGCTACTCTTCGTGTGACAGCCCTTGAAGGCAGAAGGAAAAGAAGATGTAAGAAGGGAGAATTTAAAAAACACTTTAAAAATTAATTAATCTGAATACTCAAAGTATCCCCAGGTCATGTATCCTTTTAAGATATGCCTACATTGGCATAGGCGGTGGCTCATGCCTGCAATCCCAGCACTTTGAGAGGCCGGGGCAGGCGGATCACCTGAGGCCAGGAGTTGGAAACCAGCCTGGCCAACATGGTGAAACCCCATCTCTACTAAAAATACAAAAATTAGCCGGGCGTGCTGGCACGTGCCTGTAATCCTAGCTACCTGGGAGGCTGAGGCAGGAGAATCGCTTGAACCTGGAAGGTGGAGGTTGCAGTGAGCCCAGATTGCACTACTGCATTCCAGCCTGGGCAACACAGCAAGACTCCTTCTGGGGGAGGGGGTGGAGGGCGGGGGCGACGAATTATACAGTGAAACTTTCTTGAACCTGAAGAGTCTGTTTTTTTTTTAAAGTTTTTATATCACAAATTTAATTTCCTTAGTAGTTACAAGGTTATAGAAAAATATATTTCATATTGAGTGAGTTGTGATAGTTTGTGATTTTCAAGGAATTAGTCCATCTCATCTAAGTTTTCAAATTTGTGTGTAAAGTGTTGTTCATAGTATTCATTTACCCTTTTGATGTCAGCAGAGTCTATAGTGATATACTCTTCTTTTTATTCTTGATATTGGCAATTTGTGTCATCTCTCTTCTTAAAAAATTATCAGTCCTCCTAGAGGTCTTCTTTTATTGATCTTTTAAAGGAACTAGCTTTTTGTTTGTTTTTCTATTTTGTGCGTGTGTGTTCAGTTCCGTTTATTTCTGCTCATTTCCTTTCTTCTATTTGCTTTGGGTTATTTTCCCCCACCTGAGTTCTTCAAGTAAGAGCTTAAAGGACTGATTTGAGACTTTTTTCTTTTCTTTCTTTTTTTTTTTTTTTTTTTTTTTTTTTTTTTTTTTTTTTTGGCCGGGCTGGTCTCCAACTCCTGACCTTGTAATCCACGCGCCTCGGCCTCCCAAAGTGCTGGGATTACAGGCGTGAGCCACGCGCCTGGCCGACTTTTTTCTTTTCTAATGTATGCACTTAGTGCTGTAAATTTCTCTCTCAGAGATTAAGTTGTCTTGGAAATTTTGATACATTGTGTTTTCATTTTTATTCAGGTTAATTTATTTTTTTGATCTCTACTAAGGCTTTCTCTTTGTCCTATGGAATATTTAGTAGTGTGTTGTTCATTTTCCAAGTGTTTGGATATTTTTGTTGTCTTTCTGTGACTGATTTTTAGTTTGATTTCATTGTGGTTAGGGATCATACTATGTCAGTCAATTCTTTTAAATTTGTTGAGGCCCAAGGTATGAGGTATGTTCTATCTTGATCTACGTTACGTATGAATTTGAAATGAATGCGTGTTCTGCTTTTCTTGTGTGGACTGTTCTATACATGGTGACTGAATTCTGTTGCCTGAAGATGATTTGGGGTTCTTCAATATCCTTGCAGATTTTCTGTGTAGTTTTTCTGTTATTATGAGAGAAATGGCGCGGGCGTGGTGGCTCACGTCTGTAATCCCAGCATTTTGGGAGGCCGAGGCGGGTGGATCACCAGGTCAGGAGATGGACACCACCCTGCCTAACATGGTGAAACGCCGTCTCTACTAAAAATACAAAAAATTAGCCGGGCGTGGTGGCGGGCGCCTGTAGTCCCAGCTACGCAGAGGCTGAGGCAGGAGAATGGCGTGAACCCGGGAGGCGGAGCTTGCAGTGAGCCAAGATTGCGCTACTGCACTCCAGACTGGGCGACAGAGCGTGTGAGGAGACGATTGAAAAACCCAAAAAGAAGAAAAAGCAAAAGCCCCAGGAGATTCATCAGGAGAATGGAATGGAAGACCCATCTATCTCTTTCTCCAAACCCAAGAAAAAGAAATCTTTTTCCAAGGAGGAGTTGATGAGTAGCGATCTTGAAGAGACCGCTGGCAGCACCAGTCTTCCCAAGAGGAAGAAGTCTTCACCCAAGGAGGAAACAGTTAATGACACCGAAGAGTCAGGCCACAGAAGTGGCTCCAAGAAAACGAGGAAATTCTCCAAAGAGGAGCTGGTCAGCAGTGGGCCTGAAGAGGCGGCTGGCAAGAGCAGCTCCAAGAAGAAGAAAAAGTTCCATAAAGCATCCCAGGAAGATTAGAATGCAAATGGACATTCTCTGGGAGGTGGGGCATACCATAGCCCAAGGCGACATTTCCCACCCTGTGCCGTCTTCCCCAATAAGAACAAATTCACAAAAAAGAGAGAGAGAGAAGTGAAGTCTCTAATGTAACTGCATTTGTCGATTTTTTTAATTCTATCTTTTTTGTTTTTTAAAATATTTATTTATGTATTACATTTATTTATTTATTTATTTATGAGTCAGAGTCTCGCTCTGTCACCCAGGCTGGAGTGTAGTGGCACCATCTCGGCTCACTGCAACCTCCACCTCCCGGGTTCAAGCAATTCTCGAGCCTCAGCCTCCCTAGTAGCTGGGACTGCAGGTGCACGCCACTGCACCACCATGCCCGGCTAATGTATGTATTTTTAGTAGAGACGGGTTTCACCATGTTGGCCAGGCTACTTTCCAACTCCTGGCCTCAGGTGATCCGCCCACCTCGGCCTCCCAAAGTGCTGGGATTACAGGCGTGAGCCACTGCGCCCTGTCTGGGTGTTTTGTTTTGTTTTGTTTTGAGACAGAGCCTTACTTTGTTGCCCAGGCTGGAGTGCAGTGGCACGATCTTGGCTCACTGCAACCTCCGCCTCCCAGGTTCAAGCAATTCTCCTGCTTCAGCCTCCCGAGTAGCTGGGACTACAGGGCGCACGACCACGCCCAGCTTTTTTTTTTTTTTTTTTTTTTTTTTTTAGTAGAGATGGGGTTTCACCATGTTGGTCAGGATGGTCTCAATCTCCTGACTTTGTGATCCGCCCGCCTCGGCCTTCCAAAGTGCTGGGATTACAGTCGTGAGCCAGCGCGCCCGGTCCTGTTTTTTTTTTTTTTTTTTTTTTTTACATGTTGCAGCTCTGCTGTTTGGTGTATACATATTTAGGATTGTTATGCCTTCTTGGTGGATTTTCTTTGTTCTTAAGTTTATATTAATATAGTCACTTTTGCTTTCTTTTGATTAACTTTTGCATGTAATATATTTTATCCCCTTAATTTCAGCCTGCTTATATAATTATATTTGAAATGAGTTTCTTTTAGATAGTGTATAGTTGGATTATGTTTTCTAATCTGTTCTGTCAATCTCTCCCTCCCTCCATTCCTTTCTTCCTTTTGCCCTCTCTCCTTCCTTTCTTTCTCTCTCGCTCCTTCCTTCTTTCTTCCTTCCTTTCTTTTCTTTCTTCCTTTATTTTCTTTCTATTTTTAATAGACGGGATCTTGTTTTGATGACCAGACTAGAGTGCAGTGGCTATTCACCAGGGCAATCGTAGAGCACTGGGGCTTCCAACTCCTGACCTCAAGCTGTTTTCCTGCCTCCTCTTCAGCCTCCTGAGTAGGTGTAGCTGGGACTATAGATGCAGGCCACCACGCCTGGCTCATGGTTTGTTTTTGTTTTTTTGTTTTTTTTCTCATCCTTCTTTTAAAGTCGCTAAATAAAAATCATACCTGGATGTCTGGAAATGTCAGTTAACATCAAACATGTTGCTGCCATGAAGTGCCAGACAATTCTTTTTTAGTACCTAAAAAAGTGTCCCTCCTCTGAGAAGAGGACAAATAGTTCACAGATGTGTAAGACATTTTAACTGTAGTGAAACAGCAGCCATTTCCTCTGCTGTTTCCTGTCCGTCTAATCACTTCTGCTTTTACTTTCTTTCTTTTTTCTTTTTTTTTTTTTAAGACGTAGTCTCGCTCTCTCTCCCAGGCTGGAGTGCAGTGGCGCGATCTCAGCTCACTGCAAGCTCCGCCTCTCGGGTTCACGCCATTCTCTGCCTCAGCCTCCTCGAGCAGCTGGGACCACAGGCGCCCGCCACCACGCCAGGCTAATTTTTTGCATTTCTAGCAGAGACGGGGTTTCACTGTGTTAGCCAGGATGGTCTCGATCTCCTGACCTCGTGATCCGCCCGCCTCGGCCTCCCAAAGTGCTGGGACTACAGGCGTGAGCCACCGCGCCCGGCTATGCTTTTATTTTCAAGGCACTAATCAAAATTTCTGGCCTACTGATGGCCCTATTTAAAGGGTTTCCTGGGCTATGATAGTTTCAAACTCTATATTTCCTGAAGACTAATAAAGAGGGAAGGGAGTTCTGTTTGTCAACTTTACTGTTTCTTTTCCTCCTTCCCTTCCTTCCATTCTTTCTTTCTTTTTCTCCTGTCACTCTCTTTTTTTTTTGCTGCTTTTCTCCAAAAAAGAACTTCACTATTTCTTTCCCTACCAGAGCAGCCCCTCATTACCTCCTGACTCTGAGAAAGAAACTCTGTCTCTTTCAGATGTCCTTAGTTGATTGACTCACAAGCAAGGAGTGTGACAAGGAAAATAGAATAAAACACCTTCTAAATTCTAATACAAATTGAGAAATTTGTACCTTTGTCTCTGCCTTGCAACATTTAAAATAAAGTGGGACCATCTGAGAAGCATATATTGTTCAAATCTTGGGATAATTTCAAAACATCTTTTCCTCAATGACAAATCAACAATACTGGAATACATATCATATATATGTAGTATGTATTATATATATATATCAGACAAAGATTATTTCTCTAAACTATTTGATAATGATTTTCAGACATCATATCTTTTTATTCTTAAATACTTCAATGTGTATTTCTTAAGAAAAAGGTCAATTCCTTAACACAACACAATTATCAAGTTCAGTAAATTTGACATTGATAAATGTGAATATAGTCTAATATAAAGTCTATTAAAAATTGTCTAATTGTACCAATAAAAACTTTTATAGAAATTTCTCTTCCAAGCTAGGATCCATTTCAGAATCACATATGAATCTAGTTGTCTTGACTCTTTAGTGCCCTTTAATTTGGAACAGTTTCTTAATCTTCTTGTCTTTCACAACACCGACATGTTTTTGAAGAGTTTTTCCAGTGGTTTTGTGCAACGTTTCTTAATCTGTATTAGCCATGATAAGATTACATCGGGTTATGGAATTTGGGAGAAATGTCACAGAAATCACGTTATTACCCTCTCTCACACCAAGAGGCATGAGCTGACTGAAGTTAGCTTGATCACTTGATTTTAAGTTTGTAATTACTGTTTCTTCCCTGAAAAATTATCATTTTCCTCATTGTAATTAATAAATAATCTACAGGGAAATACTCTGAGACTACGTAAATATCCTGATCCTCATCAAATTTTTACCTATACTTTAACATTAACTTACAAATTTTGCCTGCATCTATCATCATTCTGATGGTATTGTTTAAATGGGGATTTTTAAATTTTATCCTCACTTTGTTTCTTTGTTCATTTTTTTGAGACGGAGTCTCGCTCTGTCGCCCAGGCTGGAGTGCAGTGGCGCAATCTTGGCTCACTGCAAGCTCCGCCTCCCGGGTTCACGCCATTCTCCTGCCTCAGCCTCCCGAGTAGCTGGGACTACAGGCACCCGCCACCACGCCCGGCCAAGGTTTTGTATTTTTAGTGGAGAGGGGGCTTCACCGTGTTAGCCAGGATAGTGTCGATCTCCTGACCTCGTGATCCACCCGCCTCAGCCTCCCAAAGTGCTGGGATTAAAGGCGTGAGCCACTGCGCCCGGCACTCACTTTCACATTTATCATTTGGCAAACCACTGTAAGGAAAATCGTCCCGTCCTCCATATTTATTTGTTTAAGTTCCCAAGAATGATAATCAGTTATTGTCATCACTGATGCTAAAAGTGTGTCAGATTTGGCCAGTGAGATTCCCTTCAAGCTGGCTTCTGTGTCCTTTTAAATCACCCCCGTCATTTCTGAGCACTTACATTCTGGCAAGGCAAGATATCTTAGGTTCATTTTGCAGTTTCCCTGGCACAGTCCTGGAGTCTGTGTAGTTGACACTAATAGCTACTTTCTATTAGTATCTCTGGTTCCTTTTAGTAGGGAATGGTATTTGAAAATCAAGATACAGAGTTATCTTTGCTCATTGCTTCTGAGGTATCATTTCTTCTAGGCCCAGTTAGCAGATAGATCTGTGGGGAAATTTTACAATTTCATATGTACAATTTCATACTGATGCCTCTAATTCCCATCAGTATCAACAGGACTATTCTTTACCTTCCTTCTTCTCCCACAGTGAGAGTCTGTTTCCAACAACAGACACTCGATTTCCCAATCCTAAAATTCACACAAAATATCAGAATTGCTACAGCCCTCACTCTACAAAAAATAATCCTGATACATAGAGTTTAAGATTTGTTCGATGTTCTTTTTGATCTCACAATTAGAACAACAATCTGTGTAAACCATTTTCTTATATCAGTTCTTTCCTCTTCAATGTGGTTATGTTATTCTTTTGAAATGCAGTTAATTTGCCTCTATTTGTACTGAATTTTAGGGTATTTTCACACATACCTGAGTTTTATTTTTTGACTATGGGAAACACTAAGATGCTTCCCAGAGTCAAAAGAAAAAAGTTATAATCAGAAAATTTGCAAGAGAATGTTGTATGCCGGAGGTCACTCAAGGGATAGAATGGAATTATGCTCCAGAAAGTCTAATATGATGGGGAGACCACTTTGGGGTGAGTTGATCTTGGACTGACCACAAATCAGGAACATCAGGAACAATGCCTTTGTTTTTACCACAAGATATCTTTCTCCTGGTGTAGCCATGCCCGAGAGAGAGAGAGAGAGAGAGAGAGAGAGAGAGAGAGAGAGAGAGAGAGAGAGAGAGGGCGCTTAGTGTCGGGAATTCATAAACAGTGGAATTGGAAACATACAGTGATTGTCTTGATGACACAGAGCACAGACTCAGGCAACGGAGATCACCAAAACATTTTCCCAAGCTCCTGATCTCCTGCGGGGGTATAGCTCAGGGACAGAGCACGTGGTTAGCATGCGTGAGGTCCTGCGTTCAACTTCCAGTATTTCCACTCTTTTTTTTCCTATGAGCCACCTTAGGAAGTTCTCCATGATATTCCCCACCTATTCAAGGGAATTGTGTTGGCCTCTGCATTTCTCTCTCATACAGGGAGATAATTCGTGTTCATTCACTTACAGTTCTTTGTTGCTTAGAATTATCCCCCTGTCCTAATTAGTTCCACAAATCACTAATGTGGATCACACACTATAGAAGCAAGTAGTATTCCTTGCCATCCCGCCGATTTCCAGTTTAAATAAAATAGTCAGAAACCATTGAATTCTGTGACCTAAGTCTGATTTCAGATCAGAAGGTTAAGGCTCAAGTTCTTTTGCGTTTCTTACTTTCTTCTAACTGCTTCCTCACCCAGGTTGCAAAAGTCCTGCAAGCTTTCACTAAAAGATTCCACTACAAGTGGCTGATGATTGCTGGTGATGTGCTGGTGGTCACTTTTTCCATTAGAGACCGACAAATTCTGAAACTTAATCCAAGCTATTTAACTACAAACATAAGGACAAATGACAAATATAATGACAAATGAGGAAAAGATCTCAATCACCTCAGCTGAAATTTAGCAGGGAGAAAATTACTTCTCTTGGTTCTTTAAGGAAGTTTCTGGTCTGAAATGGCAAGCTCTCTGAACTCCAGAGTCCAAGATCCATCTAGGGTAGAAGCTCGTTTCTTCTTTTTTTTTTCTTTTTTCTTTCTTTCTTTTTTTTTTTTTTTTTTTTTTTTTTTTTTTTTTTTTTTTGAGATGAAGTCTCACTCTGTTGCCCAGGCTGGACTGCAGTGGAGCGATCTTGGCTCACTGCAAGCTCCGCCTTCTGGGTTCAAGCAATTCTCCTGCCTCAGCCTCCTGAATAGCTGGAAATACAGGCACTTGCCACCTCGCCTGGCTAATTTTTTGTATTTTTAGTAGAGATGGGGTTTCACCATGTTGGCCAAGCTGGTCTCAATCTCCTGACCTCGTGATCTGCCCACCTTGGCCTCCCAAAGTGCCGGGATTACAGGCGTGAGCCACTGCACCCAGCCAAAACCTCATTTCTTTGTTTTGTTTTGTTTTTTTTAATAAATAAAAATAATGAACTTTTATTCTCCCAATCCCAATGGATCCTTTTCTACCTCACTGTACTTACTTTCAAGGAATAACTTCCTTCTTAGCTACTGAACATCCCATATCTCCAGATTAGAACCCTGCACAATTTCTAATTCTGATATCACAGTGCTAAGCAGAAATTCACAGGGGGATACTTGGCAAGCATCTTAACACTATTTTGTTAAAAGAAAATCTCCTTTTATTTTCCACTCTATTTCATCAAAGGATTAAAAATTAAGTTACTAAACACCTAGAAGGCAGAAAAGCAGCCTCTTTCTCCATGTGCAGAAGCTAAGCAACCCAGTGGGGCTTCTGTATGCATCATCTCTTTTACTCACTTTCTAAAAGCTGTAACCGTCCACCATCTACCAGGCGATCACAAACCACCCCTTAAGTCAATTTTGAGGTTAACCCACTTGACTTGAGAGGGATTCACCTGTACCACCTCTGCAGCTGTTATGTGAGAAAATAAACTCATCCATCTAAACCCAAAGAATGGACTCAGAGACCCGGAGAACAGCGAAAGTGAGACTTTTAATGACGGTCTTGAGAGATCAAGATCGGGTGTCTGGCGTGCAGGCACACCCAGAACAGTTTCAACAAGCAATTTGTCCCCTAGTGCGCAAGTCCCTCCCCAGGTTCCTCATAGGCTGAGTGCTATGGGGTTACAATTTTCTCGGCGTTTGCCTACTGATTGTTAGGCAAAGGCTTTAGGTGTCTCTTTTTTAGGGTTGTCTTGCTGCATTTTGTTGCAGCCCACAATGCATTGCAATCCTGGTTAGCTCAAGGGCTCTTTAAGTGTTTGACTTATGACCTAAGTAGCTGGGCAGGCTGATAAGAACAGACAAAGTGAGCTATTTTGCAGACTAGTAAACTTATATCTTAGACTAAACTGTTTTTGTTTGGGTGAAGGCCACCAAGGATGGGGGATGGGAAGGGGGAGGAAAGAGGGGGGCGACAAGCAGGCATCCGCTATCCAAGCAGGGACCTAGTATACCCTGTTTCTTCTGTACTTTGCTGACCTAAGCCAATTTAAGGCACTTTGTCTTGGAAATAGATCACTGTATACATTATTTCCTTCAGGAATAGCACTAAGGAAAAGGTGGCTGCACACGTAGTTAACACCGATTTTACCGCGACTTTGTAGTACCTAACCTTGTTTTTAGACTCTCCCTTAATCGCCTAGCCTTGTTTCCACATGAATAGGCTCTTCCTTAGCTGAGAAAGCCGGAAGTACTCCTTTTGGCTCCTTCATTTACAAGACGTCAAAGACTCCTTACCCACCCCCTTCCTCAAGCAGTTAACTTGTGTAAGCTGACTCTTACATATCAAAGAGTCCAATTAACTGATAAGGTACTGAAGCAAGCAATTTACGAAGTTACCAGGATTTCGCTCAAGAGATAACACCATAAAGCTTTGAGTTTGTGTCCGGGAGAGCCCCCATACCTAACGCCTTATGATAGATTTAGAGCCCCTGCACCTGGAACTGTTTGTTTCCTTGTAACCATTTGTCTTTTTAATTTTTTTGCATGCTTTTACTTCTGTAGAATTGCTGCAACTAAGCTCCCCCTCCCCTTTCTAAACCAAAGTATAAAGGAAAATCAAGCCCCTTCCTCGGGGCCGAGAGAATTTCGAGCGTTAGTCGTCTGTCGGTCGCCGGCTAATGAAGGACTCTTAAATTCGTCTCGAAGTGTGGCGTTTCTCTAACTCGCTCGGGTACAACATTTGGAAGCCCCAGCGAGATATATTCGCCACTGGGCGAGAGCCGGGCTAGCTCCGGGCTCCCCCGGAGGGACGGCCGGCTTATAGGCGAGGAGCCACCTGAAAAAAAATTTTCCAGGTCCCCGAAAGGCGACCGTCTTCCGGAGGACAGCGGATCGACTACCGTGTGTGTGTGCCCACAAAATTCAACCTCTGAGTCCTCAGCTTCTGACCCCGGGGTCAGGTAAGTTAGATTTGACTTCTGTTTGGTGAGAGGGAGGCAGCCCTGACGAGGGCATCCCTGTCTTTGACACTGCCCGCTTTTCCAGGGCGCTGGAGGACAGAGCCCTGGTTTTTCTGTTAGGCGCCTTTTGGTTCTGGTTTGGTGAGAGGGAGGCAGCCCTGACGACGGTGTCCCTCTCTTTGACTCTATCCATACTCCAGGACGCTGGAGGATAGAGCCCTGGTTTCTGGCAGGCCGGCCTCTCCATTAAGACTAGTCTCTCACTCTCTCCTCCTCTTTTTCTTTCTCTCCCCCTTGCTCTATCTCTTCTCCTCCTCTCGTTCAGGTCTTCTGGGACCTTTGTTTAGAACGGGAAATAACAAAAATTGTTATAAACTCTTTGTGAATGTGTGCACGACTGAGGAGTCCAGGGGCCTGCCTCTGGATCCCCAGTTTGTAGCTCCACGGCGAAAGCTACGGAGTTCGAGTGGGCCCTCACCTGCCGTTCCGTGGCGACCTCATAAGGCTTAAGGCAGCATCGGGCATAGCTCCATCCGAGCCGGGGGTTTATACCTGCCTGCCAATGCTAAGAGAAGCCCAAGTCCCCTCAGGGGGAGCGGCCAGGCAGGCATCTGACTGATCCCATCATGGGACCCCCTCCCCTTGTCTGTCTAATAAAAACCTACCATAATTGTTTATATACCCAAGGGTCTATTGTTTGTTTTGTGTTTGTTGTCCTGCTCGGTGTCTATTGTCCTGTTTAGTGGTTGTCAAAGTTTCGTATGTCAGGTCATCGATACTGCCCAAGACGTCTGGGCAGGAACTTCTTCAAGGTCTTTAGTGTTGATTTTTTATCACAGGAGGTTAAATTTCTCATCAATCGCTTAGGCTGGCCATCCCAGTCCTGCCTTTTCTGTCAGAAACAAATCAGGTGTTGTTACGGGAACGGGAACGAGTGTGAGGAACATTCGCCTGTTTGGGATTTCTGGCACCATGAAGATTGCTGGCATTTAGATTGTCATACCCCATGTCCAAGTGACTGGGCCACCTCCAGACTAAACCGGTGGTAGGTTCAAAATAGCCACCCTGCAGACCTCCTTGCTCACCTCTTTTGTCATCCCGTAACTTTTTCTGTGCCCTTAAATACGGCACTGTGCAGAGAAACCTACGCCCGTACCACTTTACTTCGTTTAAACCCTTATTCTATTCCTCTGTGGCTACTCTCCTACCCTAGGAAAGATCCGAGTGGCCCTTTTTCCTCCTCATCCCTACCACTTACCCCGTACATCTCGTTTTCCCGTGTCACAGCAAGTTCAGCGTCTCCAGGACTTGGCTCTGCTCTCACTCCTCAAACTCTTAAAAGAAAAGGCCGAATTTGAGCTATTTGCCTTTGAGTCGTGGAGACACCAAAAGTATTTAGGCTACAGGTCCAGGGAAAGAGGGAGGACGCCTAGGTCCATCCAGCCAAGGAGACCTAAGGTTGGCCTCTAGTCCTCCTCCCTCAATCTTGGATAATTATTCTTTTTTTTTTTGAGACAGTCTTCTCTGTCGCCCAGGCTGGAGTGCAGTGGCGCGATCTCAGCTCACTGCAAGCTCCGCCTCCCAGGTTCAGGCCACTCTTCTGCCTCAGCCTCCCAAGTAGCTGGGACTACAGACACCCGTCACCACACCCAGCTAATTTTTTGTATTTTTAGTAGAGACGGGGTTTCACCGTGTTAGCCAGGATGGTCTCGATCTCCTGACCTCGTGATTCGCCCGCCTCAGCCTCCCAAAGTGCTGGGATTACAGGCGTGAGCCACTGCGCCCGACCTCCCTCAATCTTAAAGCTAGTTAACCGTCCTGTGGCAAGTAGTGTGAGCTATTGTTGTCTTTCGGCTCCTTCTGGTTATGTTAATTCTGTTCTTCCGATACTCCAGCCCCCTAGGGAATGAGTTTTTCTGTCCGTGCTGGGTTTGATATCCCTGCTCAAACCTTGTCAAACTGCCTCCAAAAATGGGAAACTCCTCTTCCCGGCCCTGTAAGGATTGGAGCCCCCTCCAATGTATGCTGCAGAATTTTTCTCTAGGCTTCTCAGAGGATTATGGGGTCCGCCTTTAAAAAGGCAAACTCCGGACACTCTGCGAAGTAGAATGGCCAAAGTTTGGAGTCGGATGGCCCCCAGTAGGGTCACTGAACCTAGCAATTGTTCAGGCTGTGTGGCGGGTTGTTGCTGGAACTCCCGGCCACCCCGATCAGTTTCCCCACATTGATCAATGGCTGAGTTTGGTCAGAAGCTCCCCACCATGGCTCCGCTCATGCGCCATTCATAATTCTGCCTCCAAGGTCGTTTTGAGCCAGACCGCACTTCCGCCTGGACCCTCAGTCTGTTCGGCTCACCCTGTACTGCCTCCCTCTGAAGAAGAGGAGAGTCTCCCCCACTCAGTTCCGCCGCCTTATAACCGTCCTGCTCCCTTAGAATCTTCCCTTGTCTCCTCGACTACATCCCCTGTAGGCTCGCCGCCTATTGCCTCTCGATTGCGGCCGCGGCAGGAGGAAGTAGCCCCCCCTCTACCGCGGAAAGAAGCACAAGTCCCTCCGGGTGATGAGCGCTCAGCCCCATTCTTGGTTTATGTCCCTTTTTCTCCTTCTGACCTCTGTAACTGGAAGGCTCATAATCCTCCCTTCTCTGAAAAGCCCCAGGTCTTGATCTCACTGATGGAGTCTGTGCTCCGGACCCATCGGCCCACCTGGGATGACTGTCAGCAGCTCCTTTTGACCCTTTTTACCTCTGAAGAGAGGGAACATATCCGAAGAGAGGCCAGAAAGTATTTCCTCACATCAGCCAATAGGCCAGAGGAGGAAGCTAGAGACTTTCTTGAGGAGGTCTTTCCCTCTACCCGGCCTAACTGGCACACGAATTCCTCGGGTAGGAAGAAAGCTTTGGACGATTTTCACCGGTATCTCCTTGCAGGTATCAAAGGAGCTGCTCAGAAACCCATAAACTTGTCTAAGATGACTGAAGTCGCACAGGGCCTGATGAGTCACCGGGAGCGTTTTTAGAACGCCTCCAGGAGGCCTATCGGACTTACACCTCTTTTGACCCGGCGGCTCCCGAAAATAGCCGTGCTCTTAATTTGGCATTTGTGGCTCAGGCAGCCCCTGATATTAAAAGAAAACTCCAAAAACTGGAGGGATTTCCTGGGATGAATATCACTCAGCTTTTAGAGATAGCCCAAAAAGTTTTTGACAATCGAGAGTTTGAAAAAAGAAAACAAACAGCACAGGCAGCAGCTGATAAAGCATACAAAAGACAAGCAAAAATCTTAGCTGCGGCCATCGGAGAGGTCAAGAAGGGAAGGCCCCCATCACAGAGGAATAGCCAGGGAACCTCAGGTCCCTACCAGAAGGGCAAAAGAGGAGAACAGGCTCCCCTAGAAAAGGACAAATGTGCTTATTGCAAGCAGACTGGGCACTGGAAAAAGGAATGCCCACTACGGCCAGAGGAAAAATCAGAAAAGAAAAAGGCCCTCACCCTCCCCGCAACGGAAGAGTCTGATGACTGATGGAGCCAGGACTCCCTCTCTCTTGGCCCCCAGGAGCCCACGGTGACCGCTACAGTGAGGGGCCAGCCTGTACGCTTCCTAGTAGCTACCGGGGCGGAGCACTCGGTACTACAGACCCCCTTGGGCAGTGTCTCTAATAAAAGAGTGGCTGTACAAAGGTCTACTGGAGCTATTCAGGAATATCCTGTCACACACTCACGAGAAGTGAGCTTGGGACAGAAAAGAGTGAGACAGTCATTTCTTGTGGTTCCAGAGTGTCCTTTTCCTCTCCTCGGAGGAGATCTGCTCCATAAGTTACAGGCCTCTATCTCCTTCTCAGCCCAGCAGGCTAACGTCATGCTAGGAAATACAGCGCCCCCCACTGCCCAACTCCTGCTAACTACCCCTCTGTCAGAGGAAAATCTTTTAGTGTCACCATCACAACCACTGGAAAATAATACTAATCCTCTCCTGTTGGACTTACAGACACTCTTTCCCAGAGTTTGGGCCAGTCAAACCCCCCAGGACTGGCTAAACACCATCCACCAGTGGTTGTAGAACTCCTGGCCACTGCCTTGCCTGTCCAGGTAAAGCAATATCCTATGAGTCAGCAGGCTAGACAGGAGATTAATCCCCATATTCAATGACTGTTACAAGCTGGCATACTCACACCGTGTCAGTCCGCCTGGAATATTCCATTTTTGCCGGTCCAGAAACCCGGAACGAATGATTACCAGCCGGTACAGGACTTAAGGGAAGTTAACAAACAGACTGTTACTGTCCATCCAACTGTCCCCAATCCTTATACTCTACTCAACCTGCTCCCGCCAGAACTTACAGTATATACACTGTCCTTGACCTAAAGGATGCCTTCCTTGCTATTTCTCTGGCCCCCAAGAGCCAACTGATCTTTGCTTTTGAATGGACAGATCCTAGCTCAGGAGACACTACCCAATTGACTTGGACTCAGTTACCTCAAGGTTTTAAAAATTCCCCCACCCTTTTTGGAGAGGCCCTCCAGCAGGATCCTATACCATTCCAAGCTAGTCACCTTAACTGTACTCTTCTTCAGTAGGTGGACAACCTTTTATTAGCTACTGAAACTAAAGACAGTTGCCTGCAACATACTAGGGACCTACTTTACCTCCTTCAGGAGCTCGGGTATCGAGTCTCAGCCAAGAAGGTCCAGCTTTGTCTTCCCACAGTGTCCTACCTAGGATACGACATAAGCCAAGGAAAAAGGGCACTCACCAGTGCCCGGAAAGAAGCCATCCTACGAATCCCCACTCCCACCACCAAGAGACAGGTACGTGAATTCCTGGGGGCCGTAGGATACTGTCGCCTATGGATGTCGGGGTTCGCGGAGATTGCGAAGCCCCTGTACACTGCTACAGGAGGGAATAGCCGGCTAGTTTAGATGGACACAGAAGAACAGGCTTTTCAAAATCTGAAAAAGGCATTAACTGAAGCCCCTGCTCCAGCCCTCCCAAATATCCCAGAGCCGTTTCACCTGTTTGTCCACGAAAGCCAGGGAGTTGCTAAGGGGGTGCTTACTCAGACTTTAGGACCCTGGAGATGCCCAGTGGCCTATTTGTCTAAGAGGCTGGATCCTGTGGCCTCTGGATGGCCAACTTGTCTGCGAGTCATAGTGGCAACAGCAAGCCTAGTCTAAGAGGCTGATAAGTTAACTCTAGGTCAAAATTTAACCTTTACCGCTCCTCATGCCGTAGAGACTTTATTACGAAGTGCTTCTGGCAAATGGATGTCAAATGCTCGCATCCTGCAGTATCAGAGTTTACTGTTAGATCAGCCTCGTTTGACTTTCTCTCCCAGAAGGTGTTTAAATCCAGCTACTTTACTCCCTGATCCAGACTTCACTACACCTGTCCATGACTGCCAGGAACTGTTAGAAACTACAGAAACTGGCCCACCTGATCTCCAAGATGTGCCCCTAAAGAAGGTGGACGCCGCCATGTTTACAGGCGGTAGCAGCTTTCTCAAAACAGGGAGTACGAAAGGCTGGTGCAGCCATTACTACAAAGACAGATGTGCTATGGGCCCAGGCTTTACCGGCAAATACCTCGGCACAAAAAGCTGAATTGATCGCCCTCACTCAGGCTCTCCGATGGGGTAAGGATAAACTTATTAACATTTACACTGACAGCAGGTATGCTTTAACTACTGTACATGTACATGGAGCCATCTATCAGGAGCGTGGGCACCTCAGCAGGAAAGACTATCAAAAACAAAGAAGAAATTCTAGCCCTGCTTGAAGCCGTATGGCTCCCTCAGCAGGTGGCTGTAATCCACTGCAAAGGACATCCAGGAGAAAACACGGCCATTGCCCGTGGTAACCAGAAAGCTGACTCAGCGGCCCGGGATGCAGCCAGACTTCCAGTCATGCCTCTAAACTTATTACCCACAGTCTCCTTTCCACAGCCAGATCTGCCCTACAATCCCGCGTACTCAACGGAAGAAAAAAAACTAGCTTCAGATCTCAGGGCCAATAAAAATCAGGAAGGTTGGTGGATTCTTCCTGACTCCAGAATCTTCATACCCCGAGCTCTCTCGGGGAAACTTTAATCAGTCGCCTGCATTCTACCACCCATTTAGGAGGAGCAAAACTGGCCCGGCTCCTCTAGAGCCATTTTAAGATTCCCTATCTTCAAAGCTTAGCAGATCAAGCAGCTCTCCGGTGTACAACTTGTGCCCAGGTAAACGCCAAGCAAGGTGCTAAACCCAGCCCAGGCCACCGTCTTTGAGGAAACTTGCCAGGAGAAAGGTGGGAAGTTGACTTTACAGAAATAAAACCACACCGGGCTAGGTACAAATACCTTCTAGTACTAGTAGACACCTTCTCCGTATGGACTGAGGCATTTGCCACCAAGAATGAGACTGCCACCATGGTAGTTAGGTTTTTACTCAATGAAATCATCCCTCGACATGGGCTGCCTGCTGCCATAGGGTCTGATAACGGACTGGCCTTCACCTCGTCCATAGCTCAGTCAGTCAGTAAGGCATTACACATTCAATGGAAGCTCCATTGTGCCTATCGACCCCAGAGCTCTGGGCAGGTAGAACGCATGAACCGCACCCTAAAAAGCACTCTTACAAAGTTAATCTTAGAGACCGGTGAGAACTGAGTAAGGCTCCTTCCTTTAGCCTTTCTTAGAGTAAGGTGCACTCCTTACTGGGCTAGGTTTTCACATTTTGAAATCATGTATAGGAAGGCTCCACCTATCTTGCCTAAGCTAAGGGATACCAATTTGGCAGAAATATCACAAGCTAATTTATTACAGTAGCTAAAGTCTCTCCAACAGGTACAAGATATCATCCAGCCACTTTTCCGAGGAGCCCATCCCAATCCGGTTCCTGACCAGATGGGGCCCTGCCACTCATTCCAGCCAGGTGACCTGGTGTTTGTTAAAAAGTTCCAGAGAGAAGGACTCACTCCTGCTTACATAGGACCTCATACTGTCATCCTCACCATGCCAACAGCTCTGAAGGTGGATGGCATTCCTGCTTGGATTCGTCACTCCCGCATCAAAAAGGCCAACAAAGCCCAGCAAGAAACATAGGTCCCCAAGCCTGGGTCAGGCCCCTTAAAACTGTGCCTAAGTCGGGTGAAGCCATTAGATTAATTCTTTTTATTTACTTCTCTTTTTGGTTTTTGCCTGTCATGTCCTCTGCACCTTCCTATTCCCTTCTTCTCACCTATTTCATGACAAGACGTATATTCGCAAACAGTACTTGGAGGGCAGGAACCTCCAAGGAAGTCTCCTTTGCAGTTGATTTATGTGCACTGTTCCCAGAACCAGCCCGTACCTACAAAGAGTAACACAATCTGACAGTCAAGGGGGCAGGAAGCGTTGACCTTTTGGCAGGATTTGGACACTCCGGGAGCCAGACTGGATGTGGGAGCTCCAAAGGTGCGGAAAAAGGACTTCAGAATGTTGACTTTTACCTCTGTCCTGGAAATCACCCTGACTCTAGCTGTTGAGATATTTACCAGTTTTTCTGCCCTGATTGGACACGTGTAACTTTAGACACTTAACTCTGGGAGATCAACCGGATCTTCAACTCTTTCCATAAGTCGTGCTTCCCATCCTAGATTGTGTACTAGAAAAAATTGTAATCCTCTTACTATAACTGTCCATGACCCTAATTCAGCTCGATGGTATTATGGCATGTCATAAGGATTAAGGCTTTATATCCCAGGATTTGATGTTAAGACTATGTTCGCCATCCAGAAGAAAATCCTGGTCTCATGGAGCCCACCCAAGCCAATCAGGCCTTTAACTGATCTAGGCGACCCTATGTTCCAAAAACACCCTGACAAGGTCGATTTAACTGTTCCGCCACCATTCCTAGTTCCTAAACCCCAGCTGCAGCAACAATATCTTCAACACAGCCTGATGTCCATACTAGGCAGGGTACATCACCTTCTTAACCTCACCCAGCCTAAACTAGCCCAAGATTGTTGGCTATGTCTAAAAGCAAAACCCCCTTATTATGTAGGCTTAGGAGTAGAGGCCACACTTAAAAGTGGCCCTTTATCTTGTCGTGCACGACCCTGTGCCCTCACACTAAGGGATGTGTCTGGAAACGCTTCTTGTCTAATTAGTACCGGGTATAACTTATCTGCTTCTCCCTTTCAGACTACTTGTAATCAGTCCCTGCTTACTTCCATAAGCACCTCAGTCTCTTACCAAGTGCCTAACAATACCTGGTTGGCCTGCACTTCAAGTCTCACTCACTGCATTAATGGAACTGAACCAGGACCTCTCCTGTGCATGTAAGTTCATGTACTTCCCTGGGTATACGTGTACAGTGGACCAGAAGGACAACTTCTCATTTCTCCCCCTGAGTTAGATCCCAGGTTTCGCTAGCTGCCCTGCTCCTAGTTCCCTTCTTGGCCAGCCTTAGCATAGCCAGATCAGCAGCCCTAGTTCAAGGAGAAACTGGAATAATGGCCCTATCTCAACAGGTAGATGCTAATTTAAGTAACCTCCAGTCTGTCGTAGATTTGTTACATTCCCAGGTAGAGTCTCTAGCTGAAGTAGTTCTTCAAAACCGCTGAGGCTTAGATCTACTATTCCTCTCTCAAGGAGGTTTATGCGCAGCTCTAGGAGAAAGTTGTTGCTTCTATGCCAATCAGTCTGGAGTCATAAAAGATACTCTCCAAAAGGTTCGAGAAAATCTAGATAGATGCCAACAAGAAAGAGAAAATAACATCCCCTGGTATCAAAGCATGTTTAACTGGAATCCATGGCTAACTACTCTAGTCACTAGGTTAGTTGGACCCCTCCTCATCCTACTATTAAGCTTAATTTTCAGGCCGTGTATATTAAATTAGTTTCTTAACTTTGTAAAACAACGCATAGCTTCTGTCAAATTTATGTATCTTAGAACTCAATATGACCCCCTTATTATAACTGAGGAATCAACGATTTGATTCCCCAAAAACACAAGTGGGGAATGTAATACCTAACGTTGTTTTTAGACTCTCCGTTAATCACCTAGCCTTATTTCCACATGAATAGGCTGTCCCTTAGCTGAGAAAGCTGGACGAACTCCATTTGGCTCCTTCATTTACAAAACATCAAGGACTCCTTACCCACCCCCTTCCTCAAGCAGTTAACTTGTGTAAGCTGACTCTCAACATATCAGAGTCCAATTAACTGATAAGGTACTGAAGCAAACAATGCACGAAGTTCCCAGGATTTCACTCAAGAGATAACACCATAAAGCCTTGAGTTTGTGTCTGGCAGAACCCCCATACCTAATGCCTTATGATAGATTTAGAGCCCCTGCACCTGGAACTGTTTGTTTACCTGTAACCATTTGTCTTTTTAATTTTTTTGCATGCTTTTACTTCTGTAGAATTGCTGCAACTAAGCTCCCCCTCCCCTTTCTAAACCAAAGTATAAAGGAAAATCAAGCCCCTTCCTCGGGGCCGAGAGAATATCGAGCGTTAGTCCTCTTTTGGTCGCCGGCTAATAAAGGACTCTTAAATTCGTCTCAAAGTGTGGCATTTCTCTAACTCGCTCGGGTACAACAACTTCGCCTTTCCGCAGCCGCTGTCCAGCTCTGCAGAGTCCTTTTGAGAGAAGAGCTGGACAAGAGGAGTAAAGGAGCTCTTTGCAAATGCCAGGAGGAGTTTCTTCAGGGGGAAAGTTGGCTTTCCATAGGCTTCTAAGAGAAGTATGTGGAGCAAACAAACGGGAATTTTCTTTCTCATCTTTTGCATTTCAGACAAAAGCTAATAAAATTAGCTGTTTCCACCGTCATGCTTAGTCTCAAAGCTGCCGGTAGATTCCGCTTCTAACTTTCCACACAGGCGCGCAGGAAATCGGGAAATCACTGCAGCTCCCTCAGAAGCTCCAATATCAGCATTTCCTGAACTGAAAATAAAAATGCGACATTACGTGCATACCCAAAGAGCTCAACTGGTCTGTCCAGCAACGTAAAGAGAGGTGAGGCGCTCTTGAAGCCGTGCCAGCCTGGGCGAAACGAACCAGGTCCCCTTCCTGGTCGAGCCTACCCCCCTAGGGACAAAAAGGAACCTCTCTTCCCTCCTATCCAGAGGAAGGGACGGAGAGATGTGGCGATCAGACTCACTCTACCATCCAGTCTATCCAAGTACTAATAATCTTGAGGATGCTTTTCCTTGCCCTCTACCTCTCTCCCTTTTGTCCTTTGCTTCCTCCACTTCACGGCACCCCGCCTCTTCCGTCTCCCCGCAAGCTGGCGCTCGGCTCCTCCCGTTTACTTTTTGTTTGTTTGTTTTTGTTTTTTGTTTGCTTTTGTTTTTGTTTTTTGTTTTTGTTTTTTTGAGACGGAGTCTCGCTCTGTCGCCCAGGCTGCAGTGCAGTGGCGCGATCTCGGTTCACTGCAACCTCCACCTCCTGGGATCAAGCGATTCTCCTGCCTCAGTCTCCCGATTAGCTGAGATTACAGGAGCCCCCCACCACGCCCGGCTAATTTTTGTATTTTTAGTAGGGACGGGGTTTCACCATTTTCACCAGGATAGTCTCCAACTTCTGATCTCAAGTGATCCGTCCGCCTCGGCCTCCCGAAGTTCTGAGATTATAGGCATGAGCCACTGCGCCCAGCTTTCAGAATGAACTTTTCACAATAGTGCAGCGCACTCCTAGACCCGTTTACGCACATTTTAAACACTGTGTTGTGATTCATATGTAGATCTTTCCACATCACTTTCTATTTTTTTTTTCTTC
Source organism: Homo sapiens (assembly GCF_000001405.40). Classification (NCBI taxonomy): domain Eukaryota; kingdom Metazoa; phylum Chordata; class Mammalia; order Primates; family Hominidae; genus Homo; species Homo sapiens. The sequence goes on along the minus strand of NC_000006.12, from coordinate 28,765,000 downwards.
TTTTCCTTCTCTGTATGCTCAGCTTTAAACATTTTTGCACCATAGGCTGAGGCTGCACTCAGCTGGGGAGAGACGCGTGGCGGGGATAAAACTAGAGTAGAGGAATGTTGTTTCCTGTCTGAGAAGGCTCAGACCTTACAAGGGGAGAAAAAAGTCTGTAAGAGAATCTAAAACTTTTTTTGAGGAAATAATTGAAAAATATATCCTAATTGACCCTCCCACCGTATTTTGGCTAAAAATAGAAAGCCTCGACTCTCAGGAGATTGAGTTTGAAAACTGTTAAGACATAGAAAAGGTTTTATTAAAATTCAGTTTGCAAATCATCGTCGGCCTCAGCAATTTTCTCATTCCAGAGAGGGTTGTTTCCGAAATTCTGTAAACATCTGAATTTGTTCCTATGTCTAACCAGAGAAGTTCAATGTTTTTACACTTTTGACTTAACGTAAGAATTTATATTGAGATATATACACTTCTGGGATTGGCGTGCAAGTGTTGTATAAGGGAGTGATAATTAGGCAGAACTAAAAAAACCAAACAAACCTGGTGAAACCCGGGATCGAACCAGGGACCTTTAGATCTTCAGTCTAACGCTCTCCCAACTGAGCAATTTTGGCTACTCTAAGCACGTGCCGTTAGCAATTTCTTCAAAATATAAAAATCTTCATTTGTAAAGTGGGCGTATTTCCTAATGCCTAATTCTTTTTTGTTCAATATCAACACAAAAATTAGCCAGGGGTGGTGGCGCGCGCCTGTAATCCCAGCTACTCCGCGCCGCTGTACTCCAGCCTGGGCGACAGAGCGAGACTCCCTCTCCCTCCGTTGAAGTGGGAGGATCCACTGAGCCGGGGAGGCAGAAGTTGCCGCGAGCCGAGATTGCACCACTGCACTCCAGCCCACGCAACAGAGCGGGACCCTGTCTCGAAAACAACAACAAAAAAGAGTTGTTATGCACCAGTGTGGAGACCACAATTTTAAAAACTCTAAGGAAGAGATAGAATGTACTGGAGGACATAAGAGATCCTTCTTTTCTTTCTTTTCCTGTCACTTATTTTATTTATTTAATTTATTTTTTTTAGACAATCTCCCTCTATCGCCCAGTCTGGAGTGCAGTGGCGTGATCTCGGCTTACTGCAACCGCCACCTCCCGGGTTCAAGCAATTCTCCTGCCTCAGCCTCCCTAGTAGCTGGGATTACAGGCGCGCACCACCACCCCTGGCTAATTTTTGTATTGATATTGAACAAAACAGAATTAGGCATTAGAAAATACACTCACTCTACAAATGACGTTTTTATATTTTGAAGAAATGACTAAGGGTGTGTGCTTAGAGTAGCTGAAATAGCTCAGTTGGGAGAGCGTTAGACTGAAGATCTTAAAGTTCCCTGGTTCAACCCTGGGTTTCAGCCAGCATCTTTTGAGTTCTGCCTAATTATCACTCCCTTATACAGCACTTATACGCCAATCCCAGAAGCTTACATATCTCCAATTTTTGGGAGTTTTTGAAAGTCTGATAAAGGTAATGTACATGTTTGTATCACTCTCTCCTTTGTATATTCCACTGAAGTCTTCCATGAAGTGCTCTCATTACATAAATTATTTAAAGTTTTTGGACGGAGTCTCACTCCGTCGCCCAGGCTGGAGTGCAACGGCGCGATCTCGGCTCACTGCAACCTCCGCCTCCTGAGTTCAAGCTGTTCTCATATCTCAGCCTCCCAAGTAAGCTGAGATTACAGGCCCCCGCAACCATGCCCGGCTAATTTTTGTATTTTTAGTAGAGACAGGGTTTCGCCATGTTGATCAGGTTGGTCTCGACCTCCTGACCTCAGGTGATCCACCTGCCTCGGCCTCTCAAAGTGCTGGGATTTCAGGCGTGAGCCACTAAGCCCGTCCTTATTTAAAGTCTTAAACTTAGGAAGTTATTAGTTTTAAAACCTAAGAAATTCCAACGTGCTATATGCTGTGGCATTTACAAGTCATTTTTGATTTGATATTATTTATATGTATTGGGCGAGGGTTATTTTTAAATCACAAGAAATATGAAAAAAAGAAACATACAGTGAAGTAACTATTATACTGTATGAGCATATATATGGGGGTGTGGTGTATGCAAGAAACATTTTGAAATTAGAAAAACCCGGGTTTGTATCTTGAGTCAACTCCATTATTAAAGTGCTGTAAGAACTTTTTTTTTCTTTCTTTCTCTTTCTTTCTTTCTTTCTCTTTCTTTCTTTCTTTCTTTCTTTCTTTCTTTCTTTCTTTCTTCTTTCTTTCTTTCTTTCTTTCTTTCTTCTTTCTTTTCTTTCTTTTAAGCAGGGTCTCACTCTGTCATCCAGGCTGGAGTACAGTTATACAATCAGAGCTCACTACAGCCTCAACCTCTCTAGGCTGAAGTGACTCCACATGTCAGCACCCTGAGTAGATGGGACTACAGGCGAGCACCACCATGCCTGGCTAAATTTTTTTTTTTTTTTTTTTTTGTATTTTTTTTGTAGACTGTGGGTTTCACCGTGTTGCCCAGGCTGGTCTTTAAATCCTAGGTTTAAGCAATCCACCTGCCTAGGTAGGCCTCCCAGAGTGCTTGGATTACAGGCAGGAGCCATCGCACCAGGCCCAATTACAAGAACATTCTAAATTTTCTTGCTGAGAAGACATTTCTTTAGCCTGGCAACCTTGTCTAGAATTTCCAAATCTTAAGCTGTTTCCATGTTTGTATCCAGGAAAAAAGAAATATATGTATTTCTATATGAATTATTTTATCAAACATTCATGAGGGGCTCTAGAATACTGAAAATGAAAGCAAATGGGCAGCAAAGTCAAGACTCAGGTGCATGTGCCCCATTTTCCCTTTTTCACTTCAACTCCTCTCTTGAAATTCTCTGTTGGGATAATAGGTCTTTTTTTGGTCATTTTGATTTTTTTTCTTTCAAATTACTGCTTCAGTTTCAGTGTTGTTTTTCTCTAACTTCTGCATACCCTGTGAGGAGACAATAATCTACAATACTCCACTATCAGAACTGCAGCAAGTTGCAAAAGGAAAATTAGTACCAAATGAGAAGTAACCTTGGGTTAGGGACATTGACTGTACAGAAACTGGGAATCAGGTACTTTATCCTTTCACTGAGGCTTTCTCAACTCAGAAGCTTGTGTTTTACTCCATTAAGAAATATTTGACTAGACAAACAGTAACATTGAATGTTTTGTGCCTAACGCAGTAAAGATTCCTTTACATTCTGTTGAAATGGAAGGCCTAGGGCAATTCCAAGCATGATTTGTCTGCCATTCAATGGCTTAAAAATGATGTTAATAATGATTTTGTAAAATGGGATGTTGTAAAGATCAAAGGAGATCATGCATAGAAATGCATTCTGTCAAGTCCACTCACAGCATGAAACTTAATTACTGGCAGATCATGCTCCGTGTTCTCTGCTTCTGGGATTCTCCCAGAACAGCACCTAAATGGATAACATTGTCTTTAGACAATTCTGTCCAATCAAGAGATAATACAAGTTTTAAATGACAGCCATTTTGTAGTGTTACCTTTTGCAGTAGTTGCATTAAAAAAAGTCAATATTTATATTTTTATGTAATTTCAATTTTTATTTTAGATTTGGGGGTACACGTGCAGGTTTGTTACATGGGTATACTACATGATGCTGGGTAAATTGCATGAGGTTTTGAGTGCAATTGATCCCATCACCCAGGTAGTAGGCATAGTACCCAAGAGGTAGCTTTTCAAATCTTTCTGCCCTCCCTCCCACCCCTCCCCATAGTCCCCAGTGTTTGTTGTTGCTATCTTTTATGTCCAGTTTCAATAATATATTTAAATCACTTTGTATATCCAAAAACTTATTTTAAGAAGCTATCAATTATAAAATTATTAGTGAGATATTTTATATTTAAAAAATAGTATTACACATCTTTGAAATCTGGTGTGTGTATGTATATATATATTTACATATATATATATTTTTTTTTTTTTTTTTTTTTTTTGCGAAGGATTCTCGCTCTGTCACCCAGGCTGGAGTGCAGTGGCCCGATGTCGGCTCACTGCAACCTCAGCCTCCCAGGTTCAAGCAATTCTCCTGCCTCAGCCTCCCAAGTAGCTGGGATTTCAGGTGTGTGTCACCAAGCCAGGCTAATTTTTGTATTTTTAGTAGAGATGGGGTTTCACCATGTTGGTCAGGCTGGTCTCGAACTCCTGACCTTGTGATCCACCCACCTCAGCCACCCAAAGTACTGGGATTACAGACGCAAGCTACTGTGCCTGGCCAAATCTGATATGTATTTTACACTTACAACACTCTTAACTTGGACTGGGCAATTTCAAGCATTCAATAGCCAGTGTGGCTAATGGTAACCATATTGGACAGTGCAGGTTTAAACAGATACTTTATATATTTTTAGGTTTTCTGAATTGAGTATGTATCACATGAGGGTGTTCTGTCTTCAGGATTAAATGTTTAATTCCTCAGAGGAATTCTGTGTTAAATAAGCTCATCCCACAGTTTTTACAAAAAAAACTGTGTTTCAGTCGTGTTGTTGTTAGTCAGAAGAGAGCTACAGATATTTAATTATTTAAAATTCTCTCCTTTTCAAGAGGCAAACAAAAAAGCAGACCTTCATATTATGATGAATTCCCAAGAATCCAGTAGACATCCAGGTTTCTCTGGGTGCAACATGACATAATGATGAAGGAGTGTTTCTGCAAATTGTCCTAATATTACTTCTGCAGCATCAAAGAGCTAAGATTATCTCCCTAGCATTTACATGCACACACAGACAGTCAAACACACACACAAACACTAGTTTTGTGTGTAACACTTCTCTTGTTTCTTATTCAGTGAAACCTAGCATTCAGTGCTTCCTATTTTTGTTCTAGAAATTCCATCAGCCAACCGAAAAGACAAGTCTGCCATATAACCTGCTGTTTTCTGCCAGTTCTACAAGGGATCAATGTTATTTCATGAGTGTTGGCAAAGGCTCATATATGAGTAAATCAGAATGAGAAAGAGTTAACAGTCACTAGAAATTTGGTGTCAGGAAATGGATTTTCTTCTCATCTTCTTATGTAGTTCAAAGAACACAGCCCTAATCATGATAAATAATAATAAATACCAGGGTTCAAGAACATAGAGGAGCAAACTTTAAAAAAAATTTTTTTTTACTTTATTATTATTATTATTATTATTTGAGAGAGAGTTTCACTCTTGTTGCCCAGGCTGGAGAGCAATGGCATGATCTCACTCACTGCAACCTCCACCTCCTAGGTTCAAGCAATTCTCCTGCCTCAGCCTCCCGAGAAGCTGGGATTACAGGAATGCACCACCACACCCAGCTAATTTTTGTATTTTTAGTAGAGACAGGGTTTCACCATGTTGGCCAGCCTGGTCTCGAACTTGCAACCTCAGGTGATCCACCCGCCTTGGCCTCCCAAAGTGCTGGGATTACAGGCGTGAGCCACCACACCCGGCTTTTTTTTCTTTTAAACAAATATCGTGAATAGGTTTGTAATTCCCAAATCTAAAAGGACCCTTTTTAGTCTTTATCCACCCTCTATGCAATATGTCTACTACTACTAATGCTCACAAACCCCAGGCTGGAGAGTCAATTGCCTGAGTTCTCCATGTAACATCCTCACAGTGTGCCCCACAGATACACCGAATTTAGCATGAGCCAAGCTAACTTATCTTCTCCATCTTCCAATCTTTCTCCCATTCCTTAAAGAGTTGTTAAAAACTCCCCTTTTCTACACCTCCTTCTGTTTGGCAATAGCCTGTTTGTTTTTCTAAACCACTTTCCCCCGTACCTCTTAAATCCTGTTTCTACTTATTTTTTATCTCACCCTCATAATTCAACTCTTCTCGTCATCCCTAGAGGTGTTGTTTCACTCACACCTTATAAATTTTTCTTTTCTTTTCTTTTTGATTTTGATACAGGGTCTCACTCCATCACCCAAGCTGGAGTGCAGTGGCGTGATCATAGCTCCCTGCAGCCTCCAGCTCCCAAGGTCAAGTGATCCTCCTGCTTCAGCCTCTGGAATAGCTGTGAGTACAGGCGCAGGACAACACACCAGCTAAAGACCCTTAAGATGAAATGCTGAGTGCATCGCTCTCAGGTTTTCTTCTGACTGTGATTTTCCTCAATCAAATCTAACCTTTAATATTCCGGCTGAGTAAACAACAAATATGAAGCATTTTAGGTAAGAAAAAGCTGAATTTCAATAACTTTGCGTCATCTCTGAAAGAAATCGAAAGAATGAAAAACCAGAATTTGATTCCTTGCCAAGCATAACAGAAGAAGGAGATCCTGACAACTCAACGTTTTAAAGCCACATTGGAAACTTCTTTTGGCGGTTATCTGACACTTTTCTAATACTTTGCTTTCCATTTCAAGTCCTGTACAGTATACTAAAGAATCTGTATCCCCTCATTAGTACCGAGTATCTTCTACTCAGAGCAGCTGAAGGCGCTCCATGATACTAACCACTACTACCAGCATGCTCACGGAGCCAGTCTCAGAAAATGAAAGTTACCTCCTGAAAATTATTACAAAACAGTCTTTCAGGAGGGGGGTGTAGCTCAGTGGTAGAGCACATGCTTTGCATGTGTGAGGCCCCGGGTTCGATCCCCGGCACCTCCAAATGGTGGTTTTGCTCTGGCAGTGCTTAAATGTAATTCTCAAGCAACATAGCCTTCTGCCTCCTCACCTTTTTCTATCCTATTTCTGCACGTATAGAGAGTAAAAACGTAACCCAATGGATTGCCTTCACTTATCTCCCATCTCTATAATGTAAGCCTCAACATCACCTAAGGCGATTGCGACGGCAGAAGGAAGAGGAGAAAGAAGAATGAGGTCGCAACAGGGTCTCTTGAAAGCAAACAAAAGCGTGCACATCAACAGGCGGCTCACTTTGGCTTCGGTTTTGTACTATGATTAAAGAGAAGGAAAGGCTGAGAAGAAGAAAGGCAGAAAAGCCCCCCCCCGCCCCCCGGGCATTTCGTTTTGGTCGTTGTTTTTGTTTTCTGAGCCAAATCCAGAGTCAAAGCATCTGTCCACTGATTTCTCTCCCTGTCGAACTGCGCAGAGAGCACAGCCACAAGTGCGATCCAAAGCTGAGAAAATGTGGCTCTCCAGCCGCTTGAGATGAGAGTGGCAGGACGCTGGACAACCGAACGAAGACTGTCGGGGAATTAGAGGTCTTCAACACGGAAGGAGCGAAATCAATAAGGATCAACACATTCCCTACTGATAGTCCATACGATTGATTCATTTTCCTGTATTGCATCAGTCACTCCATTCTCCTCGTTAAAATAAAACACTGAGGTCCGGGCGCGGTGGCTCACGTCTGTAATCCCAGCACTTTGGAAGGCCGAGGCGGGGCGATCACCTGAGGTCGGGAGTTCGAGACCAGCCTGACTAACATGGAGAAACTCCGTCTCTATTAAAAATACAAAATTAGCCGGGCGTGGTGACGCACGCCTGTAATCCCAGCTACTCAAAAGGCTGAGTCAGGAGAATCGTTTGAACCCGGGAGGCGGAGGTTGCAGTTTGCTGAGATCCCACCATTGCACTCCAACCTGGGCAGCAAGAGAGAACCTCCGTCTCAAAATAAAATAAAATATAACATAACATAAAACATTGCCTGGAAACCTCTGTTAACAGCAAACAGAGGCCCCATATGAAAAAGTAGAGAAAGCTTTTCTGCCACAATGGAAAATAGATGCAAAGTAAAGGTGAGTAAATTGCAGGTGTGTTGGCACTTCTAATTAAAAAAAAAAAATTCTTTTTTCTTTGTCAATCCTATCACATCTGCTTTGTATGACGAGGGAACTCCAGGAAATCCTATCTACTGATGACACCTTTTAGGGGTTTCCAATGCTGCATGTTTCAAAACTGCTGTCCTCTGTGTATATGTTTGCCGTTGAATCAAAAGTGTCTTTGAGAGGCAACAGAGTACGATGTTTGTCATCAGTCCACCAGTCTAACACTCTGTCAGGGTAGGCTGTCCTTACTTCTCGATTCTTTTGTTCAGTGAAAATATCCATAACCAGCCTACAGGAGAGATATTGTCTAGTGAAACCTGCTTAGCTGAAGACTGGTTGTGTGCCCCAGGGACAAACCATATGTTCGTTATAAGATACATTTTTTTTTTTTGTTTGAAGGAAGGTAATGCAGACATTTTCTTTTCGTTTCATACTTGTTTTCCCTTCTATCCACTGGTTCTCTCCAGGCACTTTAAGCAAATAGTGGCATGTTAGTCACAGTGGACACTGCACAGGAGAATAAGGGGTGAGGGATCAGGGTGCTACAAGAGGAATGCCAAATTCCAGGCCCAACCTCAGATCTATTGAGTCAGAATTGCTGAGGGTGGCGTCCAGCCGCCTGTGTTTGAATAAGCCCTCAAGTGACTCTGATGTTAAAGTTGTTTTGTTTTGTTTTTTGAGACGGAGTCTCGCCCTCTCGCCCAGGCTGGAATGCAGTGGTGCAACCTCGGCTCACTGCAATCTCTGCCTCCCGGGTTCAAGCGATTCTTCTGCCCCAACCTCCCAAGTAGCTGGGATTACAGGCGCGCGCCGCTATGCCCAGCTAATTTTTGTATTTTTAGTCGAGACGGGGTTTCACTATGTTGGTCAGGCTTGTCTCGAACTCTTGACCCCGTGATCCGCCCGCCTCGGCCTCCCAAAGTGCTGGGATTACTGGAGTGAGCCACCCGCCCAGCCGCTGATGCTAAAGTTTGAGAAGCACTGTTCTAGAGGTTTAAGAAGGTGGTCCAGGGCCAGGCGCCTGCTGAGGAGGAAGAGCTGTTCCCGGGGTTCCCTGCCTATTCTCAATCAAAAACTCAAACCACCTAGGAAAGCCAGTGAGGTTTGTATTTGCCTTACATCAGGGGTGGGGATGCATTTATTATCTCTTTGACACCGTCAACATTTTAGATGATTTTGGTAGTCACACACAAGAGACTGATTTTCCTGTAGAAGAACTCACCAGAGTTCTTGTCAGCCAGGAGACTCTTTTGAGCCAATTTTCTTTATTTCTTTCCTTTCTTATCATTCTACCCTCCCTTCTCTTTCTTTCTCTTTTTCCTTTCTTTCTTTTCTTTCTTTCTTTCTTTCTTTCTTTCTTTCTTTCTTTCTTTCTTTCTTTCTTTTTCTTTCTTTCTTTCTCTCTTTCTCCTTTTCTTTCCTTTTCTCTCATTTCTTTCTTTTCTTTTCTTTTCTTTTTTTTTTGAGACAGGGTCTCACTCTATCACCCAGGCTGGAGCGCAGTGGCGTGATCTTGGCTCACTGCAGCCTCTGCCTCCTGGGTTCAGGTGATTCTCCTGACTCAGCCTCCCAAGTAGCTGGGATTTCAGGTGCGCGTCACCATGCCCAGCTAATTTTTAGTAGAGGTGGGGTTTCACCATGTTGACCAGGCTGGTCTTGAATTCCTGACCTCAGGTGATCTGCCCTCCTTGGCCTCCCAAAGTGCTGGGATTACAGGCATGAGCCACTGCACCTGGCCACCAATTCTGTCATTTCTTTGTCACATAAAAAGTAAAAACATGACCCAATTCATTGCCTTTACTGCTCTCTTATTTCTATTTCTATTTGGTCAGCCTCTGTACCAGCCAAAGCAACTGACATAGCAGGAGAGGAAAGGAGGAAAAAAGAACCAGCTTTTACAAGATCTCTGGATCATGTTTCACTGTCAACTGTAAAATTATTTGTCTAGCCCTAGATTGGAAATATTATCTTCCATATATTTTCCTCAAAGTTTTATAGTTTTACATTTTATATTCATATCTGCGATCCATTTTAAGTTCACTTTTGTGAAGGCATGAGACTTATTTTTCTTCCATGGAATTACTACTTAGGCAACTTTGTCAAAAACCAGTTGAGAATATTTGTGTAGGTTTATTTTTCCATTCTCTCTATTAACCACGTGCCTATCTCCTTGCCAATACTATACAGTCTTAATTACTGTAGTAATAATACAATAATACAAGAATACAACAATGTAATGAAATAGTCTTGAAATCAGGTAGACTGTTTTTCCCTCCTAGATTTTAAATAATTATTCTAATTCCTTTGACTTTGTGGGAGAAACCTGGTGGGAGGTAGTTGGATCATGGGGGTGGCTTCCCCCATGCTGTTCTGGTGATAGTGAGTGAGTTCTCATGAGATCTGATGGTTTCATAAGTGTTTGGCAAGTTCCTCTTTTGCTCATACTTCTTTCTTCTGCTGTCATGTAAAGAAGGTCCTTGCTTCCCATTTCCCTTCCGCCATGATTGTAAGTTTCCCGAAGCCTCCTCAGCTATGTGACTCAATTAAACCTATTTCCTTTATCAATTACCCAGACACAGTGGCTCACGCCGGGAATCCCAGCACTTTGGGAGGCAGAGGCGGGCGGATCATGAGTTCAGGAGTTCCAGACCAGCCTGACCAATACGGTGAAACCCTGTCTCTACTAAAAATACAAAAATTAGCCGGGCATGGTGGCCTGCGCCTGTAGTCCCAGCCACTCGGGAGACTGAGGCAGAAGAATTGCTTGAACCCAGGAGGCGGAGGTTGAAATGAGCCGAGAGGAGGCCACTGCCCTCCAGCCTGGGCGACAGAGCAAGACTCCATCTTAAAAAAAAAAAAAAATTACCCAGTCTCAGGTAGTGTCTTCATAGCAGTGTGAAAACGGACTAATACACATTCTGTCTTTTACCGTGATGTACAGTGTTAGCTGTTCTCTATTCCTATTTTTCTGAGACTTTTTGTCATGAGTAGCTATTGAAGTTTGACAAATTCTTTTTCTACTGTGATATGATCACGTGATTTTATTTTTTAGCCTGTTAATATGGTGGATTGCAGTGATTGTTTCTAAATTTACCTAGTCTTACGTCTCTGGAATAAACCCCACTTGATCATGGTGTATAATGCTTCTTATATATTCCTGAATTCTATTTGATAATATTTTGGTAAGTATTTATGCACCAATACTCATTATTTTGTACTGTATTTACCTGGTTTTAGCATCAGGATACTATTAACTTCATAAATAAATGGAAAGTTTTTTGTCCTCTTCTGTTTTTTTCAGAATAGATTGTGTAGACCTTGTTTTAATTCTTTAACCATTTTTTTTTTTTTTTGAGACGGAGTCGCGCTCTGTCGCCCAGGTTGGAGTGTCACTGCAAGCTCCGCCTCCCGGGTTCACGCCATTCTCCAGCGAGTAGTTGGGACTACAGGCTCCCTGCCACCACGCCCAGCTAATTTTTTGTTTTTTCAGTAGAGACGGGGTTTCACCGTGTTAGCCAGGATGGTCTCGGTCTTCTGACCTCATGATTCGCCCACCTCGGCCTCCCAAAGTGCTGGGATTACAGGCATGAGCCACCGCCCCTGGCCTCCTTAAGAACTTCTTAGAATTCTTCAGTGAAATTTTCTTGGATTCGAAGATTCCTGATTTTTTTTTTTTAAACGAAGTCTTGCTCTTGGCCTCCAGGCTGGAGTGCAATGGTGCGATCTTGGCTCACTGCAACCTCTGCCTCCCAGGTTCAAACGATTCTCCTGCCTCAGCCTCCCAAGTAGCTGGGATTACAGGTGCCTGCCACCACATCCGGCTAATTTTTGTATCTTTAGTAGAGACGGGGTTTCAGCATGTTAGCCAGGCTGGTCTCGAACTTCTGACCTCAGGTGATCAGCCCGCCTTGGCCTCCCAAAGTGCTGGGATTACAGCCATGAGCCACCACGCCCGGCCAGATTCTTGATTTTTTTTTTAAATTATGTTACAAATTTAATTCCCTTAATAGTTACAGGGTTATAAAAAATGTATTACATATTGAGTTAGTTGTGTTAATTTGTGTTTTTCAAGGAATTAGTCTATCTCATCTAAATTGTCAAGTTTGTGTGTAAAGAGTTATTCATAGTAAGGCAGAAATTTAAAAATAAATATGCATTCATTCACTCCAAGAAAAGTAACAGGAAAGGGTTAAAAAGAAAAGAAACAAGTTTTCGTTTGCCTAGCAGCTCACTTCAAGGACAGTTACAAGATAACACTTTCCGAAAAGCCAAGGCCAAAGGAACGGCTTCCAGACACGCCCTTCTCCCACCCCACCCAAGAACAAGGTTGAAGGGAAAAAAAGGAAAGGCAAATTCCTATACTGTTACTCCTTTCCCTGGCTTCTTAAGCATAACTGTTTTTACAAATGTCTGTATTTAGTCAGTTCTTGTTTTTCTTTTGACGCAGCTGCAAGGCCACAAATTAAGCACTGTATGATTAACTGCCTTTGTTTTGCTTATAAAAACTCCTGCTCTGTCTTTGTTCAACGCTCAGCATTTTTTGTTTGTTTGTTTTGTTTTGAGACAGAGTCTTGCTCTGTCGGCCAGGCTGGAGTGCAGTGGCACGATATTGGCTCAATGTCACCTCCGCCTCCTGGGCTCAAGCAATTCTGCCTCAGCCTCCCGAGTAGCTGGGATTACAAGCATGTGCAACCACGCCTGGCTAATTTTTGTATTTTTAGTAGAGACGGGGTTTCACCACGTTGGCCAGGCTGGTCTCGAACTCCTGACCTCAGGTAATCTGCCAGCCTTGGCCTCTCAAAGTGCTGGGATTATGGGCGTGAGCCACCAGGCCCGGCCAGTGCTCAACTTTTTGGATGTGAATCCACTCAGTGGCTGCTTACCTTAAAATAAATATCCTCCTGTTCTCCTGTATCAGTCTTTCCGTTCCTCAGTTTACCACCACAATAGTATTCCCTTATCCTAATATTATTTTTATATATTAGGATATATCATACTACATATGTTATATAAAATATTATATTGATAATATGTTATGTTAATATTATATAATAAATAACATAATTATAAAATATATTTATTTATATGATTATTTAACAAGTTATATATTATTATTTACTTATATTATTAGGATATAATATATCCTTATATATTATTAGTATATACTATGTATATTATATATATATATATTCTGAATAATCTTGAGGATGCTTTTCCTCCTTCATTTTTTAACTCTAGCCTGCCTCTTCCCTTTCCCCACCTGCTGGTTCTCGGCTCCTCTCCACCTTCTTTCTCATTTATTTCTAAATGAAGTTTTCACAAAAGCGCAGGGCACTCCTAGTCTCGTTTATGCACATTTTAAGCACTATGTTGAGATTCCTATGCAGCTGCTATTTTAATTTCCACATCACTTTCCTTTTTTTTTTTCCTTCTCTACATGCTTGACTTTAAACATTTCTGCAGCATAGGCTGAGGCTGGGCCCAGCTGGGGAGAGATGCGAGGCCAGATAAACCTAGAGTAGAGAAATGTTGTTTCCTGAGTGGGAACGCTCCGACCTTACAAGGGGGAGAAAAAGTCTGCGACGGAGTTTCGCTCTTGTTGCCCAGGCTGGAGTGAAATGGTGCTATCTCGGCCCATTGCACCCTCCACCTCCCGGTTCAAGCGATTCTCCTACCTGTCTCCCGAGTAGCTGGGATTACAGGCACCCGCCACCATGCATGGCTAGTTATTTTTTAAATGCTGGGATTACAGGTGTGAGCCACCGAGCCCGGCTAAATTTTTTAAAGGAAATCATCCAAAAACATATCCTTTTGATGTCAGCAGAGTCTACAGTGATATCCTCTTTTTATTCCTGATATTGGTAATTTGTGTCATCTCTCTTCCTAAAATTTCTGTCTTACTAGAGGTCTTCTTTTATTGATCTAAAGGAACTAGCTTTTTGTTTGTTTTTCTTTTTTTGTTTGTGTTCCGTTTCACTGAATTTTGTTCTTATTTTTATTGTTATCTTTTGTCTATTTGCTTTGGGTTTATTTTGCTTTTTTCCCCACCTGGGTTCTTCAAATAAAAGTTTAGATGACTGACTTGAGACTTTTTTCTTTTTCTAATGTATGCAGTTAGTGGTATACATTTCTCTCTCAGTGTTTTTTTAGGTTGTCTTGAAAATTTTGGTATATTGTGCTTTCATTTTTATTCAGGTTAATTTATTTTTTGATATCTACTAAGTCTTTCTCTTTGTCCTGTGTACTATTTAGTAGTGTGTTGTTCATTTTCCAAGTGTTTGGATGTTCTTCTGTTGTCTTTCTGTGATTGACTTTTAGTTTGATTTCATTGTGGTCAGGGATCATACTGTGTGAGTTAATTCTTTTAAATTTGAGGTTTGTTTTATGGCCCAGAATATGTTCCATCTTGACCTGTGTTCTGTGTGTTCTGCTTTTCTTGTGTGGAGTCTTCTTTAAATGTTGACTGAATTCTGTTAGCTGAAGATGATTTTGAGTTCTTCAACATCCTTGCTGATTTTCTGTTTAGTTGTTCTATCGATTATTATGAGAGAAGTGTTGAAGTCTCTAATGTAATTGTGGATTTGTCTATTTTTTAAAAATTCTTTTTTTCTTTACATATTTTCAACTCTGTTTGGTTTATACATATTTAGGATTGTTATGCCTTCTTGGTGGATTTTTAAAATTTTTCTTTGTTCTAAAGCTTATATTAGGCCAGACGTGGTAGCTCACGCCTGTAATCCCAGCACCGTGGGATGCTGAGGTGGGTAGATCACCTGAGGTCAGGAGTTTGAGACCAGCCTGACCAACATAGTGAAACCCCATCTCTACTAAAAATACAAAAATTAGCCAGTCATGGTGGTACGTGCCTGTAATTCCAGCTGCTTGGGAGGCTGAGGCAAGAGAATCACTGGAACCCTGGAGGCAGAGGTTGCAGTGAGCAGAGATCGCGCCATTGCACTCCAGTCTGAGTGACAAGAGTGAAACTCCATCTCAAAGAAAAAAGATAAATAAATAAAGTTCATATTATATTAATATACTCACTTTTGCTTTCTTTTAATTAACATTTGAATGTTATATATTTTTATATGCTTAATTTCAACCTGTATGTATAATTATATTTGAAATAAGTTTCTTGTAGACAGCATGTAGTTGGATTATATTTTCTAATCTACTCTGTTAATCTCTGTCTTTTAATTGGTACCTTTCGACCATTTACATTTAATGTAATTATTGATATGTTAGGGCTGAAATCTAGCAGTTTGTTTTCTATTTGTACCCTGTTACTGCCATTTTCTGGGGATATGTATGTATGTATGTATTTATTTATTAAAGCCTTCTTTGTGGACTACTAGTATACTTTTTTAGAATTTCATTGTCATTTATCTGTAGCGTTTTTGTGTGTGTGTGGTTTTGTTTTTTTGATTTTTTTTTTCTCCTGCCTCAGCCTCCCAAGTAGCTGGGATTACAGGCATGCGCCACCATGCCCAGCTAATTTTTGTAGTTTTAGTAGAGACAGGGTTTCACCATGTTGGCCAGGCTGGTCTCGAATTCCTGACCACAGGTGATCCCCCTCAGCCTCCCAAAGTGCTGGCATTACAGGTGTGAGCCACTGTGCCCAGCCTATCTGTAGTGTTTTTAAATGATCTCTTTATATAACTCTTTTAGTGATTTGTCTGAGTATTACATATTTATTTAATTTATCACTGTGTACTGGTATCATTATTTTATCAGTTAAAGTGATGTGTGTCATCTTTACCTTTTTGTCACTTTGCCTCTCCTACTTGTAATATAATTGTCTTAAATTATTTCTTCTACATACATTTCGAACCACATCGAACCATGTTATACTTTTTTCTTTCTTTCTTTTTTTTTTTTTTTTTTTTGAGACATTGTCTCACTCTGTTGCCCAGGCCTGAGTGTAGTGGCGTGATCTTGGCTCGCTGCAACCTCCGTTTCCCTGGTTCAAGTGATTCTCCCTCCTCAGCCTCTCGAGTAGCTGGGACTACAGGTGTGTGCCACCATGCCCAGCTAATTTTTTGTATTTTTAGTAGAGACGGGGTTTCACCATGTTAGTCAGGCTGGTCTTGATCTCCTCATCTCATGATCTGCCCACCTTGGCCTCCCAAAGTGGTAGGATTACATGCCTGAGCCACCGTGCCCGGTCATGTTACACTTTTTGCTTCAACTGTTAAACATAATTTAGAAAGCTCAAGAGGAAAAGGAAAATGTATTGTTTTTACCTTTTTTTTTTTTGCTTACCATGTTCTTTCTTCTTTCCTGGTGTCAATTATTTCTTCTTTTATCATTTCTTTCCATCTGGAGAAATTTAACTATTTTTTAAAGGATAATTCTGCTAGAAGCTAATTATCTTAGTTTTCTTTGCTCTGAAAATGTCTTGATTTCTTCTTCAGTTCTAAAGGATATTTTCTGTGGATATAGAATTCAGAATTAACAATTCTTTTCTTTCGGTCCTTGAAAACTGTTGTGCCACTCTTTCTGACTTCTGTGATTTCTGATAAGATACCCACTGTTATGCAAATTGGTTTTCTCTGTAGGTAAGGTGTTTTGTCTCTTTTCTTGCTTTCAATATCTCTTTCTCTGTTTTTAGAGTTTAGAAATTTTGATTGATTTTGTTTTCAGTTAACCGTTGAAGGAGATTCTCTAAAAAATATGTAAAAATGCAAATCTCCAGGTCAACAGTCTCTAAAATAGTTTAGATTTCTGTATTCTGGTGTTTGGAAAACAACTTCACTAAGGCAATCCCTTAGGGCTGGTAATTTCATGATGTAAATCATTCCACATTTGTAAAGCATAAAGTAGCAAAGTTTTAGTCACTGTACAAACAAGTATCTGAACTTCTTCCTGTGCTTAATTGGTATAAACTATCTTGGGCGGCAGTTCCCCACCTTTTTGGCACCAGAGACCGTTTCATGAAAGACAGTTTTTTCCATGGATGAGGGAGCAGGGGTTGGGGGGGATGATTTTGGGATGATTCAAGCACATTAGATTTATTGTGCACTTTTTTAATATTGTTATTATATTGTAATATATAATGAAATAAGTATCCAACTCACCATAATGTAGAATCACTGGAAGCCTTGAGTTTGTTTTCCTGCAACTAGACAGTCCCATCTGGCACTGATGGAAAACAGTGACGGATTATCAAGCATTAGATTCTCATAAGGAGCCCACAATCTAGATCCCTTTCATACGCAGTTCACAATAGGGTTTGGACTTCTGTGAGAATCTGACGCCCCCGCTTATCTGGGAGGAAGAGTAGCTCAGGCGGTCGCAGGAGCGTTGGGGAGTTGCTGTATAAGGACAGATGAAACTTCTCTGGCTCGCCTGCCGCGCTGCCTGATACGCGGTTACGTTTACTGGAGGTTGGGGACTCCGGAGCTAGAGTAAAACACACAAATATTTCGCCTGAACAGGGACTTGAACCCTGCACCGTCAGATTAAAAGTCTGATGTTCTACCAACTGAGCTATCCAGGCCCTGGGTAGACGCAACCCACGGAGTATGTAATCTAGATTTCTCCATTTGTTCAGTTCATTTTGTTTCATGTTGCAATTTGTAAATCATATTACTTGAATTATCCTCTTTTCGAAGACCCTGCTTAAGAGAGACATTATAATCCCTAGGAATATTTTCCTTTTCTCTTTTTAAACATTTCCTTTCTGTAGATTTTCGTAACCTGAGATGGAGCGTCTTCTACACAAAGCACTGCGGAGTTGCTAGATACAGAGGGTTTCATTCTCGCCAATTACCTGCAACCTAAACTTCTCGAGGCAACTGTGGAGCTACTTTTGTTCGTATCCCTCAGTATTGTCTTGCATCTCTTTCTTGAAGCCTTTGTAGGCAGAGGGTAAGAGAGACGAAGGAGGAAGAATTTGAAGATGCAAGAGAACATTCCATAATGGACCCCTTTCTGTTGGTGGATGAAACTGCCAGCCAGGCATCACTTTGGCAAGTGGACCTCAGACCGGCGGTCTGGCTGGCCAGAGAGGAAAACCGCGTGTAACAGTGTCTTTTGGTTTAGTATTTAGTGCCGCTTTTGCTGGTCACAGTCTAAAGGTTTTAGAAATAGTGATGTTAAACACAGCAAGCATTTTTCTGCCAGATATTCGTTCTCCAAACACAGACAGACAAAGGCAGTAATTAATAATGGATCTTTTCTTTGTTTTTTTCTTGTTTTATTTTTGAAGATATTTTTTCTTCGTCTATGGATCTTTTTTTTAATTTTTAATTTTTACTGCTGCATAGTATATATATGTATATATATGATACATGGGATATTTTGATGCAGGCATACAATGTGTAATAATCATATTGGGATAAACGAAGCATCCATCACCTCATCCATCGCCTCAACACCTTATCATTTCTTTGTTACAGACATTCCAGTTATAATCTTTAAGTTATTTTTAAATGTACAATACATTTTTGTTGACTATAATCACCCTGTTGTGCTATCAAATGATAGATCTTATTCATGCTAACTATATTTTTGTATCCATTAACCATCTCACTGCCCCCTCCAATACCCTTCCCAGCATCTGGTAACCATCATTCTACTCTCTGTCTCCATGAGTTCAATTGTTTTATTTTTGGCTTCCACAAATGAGAGAGAATATGTGAAGTTTTACTTTCTGTGTATAGCTTAACTTAATGTCCTCTAGTTTGTGGAGGAAAAGTTACGTATTAAATTTGAACTCAATTGAACGTGGACACAAACAATGGTCACCAAATCCTGAACAGGTTGTATGAACCCCTTGAGGTGTTCATCCAGTGCTGTTTTGGAGAAATCTCTATTTCAATCTATTCCTATACGTTAGTTATTGAAAAACAACAGACAATCGCAAAAACAAGTTGACCTTTTCTTGTTCCTTGAGCTCAGTCGCGAAGGGCTCTCGTGAGCTTCATGAGACCTCTCCTTCTCTGTGCATGGACGAGTGGCCGACTCTGGAGCCGGGGCTGTTGCTTCCCGGTGTGGTGATGAATCCTTCATAGTCTTGTGAGTGTACATATATATAAATATATATATTTATATATATATATATATATTTGGTGAGTGTGTGTATATATATATATATATATATCTTTTCCCTTCTCCCCTTCCCATTGCAATTTGCTTATTGTATCATTTGTTTATTATATCTGCATTGCCGTTTACGTGGGATAAAGGTTATTTACCCTTAAAGGTATTGTGTGTGTGTCTTTTCTTCTCCCCTCTCGCATTTCCCGCACAGAACATAGTTCCATCCGCTTTGCAAATGACAAGACCTCATTCTTTTCATGGCCGAATAGTACCCCGTTGTGTATACGTACCACATTTACTTTATTCATTTATCTGTTGATGGGTACTTAGGATGCTTCCCAATCTTGGCTATTGTGAATAGTGCTGCAATAAAGATGACAGTGTAGATATCTTTTCGATATACTAATTTCCTTTCTTTTGGGTATAGGCCTAATAGGGGGATTGCTGGAATATATGGTAATATTTTTAGTTTTCTGAGGAACCTCCATACTATTCTCCAAAGCGGTTGTACTAATTTAAATTCCCACCAAGAGTGTACTAGGGTTCTCCTTTCTCCACGTCCTTGCCTGTCTTTTGGATGAAAGTCATTTTAACTTGGGTGAGATAACATTTCATTTTAGTTTTGATTTGCATTTATTTGATGATCAATGGTGTTGAGCACCTTTTCATATATTTGCCATTTGTATGTCTTCTTTTAAAAGACATATAGACAAAAGAATGGTAAATAGATATGTGAGTAGAAAATCTTTACTTGGCTGAGTTTTCTTTATCCTTTCCTTTCACAGTAGCCCCCATCCCCAACACACACACACATACACACACACACACACACACACACACACACACACACACACACGTCAGGTCAATAACCAGACCATAAGTGCTGCAAATCTTAGTTCTTTCTGTGTGTGTGAGTGAACGTTTGTTGTACACTGGATCACACCTCACAGGAAATGCTGAGTTTTCCAAATTCTAAAGTTAAGAACATTATTAGGGTCATGCATTATGGGTTTTTGTAAAATGGCTAAAGTAGCTACATTGGGAGATTCTTTGTCTAAAGGTGCAATACATCCCCCAATTTGATTCAGGGCTTGGAAAGTTGTCTGGTTTCATCTAAACAAATAAATAAATTCTATTTTTTTCAAATCTCAATTATAGAAACCTTTATCTACAGACACCCTCCTCCATTCATTTCTTCAGTGAAATTATCTAGACAGATTGTTATAGAGAGATTAAGAATGTCATACTTTCAAATCTCTCTTGGATTCCTCCCAAAATACTTTTGTTAGAAATATTTAAACATTTTAAAGGAATCTTGCCTGGAACCCATCAGATAAAAATCAAAAGGCATCAGAGAAAACACTGAAAGGCTTTGGAAAGGAAATGGTATCACTGGTATAAACAAACATTTCATACAATTTAATAGTTTCTTAGCATTATTCTTTCAAATCTCAGTGCCAATCCTTTTTAGCATCTTCCTGAAGAAAGAAATTTCAGGCTACTTTGGACACACTTTCTATAGGGTACCCCTGCTCTGCAAACAGCAGGAATAAATAAATAAATAAATAAATATAACAATAAATAAATAGATTTCGATGGTTTGGCTCAGTCTACCAACCTTACTAACTGTGCCAACTTTACTATCTGCTGCCTACGTCTGCCAGTTAACTTTTCCTCCTCCAGACTGAACAAAAAATGCCCTTTTATTTAAATTTGTTAGATTTTGAGATTTTGGATTGCTATTCTTTGGGCACAAAATCCACTAGTGAGAAGGTGAGGAAGCAAAACTGAGAACAATTTCAAAACATGTGAATAAGTTTGAGTCTGTTGAAACATAAGTCATGGTAGTGCATCTTGCCCAAAATGGAGATGGATTCTTCAGCACTGACTAGAGCAAGTAGCCTCCCCAAACTGGATCACACCAGAAACCCTTATTCAATCTAATGCTCCTCATAGGACGCTTTCTGAGAAAGAAAGGGACTTAACTAAATCAGTTTCATAGGGAACAGCAGAAGACCTTTCTTTTGTCTACCCAGACTCATCTAGTCCGGCCCCAGAACTAGCGTTCCGTGGTCTCAAACATGGGTCATTACTTAATAAATTAGTGTACATAGGATACACCATCCAAAATATGGCCTAAAACAATTCTTGAGTTTTGACTGGAGAAACCTGGAGAAAATGGTGTACAAGGGATCCAGGAAAAGTTTAGGGCTGAGAGATGCATCTCTCTGGGGAAAGGAGATAGGACTGGGCACTGGAAAAATGAAATAGTTTCTTCCCAGTAACTCGTCATTTCCATGAAGCCAAGACGATGCGAAAACTGAGGGAATCTGTGATTGGTTTACTTTACAAACTTGGTTGTTGTTTTTTTTTTTAATCTTTCCTACCCTATCAACATAGGGGACATAGCTGGGGAAAGGGTAACAAAAAATCGCCCCAGACTGTTTTCTGGATCAATCCAAAGGTGAGCTTAGAGCAATCAACCTTTAGGCAAAATACTTGGGGCTTTTCTGACAAGGGGGAGCTTTTTTTTTTTTTTTAATTTCAACTTTTATTTTAGATTCAGGGAGTACAGTGCAGGTTTGGGACAAGGGTGTATTGCGTGTTGCTGATGTCTGGAGTACGATTGAACCCGTCACCCATGTGGTGAGCATAATACCCAACAGGCAGTTTTTCTATCCTTTTCCCCCTTCCAACCTCCCACCTCTTACGGTCTCCAGTGTCTTCTGTTCCAGGGGAGCTCTTGTTTGAGCTTACAGGCTTTTCTTCCTGGAGGAAGCACCATCGTATCTTTGAGACGGAAAAGGTTAAAATAGATCAAACAATGATGCTCCCTCTTACGCTGTCATGTCCACTCCTTCATTGCAGACTTGAGTTCTTGGCTCATATTTCTGTACCCGAACGTGCATTATCATTATTAGTAACTTAGAGAAGAGAGCCTTCAAAGAAGGCAAAGATGTCACTTCTGATCATCTCGCAGTTTATAATTCTAAGGAATTGCTATTAGGAATTTTAGATGGAGTTTTATTCCTTCTGCCCACCTCCTCCCCCGCCTCTCCCCGCCCCCCTTCAAGTTGTTAAATCTCTAATTACGAAGTTAAAGGTTTGAAAACAGAAACTCAACGTTTCCTCACTACACTTCAGTCTTGATGTGTGCAAATTAGCACCCGCGTGCGGCCGCGTGGCCTAATGGATAAGGCGTCTGATTCCGGATCAGAAGATTGAGGGTTCGAGTCCCTTCGTGGTCGTGTTCTTACTATTGTCAGGAAATATCTTTACTTTCTGCACATCTCCTTGAGCTTTCTGCAAGCCAGTTAAAAAAAAAAAAACCGGCTTGTTCCCAAGACTTTGGGAACTTGAAATGAAAGAAGACTATTGACAAAAAAAACAAGAACCCGGTAAGCAACCTGTGTATTGACTATTAAAGTGCACTTTGTCCCTGGCATAGGTACTACCGGAGGCATTCGTAATTTGGAATGGGCTTGGTTTTTCAATTTATGGTCTTGTCCTACTTGTTTCATGAATTTAACAAACACAACACAAAATCACCCTTTTCTTTTTTTTTTTTTTTTTTTTTTTTTTTTTTTTTTTTTGAGACGGAGTCTCGCTCTGTCACCCAGGCAGGAGTGCAGTGGCACGATCTCGGCTCACTGAAAACTCCGCCTCTCCGGGTAAAGCGATTCTCCTGCCTCAGCCTCCCGAGTAGCTGGGATTACAGGCGCCCGCCATCACGCCCGGCTAATTTTTGTGTTTTTTTAGTAGAGACGAGGTTTCATCATGTTGGCCAGGTTGGTCTCAAACTCCTGACCTCAGGTGATCCGCCCGCCTCGGCCTCCCAAAGTGCTGGGATTACAGGCGTGAACCACCGTGCCCGGCATTTTATTTATTTATTTATTTATTTTTGAGTCTCACTTTGTCGCCCTGGCTGGAGTGCAGTGGCACAATCTCTGCTCATTGCAATCTCCACCTCCAGGGTTCAAGCTATTCTCCTGCCTCAGCCTCCCGAGTAGCTAGGATTACAGGTGCCCGCCACCATGCCTGGCTGATTTTTGTATTGTTGGTAGAGAAGGGGTTTCACCATATTGGCCAGGCTGGTCTCGAACTCCTGACCTCAGGTGATCTGCCCGCCTTGACGTCCCAAAGTGCTGGGATTACAGGCGTGAGTCATCGCGCGCGGCAGAAAAGTACCATCTTAATAGTAAGGACTATCATAATAGTAGGGGTATTGGGTGCAGGGTATATGGGAACTCTAATATCTTCTAAATTTTTCTGTAAAGCTAAGACTGTTCGACAATTATACTCTATAAAATAAAAATGATTTGTTTTTTTAAAGATAGACAGCCATGTGTTTAAAAAAACTTAGAGCAAAGATCTTGCCCTAGAAAGCAAATGCAACTCTAACGGGGTTCTTGTACTGGTTAACATCCGCATTAAAGATGATGGTGACTTACAGGGCCTATGCCATTCTCTCTGATTTCTACGATTTCCTTATTACTCTCAACACAAGCTTAAATAAAACAGTAAACAGAAAAGTAAAATCTTTCCAGACCTTGGTTAACAAAAGCAGAAACAAGGAGGAGAACGAGGAGGAGAAGGTGAAGGAGAAAGAAAAGAACAAAAAGAGGAAGAAGAGGAAGAAGTCACAATCAAGGAGAGTATATCACCAAGAAAAGAAAGTTTCTATCAAAAACTTTCTTTGGGCTCTCAAAACTCGAGAGTCAAACATTGTTAATAAATTTCCACAAAAATCTGAAGGTCACAAATCCAAATCCTAATAGGAAAAGCTTTCATCAAAATGTACTGATAAAGGCTCAATTACAACAACCTGGAACTCATGTGGTTGGGACACTCGCTCGAGCTCATAGTTTTGAAGGATGGCCAGAATTTAGAAACAAAGTGGTCAAAGAATGCACTATTATCACACTAAGAGTTTGGCAACCCTATCAGCAAAATGAGCCAGGGCCCTCTAAGAAACTCACAGGACCCACATATTGCTGAGGAAAAGAGGTATTTACTCACAACTGAAAAAACAAAACTGAATGTATGTCTTGCTTGAGCAGGGGTGAACTACAAGCAGATTGCAGTCTCTTAGTAAACAAACAAAACAAGAAACAAAACAAAAGGCAGGATATGCAGAGGAGTTTAATTAATTGTCAAGTGAAATTAAATTCACATAAATCAGCCTTTTGGGTGGTTCAAAGTAGAGACGGCTGTGAATTGTTCCTAGATTGACATACAAACAAATACTTATTTATTTATTTATTTATTTAATTTTTTGAGACGGAGTGTCGCTCTATCGCTCAGGCTGGAGTGCGGTGGTGTGAACTGCGATCTCGGCTCACTGCAAACTCCGCCTCCCGGATTCAAGCGATTCTCCTGCCTCAGCCTCCTGAGTAGCTGGGACTACAGGCGCATGCCACCAAGCCCGGCTAATTTTTTTGTAATTTTAGTAGAGACGGGGTTTCACCATGTTAGCTAGGATGTTCTTGATCTCCTGCGTGATCCGCCCGCCTCGGCTTCCCAAAGTGCTGGGATTACAGGCGTGAGCCACCGCGCCTGGCCTTACAAATCTCTTTTACTTAGGAACTACTGAGTTAAGATAAATGTGGGTGCTAAATTCCAATTTGGCCCGGGCATGGTGGCTCATGCCTGTAATCCCAGCATTTTGGGAGGCCGAGATGGGCGGATCATCTCAGGTCAGGAGGTCAAGACCAGCCTGGCCAACATGGCGAAATCCATCTCTACTAAAAACACAAGAATTAGCTGGGTTTGGTGGCGTGCGCCTGTAATCCCAGCTGCTAGGGAGGCTGAGACACGAGAATCACTTGAACCCGGGAGGTGGAGGTTGCAGTGAACTGAGATCACGCCACTGGCACCCCAGCCTGGGTGGCAGAGTGAGACACCATCTCAAAAAATAATAATAATAAAAATGAAATAAATAAATTCTGATTTGTTGTGTGAATTCATGGTTAATTATGCAAAAGTGGAATATTCTATTCTTAATTGACTCAAATTAAAATTTCATTTAAATGTCAAGTTTTAAGATACCAAGATTGAGTGCTGATAGTATTGTTATTACTTGAGCACAAACTCCTGGACTCAGTTCTCTTGTCTTGGTCTCCGAAAATGCTAGGATTACAGGCGTGAGCCACTCTGGCTGTCCCCTCAGTAATTTTTTTTAAGTAAAGTTTATTTTATTTATTTTTTGAGTTGAGGTCTCGCCCTGTCACCCAGGCTGGAGTGCAGTGGCACTGCAAGCATGGCTCACTGCTACCTCAAACTCCTAGGCCCAGGCAATCCTCCTGCCTTGGCCTCTGGTGTAGCTGGGACCACAGGTGTGCACCACCATACCTGGCTAATTTTTCTATTTTTTTGTAGAGACAGGCTCTCACTATGTTAGCCAGGCTGGTCTCCAACTCCTGAACTCAATTGATCCTCCTGCTTTGGTCTCCCAAAGTGCTGGGATTTGAGGTGTAAGCCACTGCTCCTGACCAATAATTTTTTATATTAATAAATTTATGGCCGGGTGCTGTGGCTCACGCCTGTAATCCCAGCACTTTGGGAGACCGAGGCGGGCGGATCACCTGGGGTCAGGAGTTCGAGACCAGCCCGAATAATATGGTGAAACCCTGTCTCTACTAAAAATACAAAAATTAAACGGGTGTGGTGGCGGGCGCCTGTACTCCCAGCTACTCGGGAGGCTGAGGCAGGACAATCGCTTGATCCCGGTAGGCGGAAGTTGCAGAGAGCCGCGATCGCGCCACTGCAGTCCAGCCTGGGCGACAGAGCGAGAGTCCGTCTCAAAAAATAAATAAATATAATAATAATAATAAAATTTATGTCTACCAAAATAATTTATCTACATTATGAGCAAAATATGTCCATGTTTTGACTTGACACTTTTTGCACTCTCAACACTGCAATCCTCCTCATATCTTAAGTCAGCGTTTTGTTCATCCACTTGACAGTAGGGCAGAAAAGAGCCTTGAATGAATACCTCTCTGCAAATCCGACTTTCCCCGTTCAAATCTTGTCTCTTCCGCTGAGACTAGAGAGAATATAAGCAGCAAAACGCACCGCAAATACCCTCCCGGTTGCTCCAGGAGAAAGCTGGGTTCAGTAGCCTGTTGAGTATGAATCAAAAAGAAGTATGGGAAAATGAAAAGTATCTACATCAGAACAGGATCGTGATTCCTAAATTTCCGGACTAGTGGCCTGATGCATTTCCAGCTGAGCTAGCCAGAAGTACGATGGTTTTAGTGGGTATCTACTCTAACCCAAAACGTTCAGTCACTACTTAACCTTTCTTCCTCATTCTTTCTCTTGTATTTTAAACCCAAACACGCGAAAATAAACAAACAAACAAAAAGAAACACAAACTAAACAGTTGCTGCCTGCATCAAAGCTGCAGGCTGCTTCCACATGAGAACTGACACAACGTCACTTTCCTCAAACCTCCAATACCAGGGGCTACTGCTCCACGAATACTCAACCACACGCCCTCGAAAATGCTCAGCCTGTTTCCTGCGATGGAGAGTGCAGTGCAGTGAGGCACTCTCAGAGTCACAAAATCTTGGGCAACACGAGCCGTACCCTTCTGTGGGATATACACTTTGAAACCACTCACCTAGAGCCTTCTCTCTTCCCCAGGGCCTAGAGAAAGCTTGGCAGAGACGCGGCGCTTGGCTGCTTTCTTCCTCCACGCTTGTCTCAATACTATCCGTCTTTAAAGACGCGTCCCCGATTTTTCTTCTGCCTTCTTCTCCGCTGCTTCTTCTCTCCTCCACTCAGTGTTATCCCTCCCGGCTCCAAGAGCCCTTCCTTCCTTTTCAAAGCCTTCCCTTGCGTCCACTCCTCAGCTCATTTCAGTTCCCAGCCACTTGCCTTTCTAGTATAGTAAGAACATAACCTGTACATTAGGGACAAACTTCTCCCTACTCTCCCTTACGCCCCTGCTGGGTTTACAATGTTCTCCAAAATTCGTATCTGGATTAAACAGTCGCACCACATTTTGGCTACAGATGGGAAGGGTCTACTTTCTGCACTTCAGGGACTGATGAAATTTTCTCACTTGTGGGGGTGTAGGGAGGGTTTTACAAAGGGTGAATTGGTTTTCTCAGGTTGAGACCAGCTTCCTTTGTGCTTTCCTCCTTGCTCAAAAAAATTTGCTCTGAAAGAGTCCTCTGTCTTCGGCTTCGTTTGTGTTGTCTTTAAAACCAGAGCTAGTCAGGCTTGGCGGCAAACACCAGTAATCCGAGCACTTTTGGAGGCGGAGGCGGGAGTATTGCTTAAGCCCAGGAATTCAAGACCAGCCTGGGCAACACAGGGAGAAGACCGACCCGCCCCCTTCCCCCATCCCGTCTCTATAAAAAATCAAAAACAAAAAAACCTATAGCTGTAGAGTCGCCGATGAAGCCGCTGCCACATTTCCAAATCCAGATGTTGGACGCAACCTTGTGCAAAACTGCTACCTTTGTCACTCTTTGTTTTTGTCAATGTTGTGAATTAACCTCTTGTCTTTGCTTGTTTGGTTGTTTTTCAGGAGTTATTAACAACTTTATTGAAGTACAGTTGATATATGCAAAACCCCTACACGTTGAAGGTAAGCATATGAGTGAGGACATATGCATACATTTATAATGCTATTTCCACAATCGGTAATAAACACACTTATCAACTCCAAAAGTTTCTTTGTGTTCTTTCATGTTCATGGGTGGTAAGAAGACTTAAACATCAGAGTTATCTTTTTTTTTTTTTTTTTTATTTTGAGACTGAGTCTCGCCTGTCGCCCAGGCTAGAGTGCAGTGGTGCGATCTCGGCTCACTGCAACCTCCGACTTCCGGGTTCACGCCATTCTCCTGCCTCAGCCTCTCGAGTAGCTGGGACTACAGGCGCCCGCCACCGCGCCCGGCTAATTTTTTAAAACATTTTTAGTAGAGACGGGGTTTCACCGCGTTAGCCAGGATGGTCTCGATCTCCTGACCTCGTGATCCGCCCGCCTCGGCCTCCCAAAGTGCTGAGATTACAGGCGTGAGCCACCGCTCCCGGCCGAGTTATCTTTTTAACAAAATTTTAAGTGTACATTATGGTATTGTTAACTGAAGGCACTAGGTTGTGCAATAGATCTCTAGAACTTATTCATGTTTCATAACTAAAATTTTAACTCACCGAGCAACAACTCCCCATTTCCCTCTGCCTCTGGTCCCTGACAATCACCATTCTGTTCTCTGCATTTATGAGTTTGACTATTTTAGATACCTCATATAAGTGGAATTATGAAATATTTGTCCTTCTGTGACTGGCTTATTTCACTTAGCATAATGTCCTCCAGGTTAATCATTGATGCTGGTGCAAATGGCAGAATTTCTTTTTTATAAAAGGCTGAATAATATTCCATTGTATGTATATACCACATTTTCTTTGTCCACTCATCTCTCAATGGACACTTGGATTGTTCCCTTATCTTGGTTATTGTAAATAATGCTGCAGTGAACATGGGAGTGCATATGTTTCTTTGAAATTCTAATTTCGATTTTTTGGGGACATATACCCAGAAGTGGGATTGCTGGATCATATGGTAGTTCTATTTTTATCTTTTGAGGCGACCCCTTACTATTTTCCATAGTGGTGTCATCATTTTACACACCAACAGTGTAGAAGGGTTCCAATTTCTCTACATCTTTGCTAACACTTACCTTTTGAGTTTTTTCTTTTTAATAACAGACATCCTAATAGGTGTGAGGTGGTATCTATTGTGATTTTGATTTGCATTTCCTTGATGATTAGTGATGTTAAGAGCACCTCTTCACATACCTAGTGGCTATTTGTATGTCTTCTTTGGAGACATGTCTATTCAAGTCCTATGCTCGTTTTAAAAATCAGGTTATTTGGGATTCTAAGGGGTGTGTGTGTGTGTGTGTGTGTGTGTGGCTATTGACTTGTAGCGGTTTAAAAAATTTATTTTGTATATTAACCCCTTATCAGATAAATGATTTGCAAATATTTTCTCCCATTCCATAGCTTGCCTTTTTCCTTTGTTGATTGTTTTCTTTCCTGTGAAGAAGCTTTTTAGTTTGCTATAGTCTCGCTTATCCATTTTTGCTTTTGTTGCCTGTGCTTTTGGTGTCATACTCAAGAAACCATTGCCTAAACCAATGTCAAGAATATTCCCCCCTGTTTTCTTCAAGGAATTTTACAGTTTAGGGGCTTAAGTTTAAGATTTAAATTCGTTTTTAGTTGACTTTTGTGCATTAACATCTTGTCTTGTCTCCTCACCTGGATCTACGTTTCCTCTGCAGCACTCACAGAACTCGTCTTTATATTCTCTGGCACTATCGCGCGCGCGTGTGTGTGTGTGTGTGTGTGTGTTGGCAGCTCCATAGAGGAGGTTTTTTTAAAAAGGAGAGAATCTGAAGACATACCAGAAGATTCAATCTTGGAACTTCGCTCCAGGTGGACGGAAACTGACAAAGAAAGTTGGCTAACAGCAGTCCTTGAAATAGATGACGGCTGTGAGAGGATCCAAGGGTCTTTCGGTCCAGAATGCCTTTCTCCTCTTGACACAGCGTCAAGACAAGATTCCATTCAGAAGTTTCAGAAACAGGAGTTAAAACATAGCGGACTTTAACCTATCATGCCTTAAGCCCTCACCTTTAGATAATAGCATATAATAAATCAGTAAGAAAACGGCATTGTAAGTGGGGGTGTAGCTCAGTGGTAGAGCGTATGCTTAACATTCATGAGGCTCTGGGTTCGATCCCCAGCACTTCCACAAGTACATTTCCTTATATCTATCGTTGAACATTTCGTTTCAGTCTTTGAATACTTAGTTCCAGTCTTTTCTTTTTTCTTTGTGCATACACTAGCTTGTGTTTTTCCTACTCACAGCGAAGGTAAGCCATTTGGTACTCATTCATTTGTACTATGGGTCCTAACACTCCTTCAGCCTCCCAACCTGACTGCTTCAGCACAGCTTTATAGTTATTTACTGAAATAGAGAAGCTGCTTATTCAAGATCCCCTGAGAGTGAAGCAACAGGCATGCCGGTCATAGAAGACTCGTTCTCCTAGACCATCCTGGCTAACATGGTGAAACCCCATCTCTACTAAAAATACAAAAAAAAAAAAAAATTAGCCGGGCGTGGTGGCGGGCACCTGTAGTCCCAGCTACTCCAGAGGCTGAGACAGGAGAATTGCATAAACCCGGGAGGCTGAGCTTGCAGTGAGCCGAGATCGCGCCACTGCACTCCAGCCTGGGCGACTGAGCAAGACTCCATCACAAAAAAAAAAAAAAAAAAAAAAAAGACTCGTTCTCCTTTGCTGCCGTTTCTCATTACTATTAAGAAATCGGGGGGGAATAAAAAACAGAAAGAGAAGAAAAAAAAATCGCCCTTGGAAAACATCCATTAGATTTCTCTCCTCCCCCCCCCACCCCCACTCCACCCATATCTGACAGACTACAGACCTTTCCTCATTCTCCCCTACATTTCCACCACTCATAGAATCTTGGTTGGGCGGCAAAAGTGGGTCCAATCATTAGTCATGGGAGCGCTGTGATCTCAGCTTTCTCTAAAGAAGGAATGTTTAGAATTTTTTCCGAACGAAAGACGCTTCTGGCGAAACTCCGAGACTTTCAAAATACACAGTTGAGAAAATTATTTTCAGAGATGGAAAAAGCCGCTGGTCGCTCTCAAAGCGGTGTCAGTTTTGGACAAAAAGGGTTATGTTTTCCTGTGGAACAGAAGCTTGTAGTTCACCTCCCTTGGGAGGGAAAGACCTGGTTTCCTACAGCCAAAGAGGAGCCGAGGGGCCGGGCTCGGTGGCTCATGCCTGTAATCCCAGCACATTGGGAGGCCGAGGTAGGCGGATCAGCTGAGTTCAGGAGCTCGAGATCATGGCGGAAACCCTGTCTCTACTACAAACAGGAAAATTAGCTGGGCGCGGTGGCGCTCGCCTGTAATCCCAGCTACTTGGGAGGCTGAGGCAAGAGAATCGCTTGAACCCGGGAGGCAGAGGTTGCAGTGATTCGAGATTGCGCCACTGCACTGCAGCCTGGGCGATAGAGCGATATTCCGTCTCAAAACAAAACATTATAGAGGAGCCTAGGAGACATTGGCAATGCGGACAATTTCAGGGCCATCCAAATCTTAGGCCTCCGTAAAGATCTGGCTTGAAGCTCTCTCCTTCGTCCCTTCCTCTTCTGCAACCACCTGCCTCCACCTATCTCCCGACTCGTTTTCTTCACCACCTCTTGTCACCTTCACTTCCACTTTCTCCCATTCCCGTTGATTCAGTTCCACGGCTTCCTCCTACCTAAATGTCCTCCAGCAGCTCAGCTCACTACAGTTTCTGCAGCTCCACTTTCTAGGTTGGCGTTCTCAAGCCTGAATGATAATCGTCTGAGGGAGACCTTTCAATTGTGAAGATTCCCATCTTTCTCCCTATCCGGTGATTATCGGTCCACTATGGAGCTGTAAGTTACAAACCGGTATACCATTGAAGTTCTCAGGGCGGTTCCTCAGGCTCAGGAAACACTGCATTCCAGTCTAAAACCTTTTGACTCTTTATTGGAGGTTGTTTCTGGTTGGCTATGTTATAAATGGCGCCTTGCCTCTAAACGCCCATCTCAGTGACTTTCCAGCCACAACTGAGCCTCACTCCGTTAATTCTAGCGGGGGTGGGGACAGGAGACAAAAGTTGGGAAGGAACCAAGAAGTTGATACATAATTTATTCACATATTCAGGAAGATACAGATTTTGCACAA
Organism: Homo sapiens; assembly: GCF_000001405.40. Taxonomy (NCBI): domain Eukaryota; kingdom Metazoa; phylum Chordata; class Mammalia; order Primates; family Hominidae; genus Homo; species Homo sapiens. The sequence continues at coordinate 28,733,436 of NC_000006.12, read as the reverse complement.
ATAGGAAAAATATTAGAGAGAAAGGTAAAAGTAAGAGAAGACACAATGGTTTAGGATTACCTCCTAAAATTTATGTGGACATAGTTGGACACCCCAAAATTTAACAACAGGAGGAAAGTGTCTGTTATTTGTGCCATTGTGATGGTTGAGGTTTCAGAATCTCTCCAGGAGCACGGGGTAAGAGTAAAGAGGTTGTAACAGAAGTTTAAGTCCCTTAAACTTAAATGCCTCCTATGTGTTTCTTTGTAGGTCTCAGGAACGGAACTGCAGCGTCCCTGAGACGAAGCCACTGCTGAGTTTCCTGATCATGATGATCCACTGAAGAGTTTGCTAGAGCAGTGACTGTGACAGCATACACTTAGGTTTTTTTTTCTTTTTTCTTTCTTTTCTTTTCTTTCTTACTCTTTCTTTGTTTCTTTCTTTCGTTCGTTCTTTCTTTCTCTCTCTCTCTCCTTTTTTTTTTTTTTGAAACTGATGTTTATTTCCCGTCAATGTTATTTCCATGTTGTCTAAGAGCCTGTGCAAGAATAGCTTAAGACCATTCAGTGGTTGCTTCTACCCATTCAGTGGCCTGAGCAGTTTGAGCTGCAGATCAGTCTTCTGTGTCAGGCTGAGCGCTCCAGTCTTCAGTAGGTAACTGCTGGATAGGCACAGACGGCACCTGCAGGCCTTCAGACCTGTCTGCAACCTCAGGCTGGGTAGCAGTGAACTGAGGAGCTGGTGCAGTCCATTCACCCTGAAATTCCTCGTTGGTCACAGCCTTTTCAGCAGCAGCTTGCTTTTCTTTTTCAATCTCTTCGGGATCTCTGTAGAAGCAGGGATCAGTCATGACCTCCCACGGGTGTTCACGGGAAATGGTGCAACTTATGCGCCGAACTTCTGGGACCAACATCCACCACATCACACCCACTGAGTGAGCTCCTTTGTTGTTGCATGGAATGGCAATATCCACATAGCACAGAGGAGAATCTGTGTTACACAGAGCAATGGTAGGTAGGTTAACATAAGATGCCTCCATTAAAGGCTGGTGGTCAACCCTGGGGTCAGTAACCACAGGAAGCCGTGGCTCTCGGAAGGCTGCCTGGATCTGGCTAGTGAAGGTTCCAGGAGTGAAGCAGCCAGCAATTGGAGTGGCTCCAGTGGCAGCAGCAAATTTCAGCACTGCCCTCTGGCCAGTATTCCTGGAGGATATAACACTGACATCAGCAAGGTTTTCAATGGCAGCAATGGCACGAGCTGCCAGCAGAAGCTTCTCTCAGGTCCTTTTCAGATTTATGATGTAGATGCCATCGCTTTTACTTTTATAAATGTACTGTTCCATTTGGAAGTAAAGATTGGTGCCACCTGAGTGGGTTCTTGCGGCAAGGAACTTAAGGACATCCTCCTCATTCATCTGCAGTACATCAAGGGCTCCGAACATTGTGAAAGTTTCCCTTCAAGTCACAACGGGAATCCAAAACAACGCCCTATGGACCCCTCTGTGGGTAGCGCGGAAAAGCACACATAGGTTTTCATTTGGGACCTGTTTTCTTCTTCCATCTGAATCTAGATTTCCCCAGACAACTTTCTGAGTTCTGCTCTTTTGTACCCTCCTCCTAGTATTTCTAATTGTGCAGACAGCCAGAAGCAGTGAAAATTCAGGGGCTCTGGTGCAACGGTGTAGGAAATCTGTGATAGGGTGGAGACTACCTGGAGAAAGAGAAACACACTGGAGTTCCAACCTGAAGCCAAGTGTGTTAACGTTGGCCAGGCTTGTTTGTGTGTGAAGCTTTGAGGTCGTGGGTCTTAGCTATTCCCTTTTCCTGGAAAGGGGTCTCCAAAATATGGATTCCCTCATGGATTACAATGGCCAGAGTTCTACTGCTTCATGGGGATGTTTTGTCTTTCATCGTTCTTGATAGCTGCCTGAGAGATGTGTTGAGGGCTCCACACCAAATACTGTAGGGTTATAAACAGCAAGAGGTAAAAGATGCCCTGAGAATCCATGCTTGGCAAAATGGAAGGTGGTCCAAGCTGTTTTTCACTGATTTGGCAACTCTGCGGGCCAATCAGGAGTCAATGAAATGAGGGTCAAAGAGAAAGAAGGTCTATCATTTTTTCTTTGCCCAGAAATAATTCAGACAGCAGCATGACCATAATATACCTGATGGGGATAGCCCTGCCAGGGGACTCTGTGACTTAGCTGGTTAAAACCTCTGTCCTGGGTTTGGGTCTCAGAGATAACTGAGCTAGTGATTCATCCTTGCTCCCTCTCCTGCTCCTTAAGGAACTAGGAGGAGCACGCTCTTAGTTTTTTCAAACAAAGGAAATTTGACGCTATATTTGGAATTTCAACTTCACATTTAAAACATCCTTTTTTAATACAAAAGGTAGCATGCAAAAGCTTTGACAAAGAAAACTGGTATCGATTTTGATACATTCACCAATACACGATTTGTATGGAAAAGAAAGTGCAGAACAATGATATACCATAGTTTTTACTTACTCTTTAACAAGTGTTTCTTTCTAGAAATTCAAGCAACTTTATCTAGTCCTATTCCTCATCCACACACCTTTGGCCACACCTGCCTTTGGGGCCTTTGGTACAGTGATATGTGAAGTATTATTAATTCATTTAAAGATTCAAGAACAAACAACCCTGAAATTCATCGAGGAAATGTAGAAGGCAAATAATTTAAATACGCTATTTGGCAATGCTTCTGAGATTTTTACTGCAGCTAGATGTTTTGGTTTGAGGAATGGGGGGAGTTATTCGGTGTCTTCTATTACATATTTTGTGTACATTTCCTGTGAAAGTCGATTTAATATGCAATAAAAATAACTGCTGCCAAAACCCAAGACCTAACTTTTTTTTCTTTTCTTTTTTTTTTTTTTGAGACGGAGTCTCTCTCTGTCGCCGAGGCTGGAGAGGTGCGATCTCGGCTCACCGCAACCTCCGCCTCCCGGGTTCAAGCGATTCTCCCGCCTCAGCCTCCCGAGTAGCTGGGATTACAGGCGCCGGCCACCACGCCCGGCTAATAGTAGAGAAGAGGTTTACACCATGTTGGCCAGGCTGGTCTTGAACTCCTGACCTGAGGTGATCCACCCACCTAGGCCTCCCAAAGTGCTGGGATTACAGGCGTGAACCAGCGTGCCCAGCCAAGACCTAACTTTTAAAACCTGTTGGTAGATCGCTTGCTGTAGGCTGTAAGCTATTGCAGCGAACGAGAGCTGGCTGTTTTCAGTCACCCAAATGATGTTTTAAGCGTTCGCGAGGCAAAGCGCTGAGTGCCACCTTACATTTAGACAACCTTTACACACTAACTCACCCAGAAAAACTTGGGACCTAATGCCCAGCCCCTCTGCTGCTCACAATTCAATTATCAGCGGCAGAGGCGGCTGGTGGAGAAGCCCCGAGGAGAGAGGCGGAAGGCAACCAGTGGGAAGATTTTCTGCTCCTCATCCTTGGACGACCTAATGCCCCTAAAGCAGAGATGCACGGAAAATTTTCTCTGAGCTGCCTATTTTTTCTTATTTCCATTCTTTTTTAGTCTATCTCTTTAGCGATACCGCCAAACGGAACTCAAAGTGCATGGGTCCGTAATGAGATTGCAGGGTTCGTGCTTCCTGCCAAGGAGATCTTGATGGAAAATTTATCTATTTAGGTTTTTTTTTTTTTTTTTTTTTTTTTTTTTTTTTACGCTGGGCTACAAGTCGATATCTACATACAGTTAGAAATGATGCCATGACCCACACACAGCTTTGATGTAAGCCTAGAAAGTTTTAACCTTAATCAACATAATTTAAAAGATATTTGCGTCTGGAAAAAATATAAAGAAGAACTCCTTGTGGGGTAATTTGTGTCCCCCTTTCAATGTCTGCTTGTTTCACTCACGTTAGCAAGACATTCTTCTCAAGCTAAGTTTTATAAAAAGCCACAGATGAGTGCCAGAATAAATAGCATAGTATTAAAAGCAACACATTTGACACTGTCCTCTTTTTATAGGAGTAGGAGAAAAAGTGACAAACGCATGCAAAGAACCAGAAAGGAGAATGAAGAAAATGGACAACTGGAGGAGCCGGGGGTCGAACCCGGGGCCTCGTACATGCGAAGCACGCGCTCTACCACTGAGCTACACCCCCTGACCGCATGAGAGTTCTGTTGGCTTATATATAAAATATCACTTGTTTTCAGTTTGTTGGTTTCATTTTCTGTTGGTTGGAGAAAGATCGCTGGATTAAATTCCACTACTTTCGTGAAATCACTGAACTGGATACTGTTTGGCAGCTAACAGTATCCTAATATACTTATAACAGTATACTAAGACACTAAGATTATAGTCCAAATGACGCAGTTTCTTATCCTCGGACTTTCCAGTTCCTGTTAGCCTGCTTCAAGCTCCATTCACAAGCAAACTGCATGAAAGCTACTTTCCTCCACCAGCAAAAAGCACAAACTTCCAACATTGAGGACTGTTCAGTCATGGAGAAGGATCCCTGATTTTAGTCTAGACCTTTAGTCCAGAGCTCTTCCAATTGAGCTATGTTTGCCACACTTCTATTTTCTCCCGCAATACTAACTCAAATGAAGTGCTCCTCAGTCCAGAGGCAGCCGTCGGCGAGCTGAATTCACACTGTATTTGTCGGACAGTGTGACAACATCCATTTTCCAGCTGACTCTCAATCCTCGTTAATGCATCCTAATAGCTGCAGTCCCAGCTGCTCGGGAGGCTGAGGCAGGAGAATGGCATGAACCCGGGAGGCGGAGCTTGCAGTGAGCCGAGATCAAGCCACTGCACTCCAGCCTGGGCGACAGAGCGAGACTCCGTCTCACACACACACACACACACACACAAACAAAACAAAACAAAACAAAACAAAACAAAACAAAACAAAACAAAGAAACCTAATAAATTTTTTCCCTTCTCACCATTCCTGATCAACTAATAATTTTTACAGCAAAAAAAAACTTTTTTTACATTACACATCTAGTATCCTGATGTAATACAATTGTATTTGGCAGTTCTTTTTGATATTGTCTTTCCTAAATTTAAGTTCTACATTTTTAATAATAAAAAATGTATGATGTTTCTTACATTAAAACTAGCTCCTAGTTTCCCAATCAGCTTCCGATCCACAATAAAGACTTGTTCTAGCTCTTAATAAAAAGGTGAATATTGAAAATAATTAGCAGTAATGTGCTCCACACTTTAATTAGGTCAAAACAATTGTGACAATTGTCTGTGACAAATCTCACAATGTGAAAAACAAAAGAAAACAAAGCTCTATCAGTTCAAAAGAAAGAAACTTATTCACCCTAGGTTAATTATGTGCAAGTAAAACAATATTCATATAAACATGTTTCAGCAATTGTCTACCCTTTTCAGGTTGGACTGGGAATGTCCTAGAAGCAGATGCATTGTCATTTAGTCTGCAATTCAGTAACCTTTCTCGTGGTATAGCGATTAAACGAGATCCAGTTTAGTGATTTCAGAAATAGTGGGATTTATCTCAGTGGATTTTCTCCCGCCAACCATTATGTTTTGAAAATTAGAAATACTGACACAGATATATCAAGATGTATCTCCAAGAGAGCTTGGCTATCACAAGAATGTTGCTCGGTGGTAGAATGCATACTTAAAATGTGTGCTGTCTTGGTTTCATTTCCTGAAAATGTTGCTGTTCTTTAGCTACTCACCAACAGCCACCCCTTCTTTTCTCATACGCTTTACTCGCATACATGATCCAAAGTACTCCCTTTAGTGCTACTCCATTTGTACGCCATAAACTTCTGCACCACCCAGTGCAAAAGACTATGACAAAGACTAGATGAAAGAGGATAAAACAAAGGATTAATAGCTCATTCAAAATCATCGCTAGGAGACAGAAACCTGACCCCACATTAACAGAAATTAACCTTGGGTTCCAATTCTCCACATCTTCGAAGATTATTAAAGACAAAAAGAAAAGAAAAACAAAGAACGCCACCACATTTTATTTTTTATTTTTATTTTTAAATTTTCTTTGCTGTGTCTGGCTCAACCAACAGGATGTGGAAGAGCAGAAAGTTTTTTGTTTGTTTTTTAATTCCTGTTACTTTTCTTCTATCTCCCTCCTCCACCTATCCATTCCACACTGCCAGGGAATTGGATTCAGCCATCATATGTAGGAGTCAATAAGTTCCAAGTCTTTCTTAGTGGGTAAATACATTGTATAATAAAAGTACTTAAGAAACCTGAAAGCTAAAAAGTTGGAAACAATCGAAGTATTGAAAGAGAAATTGAATAAAATTTTCAGTCTACAGTAAGCTGAGATAGCTCGGTTGGGAGGGCATCAGCCTGAAGATCTAAAGGAGACTGGTTCAATTCTGGGTTTTGGCAACTTTTCCTTTTCAGAGACTCTACCAGCGATCTGCCTTTGCAGTCTTAAAATTTCATATGAACTGCATCTCTTAATTTATATTTCGTAATTGATATTCGGGGGAGCAAAAGAGCATGGCACATAAGCAAAGGAATTTCGTGTCTGACTTCCTTTGCTTCTCCATATATAATAAAGCAATCGCGATGCCCCGTGAATTTTGATGTGTGAAATAAAGATGAACTGTAAAATTCATTTTGATACTCACAATTTTATTTTATTTTTTCTTAATTAGAGTGACATTAGACAGAAAATGAAAAATACCATGACAGGCCGAAAAAAGAGCGACTGAAAGGGAAAAGCTTTGTATTTTAGCACTTTTGATGGCAGTTGCCCCTGCTTTTTGAATAAGGGACCCTGTATTTTCATTTTACACTGGGCCTGTAAATTATGTAGCTGGCCTTCTTCAATATTAAATCGACATTCACAGTACATGTAATTGTAGTATCTATAATCGGCATTCATAATTACAGATTATTAATTCATAGTTGACATTTTACAAATTTGGAGAATTGAAGACATTCTAACTCTTCGCATGCCTATAGTTGAATTATAATCCCAAGAGCACTGGCCAGTACTGTATTAAAATCCACGCCTACAGTATACGTTCCCTCTCTAAACTTCAATTTGTTGTTCTTAACTCTTTATATAAATTGGAATACTTGAAACGACATTGCACAGAAAATCCCAATGGAAGATATGGCTTGAATTTTTTTTTAAAGCAAACAAAAAAATGGGCAGTATATTATAATTATTGTCCTGATCTTTGCTATTTTTATGTAGTCTTATGTTGGGAGGATGTACAGTTTCAGTTTGTTTCCAAAGCCTTTGGATGCCACCTGTTATGTCCAAAATCAGGGGTGGAGGATCTTCGAAGGTAGACAGGAACGATAGAAAAATCTCAAGTTTTAAGAGAGTTGGCAGAAAGGCACACTGACCTTGCCAACCAAGGCCCCGCTGGGAGTCGAACCCAGGATCTCCTGTTTACTAGACAGGCGCTTTAACCAACTAAGCTACGGAGCCCACGGAGACTGTTTTTGGTTTCCTTCTATCAGAGTATACCTTGGTATTTGTGGTAGAATTTAGATTTTCCTTTTTATTAAAAAAAGTTGTTCATTTCTTGGATTTTTATTTGGCCTTTGATTCCACTCACAGCCACTCAAGACAGTGAATAACAGCTTTAATGGAAGCACTGATTTGCCAGTCTTTTTCTTTTGCTCTTCATAACCTCACTGTAGTTGTCTTGGAGCCTTGTTGCCTCATGGGAACACAAGCCGAGGGAAAAATTCAAGCAAGATCAAAGAAGGAACTATGAGTAAATATTTTTATTTCAGGATCATTTTAGGCTTTCTAAGGCATTTGACTTAATGTTCAGATTGTGCATCTGTGACAGAAGGGAAATGCCACAAGTTCTTTCACTTTAAAAGTCAACCCCTGGAAATGAGCTCAAGCAATTCCTATGGTTTACTAAGTTTGAAAAGGAAGGAAAATGAGTGAAGGAGTTAATAACCTCAGTGACTTTTTCTAGGGAACATTACAACTCTTTATCTAGACTCATAAAGAGATGGAAGACAAGGAAGACAGGAGGGAGGAAAACAGAGTGTTCTGGAGCTTTAGCGACTATACTGTCCCTTTAAAATGGAACTTTCTCTGCCAAGAGGAAAATTCAAAGGAGATTCACAGATTAGGACAACAGCTACCAAATGAGTTAGTGGAATATATATGTGTGTCCCAGCTAGATTGATAGATTCATGCAGTTCAGTTGATAAGCATTCAAACTATTAATGTAAGGAATGAAGACTCGAGTCTCTGTCACCAGTATTTTTTTTTTTTTTTTTTTTTTTTTTGAGACGGAGTCTCACTCTGCTGCCCAGGCTGGAGAACAGTCGCACAATCCCGGCTCATTGCAACCTCCGCCTCCTGGGTTCAAGCAATTCTCCTGCCTCAGCCTACCGAGTAACTGGGATTACAGGCATGCACCATGACACCCTGCTAATTTTTGTGTTTTTAGTAGAGACGGGGGTTTCACTATGTTGGCCAGGCTGGTCTCGAACTCCTGACCTCAGGTGATCCACCTGCTTCGGTCTCCCAAAGTACTGGGATTACAGGCATGAGCGACAACGCACGGCCTAGAAGTACAGTATTTTCTAAGAAGTTGAAAAACAATAATTCACTGCAACCTGCAGCTAAATCTGCTAAGATATGTTACAGCTAGTGATGGCAAAATTATGAGAAGGAGAGGAAGAGGCTTAGATGAAAAAGTTTAAATAACTTGTGATAAATGTAAACCTATTGTTATCTATTATATTATTCATTAACAGATAATTTGTGGAAAAAATTTGATGGTATCAGGTGTTATTGAACAGTAGACTTAATTTGCTCTGGTGGACCAGGCATCACTTTTACAAATTTTTGACAGAAATTAGAAGCTGAAGGTCCTGACAAGATGGATCACACAGCAGTTTAATGACTTAACGCTGACAAGTTGTATGTGTGTGTGTGTGTGTGTGTGTGTGTGTGTGTTTAACTCAGGGATGAGATGGAAATTTTTTTTTGAAGGGGAAGAACTGCCCTCAATTACTATGATCAAACACTGACTGGCTTTGGAAGTTAGCTTTTGTTTCAGATTGGATAATGCTTTTTAATAAATTCAGCCCAAAATTACAAGGTAAAACAATGTTTATGTATAAAACTTGTACTGCAGTAAAGTCATTTTGATGACAGCTAACACTGCTAGAATCATAGTAATATCAAGCTGCCCTGTGCACTGCTTGTGCTGTCAAAAGTTAAAAGAAGCAATTCTCCAATCCCACAGAAATTTTCAGCAGATATATTCTCCTAACTCGAACTACAGTACCAACAGTATGTTAAAAACTTAATGCAAGTGCAAAAGCAATTTTCATATTTCAAAATCTACTTAATTGTGCAATTGAGGAGCTTCACACTAAGCCTCACTTTGAAGTGACTAATTTGCAATGTAATGACATGCTAAAAGCAAACATAAAGAGATGAACCTACTAGAATCCATAAATGTCTTCCATGCAATGAATATGCCCCAAATTATATACTCACAGATTAATATTAGCCATTTGGCATCTCCTATCTTTATGAAAAGATATTTTCAAAGATGAAATAAATAAAATTGCACTACAGGTCATTAACAGATGAGCATTAGCAAATGACTTTGATGATAGGAAAGGCTAACTTTGAGCCCCCATCTGTAATAATAATAATTATTATTATTATTTAATTTTTCTCGTTATCAATAATTATACTCAATTAGTATTGTGTTTTGAATTGCATCAATAAATATGAGTAGACTTTTTTTCTCCCTTGTTATATAAGTACCTACATAATATCCTTGATTTGGCCATTTGACTTGCAAATCCTAAAATATTTACTACTTGGCCATTTACAGAAAAAGGTCTCTCTCAGGCATATTTTATAAGAGCACTAATCCCATTCATGAAGATTCCACCTTTATCACCTAATCACCTTCCAAAGGCCCTAAAGCCTAACCTAATAATATTGGTGATTAGGTTTCAACATATGAATTTTCAGTGATGGGGCAGTCACAAATATTCAGATTACAGTAGGAGTATATTTAAAAGCCTGGAAAACACAATTAATTTTGCACAAGCTTACTTTGACAAAGATTCCCTAGGTTGATCTCCAATAATTTCTATCTCCTAGTGTTCAAGTATTTGTGTAATACTCTTCCCTTGAGTGTGAATGGGACTTGTGATTTACTTCTAACCAATAGAATATGGCAAAGGTAAAGGGATGCCACTCCCATAATTACATAAATATGTATATAAAAACATACAATATATTGTTTATATTATTTATATACATACATTATTAAATCTATAATAATAGGTGTATATAAGCCATTTTTTATATAGATATGTAAGCAATTTTAAATATATGTACACACACAAATATATATTCAAAATAGAGCACAAAAACCCTGCCTAAGTCATTTGATGATAATGACAGCACTTGGGGTGGAGAAGATCCAGAGATTGAATCTGCAGTGAAAAAAAAGAAAATGACAATGGGAGATGATAGGAACAGAAGAGAGAGAGTCTGGTTTATTTGGCAGGCTTGAGTCTCAGGGGAATGACAACAGCATTCACTCCAAAAGGACCTGTAAGCAGCAACTGACATCTCTACTAGAGAGGGGAGAAGTCTTTAATACAATTCATTTATGCTGTAGATTTCAGGAACATGCTCCTATAATATGTGCTTGGCTGAATTACCAGACATTAGGGTGGATGGTCTTTCTGGGAAAGTGGAAGGAGTGTTTTCTGTGGAAAATGTAATTTTGATGCTACATAAAGCTGGTGGCATGGAATGGCTTGGTGTGGCACTTTTTGCATGGAAAAGACAATTCCCACTTACTTTGGATGGAGCATGTGTTCTAGAGCTTGTGTAATTTAGTTCACAGAACAGCTGGTGACTTTTTGTGACTCAAAGTTGTCCAAATTTGTGAGGTAGGAGAGATGCAGGTTTCTTTCTTTTTTTTTTTTTTAGATGGAGTTTCGCTCTTGTTGCCCTGGCTGGAGTGCAGTGGCACGATCTCAGCTCACCACAACCTCTGCCTCCCAGGCAATTCTTCTGTCTCAGCCTCCCGAGTAGCTAGGATTACAGGCATGCACCACCACACCTGGCTAATTTTGTATTTTTAGTAGAGACGGGGTTTCTCCATATTGGTCAGGCTGGTCTCGAACTCCTGACCTCAGGTGATCCGCCTGTTTCAGCCTCCCAAAGTGCTGGGATTATGGGTGGGAGCCACTGCGCCTGGCCTGAGATGTAGGTTTCCTAAACTCCTTTATTGAAACATTTGCAGTGGCCTCTGACTTTATGTGACCACTTGGTTTCTTCTAAAAAGTGGCGAATTATTTGCAACAAGCACTAAATTAACACAAACCAGACCAATCATCTTTTCTGTGACCAATGTCCTTTTCTCATGTTTCATGGAAATATCCTTAGACAAGTTTAAATTTTAACTGGGCTTATTTGAGCAAAGAACAACAAAATGAAACATAGCAAAACACAACAAAAACGATTGAAGAATCAGGCAACCCTACAAACCAGAGCAGGTTCAGAGAATGCCAACCAATAACATGGCCTAACAGCATAGGTGGGAAACATAAGTACAGTGGAGACAACCTCATTGGTTACAGCTTACTTTGTTAATTGGTTACAGAGCCTCCAGCAAGTAATTAAAGCTCAGCTACTGTAATTCAACTCCATATTAGTTTGATCTGTTAGGCTTAGTGGAGGAGGCCAGTCCAAATCAATGGCCTCCTAGATATTTTATTCAACAGATACAATAGCCTTTATCTTTCCTTCAAACCTCTTGCCTTATGCATTTAGGTCTCCCTCTATAATATTTTCTCCTGGTTTAAGTGAAACACAAAAACTATTTTCTGTCATAAACTGGATTGTGTGATCAAATTTATGTTGATTCATCAAAGTTATTATTAGGACTACAAATTTAGACTACTGGGAGGGAAAATGTAGAAATATCCCACAAACATAAGGCGATTGTCCTAACTCAGTGCAGAGGGTGTGTCTGCGCCCCCTGTTCATGTGATGGTGTGTCTGTGACACCTGTTCATGTGGTGATGTGTCTGTGCCCTCCTCTGATGTCTCCATAAATGCTTAGGACTTCCACTCCATTTCTTTTTTTGCAGCCTTTTCAAAAGGGGATGCTCTCTCAACAATACCCAGAGTCTGAGCTCAGCACTGGTAGAAGACAAAGGAGTTTTTCTGCACTCTCACTTCTTTCACTTCAGGATTCAAACCGGGCAGGACAGGGTAGCAAGTCTTTGTGGTGAATAAGCATCTCCTGCTTCCTCAGTTCAAAACTGGCATTGTTGAACACCTACTTTTCTATCTCTTAGGAGAAGGTAAAGAAACAAGAAAACGGCTTGTTTCTTTGTTGGGGATGATCTCTTCTACACCTCTCATCAGGGCCAGCTTCATGGGTCTGTGACCAGTGCGGTTCACAGGACTTTGGGCTCCACACATTGTGTAACGAAGTCTTGCTTTTCATTACTGGGTTCTTCATCCCACAGGATGCTGCTTTTTCCAAAGTACGCGAGCAGGCTGACTTTTTAAAAATGCTCCAGCCTTGCCGGACGGGGCGGCTCACGCCTGCAATCCCAGCACTCTGGGAGGCCGAGGAGGGCGGATCATGAGGTCAGGAGATCGAGACCATCCTGGCTAACACAGTGAAACCCTGTCTCTACTAAAAATACAAAAATTCAGCTGGCCGTGGTGGCACGCGCCTGTGGTCCCAGCTACTCGGTAGGCTAAGGCAGGAGAATCGCATGAACCCGGGAGGCGGAGGTTGCCGGGAGCCGAGATCGCTCCATTGCACTCCAGCCTGGGTAACAAGAGCGAAACTCCGTAAAACAAACAAACAAAACAAAACAAAACAAAACTACAACATCCTAATATTAATATTAAACTTTCCCCCAAATCCAAGAACGAACCCTCTTGAATTAATTCCTGATGCTAGTCTGAGGTGCATGAAAGATGAGGTGGAAGTGTGGTTAAGTGTCTAAGGAGATCCTTTTCAAGTTAAGGTGATTTTTCTGCCCTCAGAACTTTAATTTTTCCCACTAAATTTTTGTGAAGTATAAGACTGTAGCCAACATAGCAGTGATTGCTCAGAGTGGCTAGAGAGAGTAAGTGAGTAACAAAAATGTCAACAAGTAACTTTGGTAGGGTCGGGGAAGCCTTGGGAAGATGTTGGTAAAAGAATACAAAATTACAGTTAGAAGAAGTGCAAGAAATCTATTGTACAACATGATGACTATAGGTAAAAACAATACAATGTATTGAAACATGAAGAGATTTTAAAGTGTTGTCACTACAAAAATGATAACTATGTGAGGTAATGCATATGGTAATTAGCTCGATTTAGCTACTCCACAATGCATGCGTGTAACATTTTATTTTTTATTTGTATTTTAAATTTTAAATTGACAAGTAAAATTGTTTTTATCATATGAGATATGTATCTCAAAATAGTATGTTGTAGATAATAAAAACGTAATTTTACTTGTCAATTTAAAATTTTAAATACAAATAAAAAATGTTACATAGCACATTTTTTTAGGATAGGATAGTAGCACAGATTATCTTCTGGTAAATCAAGATGGTTTTGAAAACCCCAGGAAAATCCGAGACTCGTGGCAATGAAACCCGCCGTCTTCATTGGTGGTGATACACAACGTGGTATCAACTACTGGAGGTGCCGGGGATTGAACCCGGGGCCTCGTGCATGCTAAGCACGCGCTCTACCACTGAGCTACACCCCCGTTGCAATAGCCTTTTTTTTGTTCTAAACATTATAATTTAATCTTTCTCTTTGCTTGTGAGTTTTGAGAATCTGAAATTTAATACAAAGATCCCTTATGTATGACTCTATTTCTGAAACCTCTAGGTTTTTCTTTCTATCTTACAGGTACATCAGGAGAAGAGTAATTTGATGCTACACAAAAATATTACCATTCCAGTCTTGTCAGCCCACCCCAAATTTGGTTCCCAAGAAGAGGCCTGAAGGGCACTTCCATTCCTCCACCTGAGAGGGTCCCATGATGTAACAATCTCCAGCAGCTTGAAAATTTCTCTTGAGTGATACTTCTCTGTATAGTTTTGTTTCTTAGAATCATGTTAATGGTTTACACAGTCAAATTTAAAAACAAAACTAGCAACTATAGAGAAAAAGTACTTTAAATTTGAAAACAAATTGAAAAAAATAAAATCATTTCAAATGAATAATATCGGAATTTAAAAAGAGAACCAATCCAGGTAAATGTTTTACACGGTAGTTTGACCTTATAACTACATTCTAGATACAAAAGAACTGCAAATAGATGATCTCCCCTACAGTAGAACAGAATAGACAGCCTCAAGTCATACAGTTACACTGGCTTTTCTTACTTCTGCTGAGCCAAAATAACACACGCAAGGAGAATGAAACATAGACAAGTTTATCCAGGAGAAAGCTGGGTTTTACTAGGATTCTATTAGAACTGAGTAAGGGAAACAAAAAACATTATCAGGATCTGAAAAGGAGCTCAAACACTGGACCATCAAATTGAAAGTTTAATTTTCTAACAAATTATTCAGGGTTAAAGACATTTTGATTTTCAAAATCTCTTCAATTAAAAAATATTTGGTTACCATCCTAACATATATTTTTTTAAATATGTGTATATATAACATACATACACATATATATATTTAAAAATTATTCTATTTATTTATTTTTGAGACAGAGCCTCGCTCTGTCACCCAGGCTGGAGTGCAGTGGCATGACCTCGGCTCACTGCAACCTCCCCCTCCCAGATTCAAGCAATTCTCCCTGCTTCAGCCTCCTGAGTAGCTTGGATTACAGGTGCCCACCACCACTCCTGGGTAATTTTTGTATTTTTAGTAGAGATGGGGTTTCACCATGTTGGCCATGATGGTCTCAAACTCCTGACAGGTGAGCCACCTGCCTCGGCCTCCCAAAGTGCTGGGATTATGGGTGTGAGCCCTAACCTATATTTTTTAATGCTTTCCCTTGCCTTATGAGCCAGTGTGCTAGTAGTCACTCCTAGCCAAAACTTAGGTACCCAAGCTCAAAACTGCCAACAGATCCTCCTTCTCATTCAAATAGGTTCCACCACAGCCACAATGGAGTCAGGGAGTGGCTTTCCTTCTGTTTTCTTTGAAGCCACCAATATCAGTGGCTACTTTGTCAAAAACAAAAATTAAACTCTATGCATGCTTTCCAATGTGCAGTTTGTCTATCTCATTTATTGATCTAAAAGAAGTTTTAGCAACTTGATCCTCGACCAAAAAATTAACTGAATTACTAAAGAGGTGAGTGAGTGAAGAGGTGGCCAAGGTGAGAGTACCCCTAACTTTTTCTCTGAGGGTGAAAAGAATGTGTTATCTGTTGTGGAACTTGGGGCTTCCAAACTTAAGTTTAAACTGAGAGCCCAGTGGCCAAAACAGGTCAATCAGACACTTGGATTAAATATCTAAAACTCCATGTATTTTGGCTAGAGTGGGACCCCAATAAGTTTATTGTGAGTTCATTTACACAAAAGTCTAGGGTCATTTTGTGTGACTTTCAATGTTGCCTAAAAGATTGGTGGGCTATAAGATGCAAGAAACCAGCCGGGCGCGGTGGCTCACGCTTGTAATCCCAGCACTTTGGGAGGCTGAGGCGAGCGGATCACCTGAGCTCGGGAGTTCAAGACCAGCCTGACCAACATGGGGAAACCCCATCTCTACTAAAAACACAAAATTAGCCGGGGTGGTGGCACATGCCTGTAATCCCAGCTACTTGGGAGGCTGAGGCAGGAGAATCGCTTGAACCCCGGGAGACGGAGGTTGCGGTGAGCCAAGATCATGCCATTGCACTCCAGTCTGGGCAACAAAAGCGAAACTCCGTTTCAAAAAAAAAAAAAAAAAGAAAAAAAGATGTAAGAAACTACAAACTCTTGAAATAGGGCAAATGTAGTACGCTCTCTCTCTTTCCCCTTTCTTTCTTGCTTTCTTCCCTGGCTTCGTTACTTGGATTAGCAGGGAGACTTGGGGACAGCTCCTTCTTCTGTAGCACACATCAAGCACTGATCATCCACTTCTAAGGCTTCCAGAGTATGGCAGACAAAAGCTGAGGAAACAAAAATGTGTCTCATGTTTTTAGTACAGATGAGCTTTCATTTAATTGACATTACCTGAACATCTTCTTTTCTTCATTATAGGGGCTGTATATTGCTTTCCTCCCTAAACTAGAGAAATTGGAAATGGGCATTTCCATTTTTTTGTTTTATTTTGTTTTATAGGCTTTTATTGGTTTTATAGTTTTTCCCAAATCCAAGATTTAGTGCTCTTAAACTGAATCATAATGTCTTCTCCAGGTGAGTGATAGTTGAGGTACATTTACTACCAGGTGCAGGGAAGTTTGAATTTTGAAGGCACTGAATTTTGAAGGCACTGAATTTTGAAGGTAGTAAATGAGGTACATTTACTACCAGGTGTAGGGAAGCTTGAATTTTGAAGGCTTCTCAAGGGCAACTTTGAATCCTACTTATAGAATCCAAGGTCGAGTTCTGACTGTGGTCAATATGACCCTGAATGCTTGAGGTAGCTGGAGATAACACGTGGATAATGTCATAACAACGGGTTGCATTAAATGAGCACATCACTCCTTTGATAAACCAACTTTTTCAGAGGTGAAATAATTGGCCACATAGCTCACAGCCAACATGTAGCAGGACAGGTTTCAAAGCCAGACAGATTTCCTCCAAAGCACTTGCTCCAGATATTTTCTTTAGAGACAAAAATCCTGAATTCAAAAGACAGTTTGAAAAAGAGTGACTTTTGGATTCATTTTCTCTTTGACAATGTCAGTATCACTCATAGGAAGACATGTTGTCTTCAATGTTGAACAGTTCTCAGTTCTCATCCAATCCTTCAGTCAATAATTCTAGATGTCCACTAGGAAACTTGAAATTTCATCATCTGATCCATTCAGTAAGTTTTTATTTGTTTGTTTGGAGACAAAGTCTTGCTCTGTTACCCAGGCTGGAGTGCAATGGGGTGGTCTCGGCTCACTGAAACTTCCGCCTCCTGGGTTCAAGCTGTTCTCCTGCCTCAGCCTTCTGAGTGGCTGGGATTACAGGCACCCACTACCATGCCCAGCCAATTTTTGCATTTTTTAGTAGAAATGCGGTTTCGCCATGTTGGCCAGGCTGGTCTCCAACTCCTGACCTCAAGTGATCCACCCGTCCCGGCCTCCCAAAGTTCTGGGATCACAGGCGTGAGCCACTGTGCCCTAGTGAAGTCTTTTTTTCTTTTCTTTTCTTTTTTTTTTTTTTTTTTTTGAGACGGAGTCTTGCTCTGTCGCCTAGGCTGGAGTGCAGTGACACCATCTCGGCTCACTGCAAGCTCCGCCTCTCGGGTTCACGCCATTCTCCTGCCTCAGCCTCCCCAGTAGCTGGGACAACAGGCGCCCGCCACCACGCCCGGCTAATTTTTTGTATTTTTAGTAGAGACAGGGTTTCACCGTGTTAGCCAGGATGGTCTCGATCTCCTGACCTCGTGATCCGCCCTCCTCGGCCTCCCAAAGTGCTGGGATTATAGGCGTGAGCCACCGCGCCCGGCAGTGCGGTCTTATATAATGTTTGCTGAAGATTTGCCAAGAGGTTGGTGAGGAAAGGGCAGATCTTGCCCTCCACAAATCCTGTTTTCAGGATTTGTAGTATGAATGTGTCTCAGGTTGATTTTATTTTATTAAAGCTCTTAAAAATCAGAGACAAAGAAACAAACTTCCGAACTCATATAAGTTAGTGGAGGTTTTGCACCAGTTTTCTCATACTCCTTGCTTTAGAACTCATTAACCAAAGATATTTAAAACAAGATCTAAGAATGCAGCCATTGAGTAAAGAAATGGAATTTCCTTCTTGGGGCTAGAATGTGAAGAGAGGCTGCCAGGTGAAAAGAAAAAAGTAAAGTTGGCAGATAGAAATTGCTTTCCTCTGGCTAATTCAATATAAAAAAAGTGTATTCATATTCATACCTTTGAAAACCTTTAAAAATATCAGTCAGTTGACTAGAAATACTGAGTAGCAGGGTAATGAAAAGCATGGTGATCATATTGAAGAAGTGGGAAAAAAAAAGCAAAGGTAGCAACTGCTCTTGTTTACACTGTAAATGTTCTGGCTCACTTGTGAAATATTCACCTTTTTCTTTGCAGTTGATAATATCCATTTTAACACAAAAATAATTTGCTTCTTCCACATGGGGTGTCTTCTGATGATAATGGATGTTTGCAGAAAATATTTCATTTATCTATTCAAAAAGAAGAAAAAATGAGATGAGTGAAGAAATACAGAGAACTGGATAGGATAAAATATTTTGGCATGGTAGGTTATCTAATTCATTTAATGCAGACTTGTTTATTTTTTCACCTATTATTCTTGGCAGTATTGTAGTTCATTGAAAGCCATTGTTCTGTTGTCCAATGTCCATCCACCCACTCACCTAGAAATTGCTGTTATCTACGGCCATCTGTTCGCATTGTTAGACCAAACTTTTGATGGCAGGTACTGTGAAGATTGAGGTGAAGGGAGGAGACTAGTAGGATGATCAATGAGAAAATGCTCTGTTCTTCCACCTTCTCATATATTCATTGATGCTTTCCTGGTTTTGATCATCACACTGTGTTCACATAGATATTAAGATTAGAGGAAGACAGCAGACAGTTTGGGTATGCCAAAGAGAAGCCATAAAGTGCTGCCTGTAAGTGAAAAGGGGAAAGTTCTCTACTTAATACGGAAAGAGAAAAAATTCGTATCCAACGTTGCTAAGAGCTATGGTAAGAATAAATCTATCCTTGAAATTGTAAAGAAGGGGAAAGTTCTCTACTTAATAAGAAAAGAGAAAAATAATTCGTATCCGAGGTTGCTAAGAGCTATGGTAAGAATAAATCCTCTTTCCGTGAAATTGTAAAGAAGGGAAAATAAATTCTTGTTAGTTTTGCGAAAGCTACTGCTACAGTGTGTGATAAGTGCATGGAAAAGGCACTAAATTTGTGGGTGAAATACGTGAACAGAACACGTGTTCCACTTGACGGGGTTTCTACGGTGGTGGCAGCTTACGTGTTTTTCAGCTTCTCTCATTCTTACGAGGAGATGAAACATGAATAGCTATGAAAATATCACTGGGGAGGAAAAAAAAAGCCTGTGTAGAGGGAGTACCCTGCATTCCTGACTATGGCCTTCTTTGTCCTGGCGCCTCTCCTTGAGGAACCTGGCACCTCTCCTTGAGGAACATGATTTTTGCTTAATCCTTTCATATTCTAATTGATAATTAATGCCCGATAAAAGATAACCACTATGTATACAAAAAGTATAAAAAGATTAGAAGAATCTAGGTGGGAAATATAAAAACTCTGTATTTGTTTTGTAACCTTTCTGTAAATCCAAAGTTAGTTGTAAATGTAAAAGTCTAAAATTTGCACTAGAAATAATGAGAAGTAAGCCGGGCGTGGTGGCTCATGACTGTAAGCTCAGCACTTTGGGAGGCCAAGGAGGGCGGATCACAAGGTCAGGAGTTCGAGACCAGCCTGGCCAAAATGGTGAAACCCCGTCTTTACTAAAAATACAAAATTAGATGGGTGTGGTAGCACACACGTGTAGTCCCAGCTACTTGGGAGGCTGAGGCAGGAGAATCGCTTGTACCCGGGAGGCGGAGATTGCAGTGAGATGAGAGTACGCCATCGCACTCCAGCCTGGGTGACGCTTTGTCTAAAAAAAAAAAAAGAGGGGGGCCGGGTGCGGTGGCTCACACCTGTAATCCCAGAACTTTGGGAGGCCGAGGCAGGCGGATCACCTGAGGTCAGGAGTTCGAGACTAGCCTGACCAACATAGGGAAACCCTGTCTCAACCAAAAATACAAAATTAGCCCGGCGTGGTGGCACATGCCTGTAATCTCAGCTACTCGGGAGGCTGAGGCAGGAGAATCACTTGAACCCGAGAGGTAGAGGTTGCAGTGAGCTGAGATCGTGCCATTGCACTCCAGCCTGGGCAACAAGAACGAAATTCCATCTCAAAAAAAAAAAGAAAAAAGAAATAATGAGAAGTAAAGGAAAATTTTCATGAGCCTCTTCTATTTCTCCTTTTCTTCAATAATAGGGAAAAATAGAAGACAAACTGAATATCCTCATTATTGTGATAGTACATCTTGATGTCAAAAGAACCTGTGTAAATCAGATCTGTTACTAATTTCTATCCTCCTTCTTTCGTGATGACAGTTGTTTGGATGGTGCCAAGACTCACAGAATAAAAATGGGGCAGAGCCACCCCTAGGATGTTGAGTAACCCAGACAAACATATTTGTTTTTTGTGGGGCCCCTGTCCATGTGAATAATATATATATATTTATATATATATAATGTGAATAATATATATATTTATATATATATAAAGTGAATAATTAATATATATATTTTTATTTATATAATGTGAATAACATACATTTATATATAATATATTAATATCATATATATAAATATATATGATATATTAATATATTATATATAAATATATAAATATATATATTTATAAATATAAATATATATATTATTATATATATAAATGTATATTAAATATATAATATATATTTATATATAAATTAATATAAAGTTATATAAATATTATATAAAAATTATATATATCTATAAAAATATTATATATATATAAATATATTTATAAATATATACGTATATATTTGACACAGCGTATCACTCTGTCTCTCAGGCTGGAGTGCAGTGGCTGGATCTTGGCTCACTGCAACCTCTGCCTCTTGGGTTCAAGTGATTCTCCCACCTTGGACTCCTGACTAGCTGGGACTACAGGCAAAAGCCACCACATCTGGCTAACGAGTATATAATTTGATTAAAAAATGTTTTACAAAATTTAGGGGATCCTGTGAGGATCTTGTTGTGTATTAATAGAGATTTAGAATAATGGGTACTTACATATTTGTTTACAGCCTAATCAATACTCAGAAACATTTTTCGTAGTTTTCTGGCACCAACTCATCCTTTTCAGTCCAGAAACTATCTGTTCATGTTATTTATTGTTAATCACACTGTTTCTGGCTAATTCTATGTTTCCTACCATGAGTAAAAGGTAGCAACATTGTTATTACTCACAATACCGCGGCTCTTTGGAACTCTTTTGTGTTGAAACAATATGGATCTTCCTGCTTGTACAGTTCCCAAATGCCTTTTGTTGGATGCTGACTGCATCCTTACTCATGAAGCTGCATCAGCTTTCTTTCCACCTGTAAATGCTGGCTTCCAACTTCTCTTTAGAAGGTTATTACTATGACTATGTTAATAATGACCACAAATGTAAGTCATATCCACAGTATGTAGGAAAATGTGTACAGGTTAACATTTTTTTTTTTTTTTTTTTTTGAGACAGAGTCTCTGTCACCCAGGCTGGAGTGCAGTGATGCAATCTCAGTTCACTGCAGCCTCTGCCTCCCGGGTTCAGGTGATTCTCCTGACTCAGCCTCTAGAGTAGCTGGGAGTACAGCTGTGCACCCCATGCCTGCCTATTTTTTTTGTATTTTTAGTAGGGACAGGGTTTCGCCATGTTGGCCAGCCTGGTCTTGAACTCCTGACCTCAGGTGATCCACCTGCGTTGGCCTCCCAAAGTGCTAGGATTACAGGCATGAGTCACAGCGCCTGGCTAGGTTAACTTTTTCAGTCAAGTTAAATTTACTATTTGAAATTTAATAGCATAAATGTAGAATAACACATCTAGCAATATGTTCTTCTGAACTCTTTAGAGTGTAATCATTGGATTCGTAAAATGTGATTTCTTCATTGGCAGACGTAGCCTCTCCAATAATTTTTATATTTTTCAGTCCAAACCTATTCCTGAATCTGTGTAACCATCCCCTACTTGCAATATATGGGTTGGTGTCAATCATTTCAGAGGATCCCTTGATGAAGTCTTCATATGGGCTCAGTGTTTTCTGGTATAACGTGTTGCCCTCAAGTAGATTAAGTGTTCTGTTCACGTGTTTCACCCACATATTTACTGTCTTTTAAATGTTAACTATGCACTTATCACACACTGTAGCAGTAACTTCTGCAAAACTAGCACAAATTTCTTTTCTCTTTACAATTTCATGGATAGAAGATTTATTCTTACCATAGCTCTTAGCAACCTCTGATATGAATTTGTTTCTGTTTCCTTATTAAGTAGAAAACTTTCCCCTTTTCACTTAAAGGTAGCACTTTAGGGCTTCTCTTTGGCATACCCAAACTGCCAGCATCACTACTCTTGCACTTTGGGGCCTTTATTGAGTAAAATAAGGGTTATTTGAACACAAGCAACGTGAGGACAGTAGCTCAGATAACTCAGATGGCTACTGACTGACTAACTAGTGGGTGGCTTACTACACAGCGTGGATATGCTGGACAAATAGATGGTTTACTTCCCAGGCGGGATGGAGCACATGAGGCGACATTTCATCATGCTGCTCACAACAGAGAAATTGAAAACTTATGAATTGTTTATTTCTGGAATTTTTCATGTAGTAATCTCAGATCGCGGTTGACTGTGGGTAAGAAACAAACGATGAAAGTGGATTACTGCTATTCATTTTAATTCCAAGGGCCTTGGTTCTTCCTAATCCCACGCTTCAATGCAGCATTATTTAGACATACCACCCAAAACGTAGACCTTAGGCTACTTTTGAGTCTGTTGCCACTCATGAAGCAAATCGTGCTGTTTTCTGCCAAGGGTCCCTGCTCTGGGCCGCTAGGCAAATGAGCATAATACATGGAGGTGCTGGGGATTGAACCCAGGGCCTCGTGCATGCTAAGCACGCGCTCTACCACTGAGCTACACCCCCTTAAAGCTAGCTTTTTTGCTATATTTTATAACTGGCTGTCACTGTTATCTGCTAGTGTTCTACGATTTAAACCGAGGTCAAAGTCTACTCTATCCAACTCTACTATTTCTGAAACCCTCAAGTTGCATTCTGGACCGAAAGATCCCTTTAGTGCTATTAGGGTCTTTCATAATGGCGGACCCTCCAAAGACTGTTCCTAGGGAACTTCCCGAATGGCAGCTTTTGTCCACCACCAAGGAGAATCCCAGGTAGAAATATTATCTTAAACAGTCAACTTCCTACTTTTCTGTCTGCAGTGCTCCCAGAAAAACATAAACGGTACTACTAGGGAATACTAAGACCAGTACTAGGAGAGCTACTCAGGGAACGGAGGTCCAAGAGAGGAGATAAGACTGGAGGGGAATTAATTCACAATATCAGCGTGAAATGAAGTGTAAAGCATGTGTCAGTCACAACCCTCCCAAGCCGCTGGGCCCAGCGTCTACGGAAGCGTGGAAGCGGCATTCTGTCCAAGACGCTGCTCACTGGCTGAGATCCCTAGAGAGCGAAGACCAGAAAGAAAACAGCTCCAGGCGACTTTCACCTCTTTCAGGCAAAATCCTTTCACGGTGAGGCGAACACAAAGAAAGCAAGAGGAAGGAATTCGCTCTTTTTAAGACCTCCCTGCGCCTGGACAGGTCCTCAGACCCTGTGTTCCTGGAGCACAAAAGGTAAGGGTTTCCTGTCTTTATTCAACATGCGTGTGCCACAGTCAACCCAGGCAAGTGTTTTGGAGACAATGGGGGTTGGGGGCAAGAATGTAAGTAATTTAAGAACTCCCCCAGGTGACTCTGAAAATCAGCACGGTTCGGTTACAAGTGGAATGTCTGAGAACGGAAGAGAACTGAAGAGGAGGACGAGAAGAAGGAAGGAGATAGAGAGTGGAGGGTATTATGGGCGAGAGTGGGGAAAGTGGAAGAGATGAAGCAGCGAAAGACGAAGAAGAACAAGAGGACGAGAAGACAGGAAGCGGGTTCAGGCAGGGGACTCGAAACACCATCAGCATTTAAATAGGGAGGGAGACTGGACGTATCCAAGTTCCCCTATCTGTCGCGTTTTCACCAGGCCCACGGCAAGACAGAAGGTTTCACTCTTCTAAACAAAGTAGGCTGAAAACGTAGGTCCTGCACGAAGATTTGGTTTGTTTTGTTCTAGATTGTCGCGGGTTGAGAGCAATTCGTTGCTCTTTTCCTCTCTGGATAAACAGGTTGAGCGCTTCACCAGGCGTTCGTGTGGCTGAATTTTTGTGCAATAGGTACTGGGAATGGCAGTTTTTTTTTTGTTTGTTTGTTTTTGTTTTTTGAGACGGAGTCTCGCTCTATCGCCCAGGCTGGAGTGCAGTGGCGCGATCTTGGCTCACTGTAAGCTCCGCCTCCCAGGTTCACGCCATTCTCCTGCCTCAGCCTCCCGAGTAGCTGGGATTACAGGCACACACAACCACGCCGGGCTAATTTTTCACTTTTTTTTTTTTTTTTTTTTTTTTAGCGGAGACGGGTTTCACTATGTTGGTCAGGCTGGTCTCGAACTCCTGACCTCGTAATCCTCCCGCCTCGGCCTCCCATCGTGCTGGGATTATAGGCGTGGGGAAAGGCAATTTTATAAAGAACATCTTGAAAGCCACGCCCGGACTCTTTCGGTATTCTTTACTTGCATCCTGCACTTGTCTTAGCTGGAGTCAGAAGAGAAACAATTTGAGCAGAGAAAATATGTTTGCCATAGTGTTGTAGGACCACACTATTGTCTGCCTCATCTCATAGGGATTAATTAATGGGCTGAAGATGAGGGACCATTCTGACAGGTGTGTAATGACATCTCATTATGGTTTTATTTTGCATTTTCCTAATGGTTAATGATGCTGAACATCGTTCCATGTGCTTCTTTGCTACCTGTATATTTTCTTTGGTAAAATATTTCTTTATGTCATGTTCTAATTAATTTTTTGTTTTTTACTGTTGAGATTGGAAGTTGTATTCTAGTTCTTTATATATTGATACTAGGCCCTTATCAAATGTGTGGATTTATGTCTGCCACTTTCTTATTTGATTTCCATTTGTTCTCTCTGGTGTTTTTGTTGTAGCATTTGTTGTTCTGTTATCCTTTTTCTACCTTTTTCTGGATGTCTTTGATGTTTTTCGTATTCCATTTTAACTTAGTCATTGGCTTTTTCTCTATATCTTGTTACTTTAGTGATTGCTCTGTGATTTAGTGATTACAATATGCACGCCATCCACTTAGACTTCATGAAAGTCCAGCACCAATATAGGATCCTTTACCCCTTCACCAACTTTGTTATAGTTGTCAAATGTATTACACTGACACATGGACAATTCCACTAGATAACACCCATATATATTTAAAATAACCTAGGAGAAAAAAATTATTTTATATTGTCACAGATATTTATCATTTCAGTGGCTTTTCCTTCACTCCTGAAGATCCAAGTTTCCCTCTGGTATCATTTCCTTTCAGCCTGAATAATTTTCTCAATATTTCTTACACAGAAGATTTGATGGTAATGCATTCTTGTAGCTTCCCTTCTTTGAGAATACCTTTATTTTCTCCTCATTTCTGGATTGTCTCTCTAGATACTGAATTCTGGATTAATATTTCATTTATCATTTTAAAGATGTTGTTCCACTGTCTTTTGACTATCATAGTTTCTGAAAGAAAAATCCACATATTTGGATTGTGGTCTCCGTTTTAAAATTGTGTTATTTTCTGTAGTTGTTTCCAAGATTATTTTTTGTTTGTTTTTAAGATAGGGTCTCACTTTGTCACTCAGGCTGGAGTGCAATGGTGTGGTCACAGCTCGTTCCAGCCTCGATCTTCTGGGCTCAAATCATCCTCCCACCTCAGCATGCCTCTCTGCCTTCTGTAGCTGGGACTACAGATGTGCACTACCGTGCCTGGCTAAAATAGCTTCCTTCCTTCCTTCCTTCCTTCCTTCCTTCCTTCCTTCCTTCCTTCCTTCCTTTCCCTCCCTTCTTTCCTCTTTTTTTTTTTTTTTTTTTGAGATGGAGTCTCACTATGTTGCCCAGGCGGGTCTCAATCTCCTGAGTCCATTGATCCTCTTGCCTCAGCCTCCCAAAGTGCTGAGATTACAGGCGTTAGCCACCATGCCCAGCTCCAAGATTTTTAAAAAAGCTTTTATTTTCAGCAGCTGGATGATAATGTGTCTAATTAGTTTTTTAAATTTTGATTGGAAGTTTCTTGAATCTGTAAATTTACATCTTATTTTTGTCATTATTTATGTAAATATTTCTCTACACCAGTCTTTTTTCTCCTGAGACTCCAATGACATCTATTTTAGACTATTTGATATTATTCTACAGGACCTTGAATTCATTGTTTTCAGTCTTTTTTTTCTCTCTCTTCCCATTAAATTGAATGGTTTCTATTGATCTATCTTTAAGTTAACTGATTTTTTTTCTCTACATCTCCACTGAGTCTATCCATTGAACTTTTAATTTCAGATATTATATTTCAGGTCTAAAATTTCCAGTTGGTTTCTTTTTCAATACTTTCTATTTCTTTTTGTTTTTTTTGAGACAGGGTCTTACTCCAAGGCCCAGGCTGAAGTACAGTGGTATGTTCATAGCTCACTGCAGCCTTGAACTCCTGAGCTCAAGTGGTCCTCCCATCTCAGCCTCCTGAGTAGCTGGGACTATAGGTGCTTACCACCACACCTAGCTTTTTTTTTTTTTTTTAACCTTTGATAGCAGATATCTCTAGCTGTGTTGCCCAGGCTGCTCTCAAATTCTTGATCACAAGCAATCCTTCCCCTGAGCCCCTGTAAAGTGCTGGGATTACAGTTGTGAGCCACCATGCCTGAACAGTTTCTATTTCTTTTAATAAAAATTTTTACATTTTAGTTCGTTAAAGTATGCTTGGCATAGACCACAGTTAAAATAGACACTGAAAGTCCTCATCTGATAATTTCAAGATCTGAGTCACCTTGGATTTGCCATCTATTGATTGTATTTTGTCTTGAAGATTGAATATATCCCCCTGGATCTTTGTATGTTGAGAAATTTTTTATTGTGATGATTTTGTGGAGAATGCTTGATTTATTTACTTGTTTTTAGCAGATAACTTACCTGATTAGTTCATACTGAAAGTTTTATGTCTCAGCCAGGCATGGTGGCTCACGCCTGTAATCCCAGCACTTTGGGAGGCGGAGGCGGAGGCGGGCAGATCACAAGGTCAGAAGATCAAGACCATCCTGGCTAAAACGGTGAAACCCCGTCTCTACTAGAAATACTAAAAATACAAAAATACCAAAATTAATTAGCTGGGCATGGTGGCGGGCACCTGTAGGCCCAACTACTTGGGAGGCTGAGGCAGGAGAATGGCGTGAACCCGGGAGGCAGAGCTTGCAGTAAGCAGAGATTTCACCACTGCACTCCAGCCTGGGCAACAGAGCGAGACTCCATCTCAAAAAAAAAAAAGTTTTATTTTCAAAGCTTTTGTTATGCTGTTTCAGGTCTTCCCTTGAGCATGTCCCACTTGGTGTTAGTCTGAGATGGAGGTCTTCGTATAAATATACTGTTAGTTTGGAAAGAATTTGTTATGCTGTTCTGGTTCTGTCTATAGCATGCACAGCTCAGAGCTAAGCCCAAGACGTATGTGGCTTTATATACAGATTTTAGGGAATCCTTTCTTCAATCTTTCAGGATTCTCCTTAACTCTTCAGACTTTTCTCAACTTTTCCTTGATAATTTGGCTAGAAATATGGAGTTTCTGTCACAGTTTCTGTTGCCTACACAACTGCTTCATGATTGGGGCTCACTCTCAGTAAAGAGCTGTGAGAAAAATACTAAAAATAAAAAAACTCATCTTTAATTCCTTGCGGGTCACCCTTCCAAGTTTTTATTGCCTCCATAATCTAATTGCTTTTGTTGCTTGATAAGTTTGGTGGGGGTGGGTGTGTGTGTGTGTGTGTCCCCTCTCCCCATAATTTTTGCTATAATCAGCAAGATATATTGTGATGGGATTATGCAAACATAGAAAACCTGGAATCTTCTGCTTGTAAAGTTTTACTTTTAGTTCTTAAAATGTTGAGCTTGATTCTTAGAGCTCCCAAGGGAAAAATGCTTTCACCAGAGGCCACCAAAGGAACGGTTCCATTAAACCGGAAGTTGAGAATGACATTTTACCACTTTGGCCTTTTTGTGCCAATAAACCAGCAGGCAAGGAAGGGGCTTACTCTTGGTGATTGCTCATGGTGATTGATCCTGATACCAACTTAAATTGGGACGTTACTACACAAATGGGGTTATGAAGGAATATGTCTGGAATTTAAGGGGGTTTTTAGCAGTGCCTTTCAGTGAGTAATATCATCCACTGTGATTAAAGTCAATCAAAAACTAGAACAATCTTTTGTACAGGGCACTGCTAAATGTCATAAACTCTCTAGGAGTGAAGGTTTGGTTTACCCCATCAGGCAAAGAGCCTTAACTGCTGAGGTACTTGCCGAAAGCAAAGAGAATATGGAGTGAAAGAGATAATTACAAATACCAATCAGCTGCAGATACAAGTACTCTAATAGTTATGAGCATTCTTTCTGTGTGTTTATCGTAACCAGTCTTTTTTCTTTCCTTTTCTGGCTCACCCACTGTATTAGTTTCCTAGGGCTGCTATAACAAATTATCACAAACTCAGTAGCTTAAAACAATGGAAATTTATTCTTTCATAGTTTTGGAGGCAAGAAGTGTGAAATCAAGGTGTGAACAGGGTCATATTTTCTCTGAGACTCTGGGTAGAATCCTTCCTTGCCTTGTCTTAGCTTCTGGTGGTGGCCATCAATATTTTGTATTCTCTGACTTGTAGCAGCATCACTCCAATCTCTGCCTTTCTGGTCACATGGCATTCTCACAGTGTCTCTGTATACAAATTTCTCTCTTCTTGCAAGGACATCAGTCATATTGGATTAGAGTCCACCTTAATAATCTTGTCTTAACTTGATTACATCTGCACAGACTCTATTTCCAAATAAGGTCACATTCTGAGGTTCCAAGAAGTTTATGATTTGGGGGGAAGGACAGTATTAACCCAGTACAACTACCACCTAACATAAGATATATTAATACTAGTTACATTTATATCCCTGAATTTAAGTAACTGTATATCAAAAGAGGAGTGGAATAAACATCACCAAAAGAGGGTTCCATGGATTTTGTTTTTGTTTGGAAGGTAAGTACGGTTTAAAGATGTGTGTGGGGTGCTGAGCAAGTTGCAATACATAAGCCTTTGTCAGCATAGGCAATGGTTGAAAACAGGAACAGAAAATACAGAAATTAGAACCCAGGCTTGTCCAGTCAAAAAAACAAACAAACAAACAAAAACAACAAAAAAAAAAGAAAGGAAAAAAGAAAATACAGGAAAGTTTGGAGACACAGGAAGAAGAGGAGAAAAAGAAGCAGAAAAAGGAATAACAAATAAAAAAGAAAGAACAGGGAGAACTCCACAATATAAATGGGAAAATTATTTACCACTGAAGGAAAATAGATTTAGAAGAAGCCAGGTAACACTGAAGAAGCTCTGGAGGCAGAAGAAAGAAGCTCCGATGGTAAGGAAATTATCCCAGCATTTTTGAGATTTGAAACCCTAATTCCTCAGTCCCTAAAGGAGAGTTATAAATCCAGACCAAAGAAATTAGTTGCAATTACGTTTTTGTTGCATTACTTGAAAGGAATCTCATGCAACTATTGTTTCCCTTCAAGAAGAATAAAAAACAGTAGCTGTGCACATTATCTTCCATTCATTCAATCAAAGATAAGTATCAGCAATGTATAATGGGGCAATTATTGGGTTAATCTCTTGATTCAAAGGTGTGAATGAAATAATCCCTGACCTCAAGGAGATAGAACTGGAGAAGATCAGAAAGTAAATACATCAAAACCCACAAGACTATTTGATAACTTACTATTCTCTGGTCCTACCAGCTGCAGTGTACAGCCATTTCATAAGATACGAAATGGAGACAAACAAGACAATTGGAAATGGGAGTCAAAAAGGAGTCACTAATGTTAACAAAACCCTGACAAATAAAGCAGGGGAAAACCATGAAGAGAGGATTCTCATGCTTGTATGCCTAATAAAAAAAACTATCACAAAAGACTGTGAAAACCACAACCTTGCAATCTTACACACAAAAAATATGTCTACAAGGACATCTGCCTAGCAACTGCCTGTCCAACCTTGGACTAGTGTCACCCTTGTTATTAATATTTGCAGCCAAAGATAATTATTTCAAAAACAATTATGTAGCCCTCCTCAACTTTTCTTTAAAAACTTTTGTCTTTCTTTACCTCCCTGAAGACATACATCGTTTACTATGGCATGCCTATTCCCACTGCAATGCTCTGTTCACAAATAAACATATTTTCTTTTAGAGAACCTCTCTCTGTTAGTTAGGTTGACACATGGAAAGTCTCAGGGTGGAATATTCTGTTGGGTCTTCAGTCTCTTTCTCACTGCAATTTCTTTTTTGTTTCTTTTTTCTCTTTTCTCTTTCTTTCTTTTTCATTTTTTTTTTTTTTTTTTTTTTTTTTTTACGGTATAGACCAAGCTATCCAGTCCTTCTTGGCCATTTTGTCCATACCCATGTGTTCAAAAATATTATCTATCTAGAAATAATTTCCACCTTTGCTTTCTATATCATGCCCTTCTTTCTTCAGCAGCAATCAACAAAGTCCAAAAAAAATTCTTGAAAAATTAAGAAGCTTCTCAACATCAACATGTGCAAAATAAAAATTATTGTCTTCCATTTCCACTTTCACATGTGTAGGTGGCTCAAAATTAAAAATAAAAAGAAGCTTTAGACCAGTGACAGGATCTGGGAGAGGACTTACTTGGCAGGTAAGATTGAGCAGGGGCCAGGCACTGTGGCTTACACCTGGGAGGCCTAGATGGGTGGATCACTTGAGGTCAGGAGTTCGAGACCAGCCTACTCAACATGGTGAAACTTTGTCTCTACTAAAAATACAAAAATTAGCTGGGCGTGGTAGCTCATGTCCGTAGTCCCAGCTACTTGGGAGGCTGAGGCAGGAGAATTGCTTGAGCCAGTAAAGTGGAGGTTGCAGTGAGCTGAGATTGTGCCACTGCACTCCAGACTGGGCAGCAGAGCAAGACTCTGTCAAAAAAACCCCAGCAAAAATGGTGTCATATGCTTTAGAATTTATTATCCTTTCTTTAACATAGGTGTGAGAAAGGTTCTAGGAAAAGATTTTTGAAATGGACTTTAACAGAATAGACATTTACTTTTAAATGTTACACTTTCACAAAACCATGTAAAATGTAAAACTAGGGAATATGCAACAAGAAATTGCAACAGTGATGGGGCTGTGGCTTGATGGTATAGCTTTTCTCTTCCAAGTGTAAGGTCTCAAATTTGATCCCTGGGAGCGCCTGTGCTGCTTTCTTTTTCCATAGTTCTGACAATGTGGAATCAGCACCTTCCTTTACTCCCCCTTTTCCCCTCATTATTTTCTGCTCCCTGGCAAAGTAAAACAAAATGTAATGGGTTGCCACTACACAGAGTTATTGGGAAAACACAAGAAAGGCATGAGTGCAAAGCACCAAGTAGCCAACAGATTAATCAGCTTTTTAAAATTTACCTGGTCTAGGCTGGGTGTGGTGGCTCATGCCCGTAATCCCAGCACTTTAGGAGGCCGAGATGGATGTATCACTTGAAGTCAGGAGTTCAAGACCAGCCTGGCCAACATGGTGAAATCTTGTCTCTACTAAAAATTCAAAAATTAGCTGGGCATGGTGGTGGACTCTTATAATCCCAGCTACTCGGGAGGCTGAGGTGGGAGAATTGCTTGAACCCAGGAGATGGAGGTTGCAGTGAGCCGAGAACCCGCCACTGCACTTCAGCCTGGGTGACCAAGAGAGATTCCATCTCAAAAAAAAAAAAAAAGAAAAGAAAAGAAAAATTTACCTGGTCTACCATTTAGCAATAGTACTGAAGAGAAAGAAAGACTGTGAAATGAGGAAAAAGAAGCTCACAGGCAGAAAATATGCCACTCTCTCCTGATCCTCTGTCCTTTCTGTCTTTGCTGTCATTCTCCATTTTTATCTACACAAACTTCATTGCAGACTTCATCTCGTGGGTCAGACATTTTCACCATCATTATCAGTGAATTACGTGCATATCACATGGCAAAACCATGCCACTTCTTTTCATTTTAAAGTGGATTATGTCTAAGTAACAATATACAGAGTTTTTGGAAGGCACCCTAATCTCTGAGTCAGAAACTCTGCAGACATGACATCTCTTACCGTGAGTTTTGCATTTTCATGAGGCTATGAAGGAGAGGTCCTCTGGAGAGTGGGTAGCATGAGGGCTCAAAATTACCCATTCTTATCAGAAGATAATAAGATTTTTGAGTATTGTTCCAATTTTCATTGTGAGCTGTCAGTTTTCTGATTGGGAATTAAGTGTTTTTCCATTTAACTTCATGGGTTCTTCATGCTCAATTTTCCTTAATGCCAATACAAAACCTAATGCCACATAACAGTGGGAGGGATTTTGTTTCTTACTTTTAATTCAAAAGGTAATCAACCTAACAGCAACAAAAAACCTGGCAGAGATTCTGCTTATCTTTCTGTACTTACTAGCTAGATAGAAGACTAATCAAGCTACTTGGAAGTCTCCTTAAGTAAATCCCTCACTCACTAAATCCATAACTCTAAATCCCCCGTCAGTCTGCATTCTTCCTCATTCTCTTAAATCTGTTTTTCCACTTTCATGCCTATAGTCACTCTTCTGGTAACCCATTTAATTCTCGTAAGTCTTCAATGTTGGCTTCTGCCTACAGTGGTAGAATAGAGCAGAAAATTTCTGGGTTGCATCTGTTTAAACCATGGAATTCTTATTTTACTGCAACCTTGGTTTTGCTCCCTCAAACTCTCGACTTTTAGAATCCAGTTGAGCAAACAGGAGGATGTATGGAAGGATGTGCTCACTATAAACACTTAGTTTCCTAAGAGAAATCCAGGTTTCAATTTACCTCTATCAAAAAGTTAGAAATACATAGGTGAAATAAAAGATTAGCTTTACCAAGGGTTTAAATCCTGAAATCTCACCTTAAAAGACTAAACCTCCACCAAATGGGCTATGCCCCTTCATAGTTAAAGAGCTTCTTGAAATCTTGTCAAGTGAATATTTTAAAAATTATACTCTAACCTGTTTGCCTCATATTTTCTCTTTCATTTCAAGTTTCCACACTTTTTTTTTTTTTTTGAGTCAGAGTTGCCCTTTTGTTGCCCAGGCTGGAATGCAGTGGTGCGATCTCGGCTCACCACCACCTCCACCTCTTGCGTTCAAGTGATTCTCCCGCCTCAGCCTCCTGAGTAGCTGGGATTACAGGCATGTGCCACCACACCCAGCTCATTTTGTATTTTTGGTAGAGACGGGGTTTCTCCATGTTGGTCAGGCTGGTCTTGAACTCCCAACCTCAGGTGATCTGCCCACCTTGGCCTCTCAAAGTGCTGGGATTACAGGAGCGAGCCACCGCGCCCGGCCCTCCACACTGTATTTTGCTTACACACATACCTGAGATGCTAAAGCCAAAATCAGCCATAAATTCCACTTCTATAATTAACATTGATTGCAGTGTAACCACTCACACTTTGCACACTGTGGTGCTTATGGAAGCCACCAATAACAGTGGCTCCTGCACCATGCACCTTCAAATCAGCTACACGCATGCCCTCCAAAGTGCTCATAGTGTTTGTCCAGTGACAGAAAAGGGCAGCAAGGCATTGTCAAAGCCATAACAATTTTAGACTAAACAAGTCAGATCTTCCTGTGGGACAAATGTCTTTAGTGTTTTTTCTTCCAGAAGAAAGGGGAACTTGTATAGATAAGAACTTGTACTCTAGTGATAACAAGAAAGATATAGACCTTTGGATATATCCTGTCTACTATATGTTCACTTCACCTCCTCTTCTATGAAATTTTCCTAAAAAATTAATTCAATACAGGCTCTGGGTGCTTGACTTCCTAGGCTATTGGTTCTCAAAGCTGACTGATTACTGGAATCATCTGGGAAGCTTTAAAATCATGTACCTTACTGGCTGCTTCTGCTAGAAGGTACCCTAGGGTTTTCTCCAAAGCTCCTGTGAGGGTTGACAGTCACACAAAAATATTGGCAAAACTCACAGGGACTACTCTTCGTGTCTTATGTGGCAAAGTTTGAGGACTTCTCTAGGCCTAAAGAGGCTTCACGAGGATCTGGAATTTTTTTTTTTTTTTTTTGAGATGGAGTTTCACTCTTGTCCCCCAGGCTGGAGTGCAGTGGCAAGATCTTGGCTCACTGCAACCTCTGCCTCCCGGGTTCAAGCAATTCTCCTGCCTCAGCCTCCCTAGTAGCTGGGATTACAGGCATGCACCACCACACCCGGCTAATTTTTGTATTTTTAGTAGAGATCGTGTTTCACCATGTTGGCTAGGCTGGTCTCCAACTCCTGACCTCATAATCCACCTGCCTCAGCCTCCCAAAGTCCTGGGATTACAGGTGTGAACCACTGTGCCCAGCAGATTTATCTATCTATCTATCTATCTATCTATCTATCTATCTATCTATCTGTTTGTTTTTTTACAAAGACGTTATAAAGACTTAATGTTCCAGATCACATATTGTTTCTTTTCCACTTTCTTTATTCTGGACAGAATTTTATCCAAATGAGGCTTTATAATACATTGCAGCTTTTCCCTTCTTTTACTCTTTCCCTTTCCTTCTATGGGGCCTCCTTAACTAGAGCTGAAGCATCCATTAATTGGGTCCAGGCCAGGGTTTGCTAGAACAGTGACTGTGAAACACTGTTGTTGCTCTTCATTTATAGCCAGGCTTTGAGATAAATTTTTTCCTCTTCTGTCTTATCTACCCAACATTAGCCTATATTTTGAGATTGGCACTCATGTCTCTCATTTTGTCATACTTCATTTCTCAGCAAGTATTATTAATTTATTTCACTTCTATCTTTCCCACTTACCTGGATCTAAATCCCCTGAGGTAACACATTGCTAATATTCTTTATGTCCTTCTGCACGGTCTTCTTCTTTTTGTCCTTCTGCATTGTCTTTTTTTTTTTTTTTTTTTTTTGAGATGGAGTCTTGCTCTGTCACTCAGGCTGGGGAGAAGTGGCATGTTTCGGCTCACTGCAACCTCTGCCTCCTGGGTTCAAGTGATTCTCATGCCTCAGCCTCCCAAGTAGCTGAGACTACTGGCATGTGCCAACACCCCTCACTAATTTTTGTATTTTTAGTAGAGGTGGGTTTTCACCACGTTGGCCAAGCCAGTCTCCAACTCCTGACCTCTGGAGATCTGCCTGCCTTGGCATCCCAAAGTGCTGGGATTACAGGTATGAGCCACTGGGCCCGGCCTGCACTCTTTTGTCTTTTTTGATACTTTGTAGACAACATGGAAGTTGAAAGAAAATAATATTGAAAAGAAGTAAATATCTCAACTTGGGATTCTCCTCGATGAGTTGAAGCTGATGCTCTGTAGTATGTTGGTGAGCAGACCTTGGAGTGGCCTGACTGGAGTGAGAAAATTGGAGGAGGAAGATCTTAGTAAACAAAACTGTTTTTTGGTCTAGCATTCCATTACTTTTCATGGCATAGCTGCAAAAAGGGACTGGTCTAGGATTTTCTGAAATAGTGAGGTTGAATACAGTAAACTGTCCTACCAACCACTGGATATCCAGAAATTGGGACAATCATCAGTTTTAGAGGATTTACTGAAATGTAGGGTCAATTGGGGTATATAGCTTGGTGGCAGAGCACCGGCTAAGCATGCAGGTGAGTCCAGGTTTATTCCTTCATACTGCTTTTCTCTTACTTCTTCAAAGCTGTACTTAAATAACACAACCCTGTTGCATAAGCATAAGACAAGAAGAATTGAGAGAGAAATATCCCCCTCACTCAGGATCTCCCAAAAGGAGAGGAACAATCGTGTCACCATCACATTAGTAAGCTCTCATTCTTTTCGTTCCATTACACAGTTTCCTGAGGAACAACGATGAAAAAGAATGATCAAGGAAAAGAAAAAGAGGCCCTTAAGCAATCTTTGTTAACAACTCTTTTTGTGGTTGTTCCTGTGTGAAGCCTGAGGAGCCAAAACTCACCCACTGATTTTTCTCTCCCCTCACTGCTCTTCCATGCACACAGATGGCAGTAGTTTCAATCAATTACCAAATGTGGCAGGTTATTGATCCCAACTTCTGAGTGAGGGATCAAGGGAAAGACATCTCTCAAATAATGCAGTGCTTTCGAAACTCAATAGCTGAGATAATTACTAGTGTCAGTGAAGGTAGAGGTGCAGCTGACATAACTCAGTTGGGAGAGCCCCCGATTAAAGGTCTAAAACTCCCATATCCCTCCTCAGAGTTTGAAATCAATGATGTGTTTCAGCAGCATGTTGCCTGATCACAAACATCCTCCTGCACTCACTTTTCAAGGAAATCTTCTAGAGGGCTAAGGCGAGGAGAATCAAAATTGGGTGGCTTAAATGTTCCTTGCCTTTGCCAGTGAACACTTTTTTTTTCAGTGTTTTGAGGCTTTAAAGGAAAACTTGCTTGATATAACTTTCGTCAGTGTTACACAACAGCTCTTGGATAAAGAAGCAGCCCAAGGCTTTGACGTGAATATGTACATCCTTCGCCTTATATGCTAAGCTGAAAGCTTCCCGTGAACAAAGGGCTCTGCTCGTTCCCAGACAATTCAATTCTATTTGCTTTGCCATATCCAGGACCTGCTCGCATTTTCCAATCCCCCGGTGGCACTGCTTGAAGGTTTCCGGGCCTCTTTGACTTTTTCTTTCAAATATGTACATATATAGCAGAATTCCTCCTTGTGTCCGTGGGTTCTCAAAGGGAAGGCAGTTGGAAATTCTCTCCGCTGCCCTGCGTCTGACCTTGCCCTGTTTATTCCCTAAGTCTGGGTGGGAGGGAATATGTCACTCCATTTAAAGTTGATGGAGTTTTGAAGTCGCTGTTTTAAAACCCGTTTGTGGATATAATAATCGTCAAGCGAGAAATAGAGATGGGGTGTGGAATCAGAGCAGGACAATCTCAGAACCTGGGACTCACGAAAAGAGCTGGAAAATGGATGTTGGCAGAGCCTCCGACCCAGCATGGTGTGAAGATCAAGGAAAGCCCGCGGCTGCCTCTGGACTGAAAAACACTTTTTTCTGAGTCATTATCGCTGCTATATATGTTGGAGACTTGAGACTGTCTCAGGACCTTCCTGGTGGAGGCAAGAAACTCTCACCGAGTCGCCGGCAAGTGGACCTTGGAGCAAGTTAACAGGAATGGGAAGGTCCTAGAATCAAAAACGGTGCTATTCAGACTAAAATCTGTTACTCGTCTAATGAAGCCACTACACAGTATCCAGTCTTGTAATTTCAGAGATAATGAAATTTAATCCAGTGGACTTTCTCTACCTAACTCTTAAGTTAAAAAACTATAACAAAACAAAACCAACAAGAAAAATAGCAACAACATTTTATAAAAGAACCCAGGAAGTTTGAGAGTCAGGGGGTGTAGATCAGTGGTAGAGCGCATGCTTCGCATGTACGAGGTCCCTGGTTCAATCCCTGGTACCTCCATTTTTCCTTCAGCCAATCCATCCTCTCATTATGGACCTCCATTGATTTGGGAGAAGCAGATCTCATGTCTGTTTGGGTGAGTGATTGGAAGAACTTGGATAACCCAAACCGCGTTTCTTAAGGAATGCGGAGCTTGCCAATGTGAACTTTGAAAACTCATTTGCGGCCGGACGCGGTGGCTCACTCCTGTAATCCCAGCACTTTGGGAAGCCGAGGCGGGTGGATCACGAGGTCAGGAGATCGACATCATCCTGGCTAACACGGTGAAACCCCGTCTTTACTAAAAATACAAAAAAATTAGCCGGGTGTGGTGGAGGGCGCCTGTAGTCCCAGCTACTCGGGAGGCTGAGGCAGGAGAATGGCATGAACCCGGGATGCAGAGCTTGCAGTGAGCCGAAATCGTGCCACTGCACTCTAGCCGGGGTGACAGAGCAAGACTCCGTCTCAAAAAAAAAAAAAAAAAAAAAAAAACAGAAAAAGAAAACTCATTTGCAAGTTTGAGGGCCAGATGCTATCAGCATGCAGGGAGAATTAGATATGGTAGGGGGCTTAAAGTCTTAAAAGTTTTCTTCTCGACGCCGGATTTTGGCAGAGTGATTAGTCTGGTAGATAGTAAATAGATTCTCATTGAATATTTTGACACGCTGTGTTATCGCATACTTAGTTGAAATAAAATTGCAAGAGTCTTAGTGGGCGATGGGTTAAAATTTCTTCTCTTACACTTGCCTTCTGAAAAATCAAGTTGCTTGTGTTTACAGTTGTACAACCAGAAAGTAGAATTCATGAGTTAACAGCACACCAAAGATCCCTGCGGTAGATGCAGCCAAAGGGGCAGTGTGTGTGTGTGTGTGTGTGTGTGTGTGTGTGTGTGTATGTGTGTGTGTGTGTGTGTGTGTGTGGTGGCGGGGTGGGGAACAGTTTAAGCATAGACAGATGCCTAAGTTATTGAGTTTCCTGAAATAAACACTGACGGTATAAACAAGGGGCCAGTAAAAATGATAAGACGAAGAACTCCTCTGTTTCTAAGCATAGTCCTACACTGGAGGAATGTACCAAAATCAGTTCCATTTTTGTTTCCTTTTGAATGCTAGTTCATGTATCAAAGCGGGGGACAAAAAGTGAAAAAGCTGGAATTCTGCTGAGAACTTGCTTCTGGAGCTCTGGATTTTCCCGTGTCTAGGGAGAAGGCCTTTGAAGTGAGGGTAGCAGGAAGACTGGAAATGCATTCATATAGATTTCTAGAAAACAAAATAAAACTTGGCCTTAGACCGATTTTGGACCCTGGGATTCATTGTTTCTGCTTCACACATCTTCCTACCTGTCAGCTTGCTCCAAGGTCCGCTCCACAACCGACTCCCTGGCGGGCACTTCCATTCACAAAGCCCCAGGAATGAAGCATTTTCTTGCCTCTTCAAGTTGCCCCTTTCCCTCAACTTCTTCTGCCTAAGGACACCAAAGGTAACACAGAAAGGAAATCAAAGAAGTAAAGTTAAATGCTGCTTGGCGAACTCTAGGTCCTAATGGAGGATGTAAAACAGAAGCTTACAGAATTCACAAAACCTGGCCTGAAATGCAGAGCGACAGCGTGTGTCTGGCAAATCTGGGGTGGTTACACGGCCAGGACCGACAGCTGCTTTTCCATCGCCGAAGCTCTGATCTGAAAGAGAGGAGGCGGGGTAGGGAGGAGGAGGGAGAATGCTGCAGTCGGATACATAGCCTCTTTCAGATGGGATTCTCTCTGGAATCAGGAGAGGGCAAGGGAGAAGGTGTGTGGACTGGGGCACGATCTATGCAAGGAACTAACACTTTGTACGCCTGGTGAGCGTCTCAAACGTGATCTGACACAGCTCAAAGGGTCGACGCTGTCATCCTCTCGCCAGTGTTTTGTGTGACAGTCAACCCAGACATGAGTTTTGGATGACGACCGAAATCACGGTCCAGGCGGGGCCGGGCAGTTAAGTTACATCATTTAGAAAGCTCCCTAAATTCGAAATCCGGCAGATTTGGGAAATCCTGGCCTGGAAAATCAAGAATTCAAGCTGGATGGAGTGGGCTGAGTTATTGGGAAGTCGTGGCCTAGGAGGAGGCAGTGAGGAGACCAGAAGGGAAAGGGTGAAGGGATGGGTGGTTGGAGAGAGGGGGTGAGGCGAGGTTGGGGTTAGCAAAACAGCACGTACAGGATTTGGATGGATGAATAAGTAGGACGTGTCCAAGCTCTGCACGTTTTCTCTGAGTCCTCTAGGTACGAAAAAATATTACAGTCTTGTATGTTTGAAAGGAAGTAGGCCAAAACCTTTCGTCCCCTAGTAAGATACCATTCCTTTTTACGCAAACAACTGTCGGCTTTTGAGAGCGTCGTTGGGCTGTTTCCAGAGCTGAACGCTTCGGGAGCGTACCCGCGTAGCTAGGTTTTGTTTGAGGTGTAGTAGCGGCTGGTATTGGTGGCTTTCGAAAAAAGCCAGATGGTTGTGGTGGGAGTAGGTTGGTGAGTGTAGAAATGGGATTTGCCGGCTGCTTTTGGTTTGAGCACGTGAGGTAGTTCTGCAAGCGATTGTTTTCGTTTGGAATGGAAGACAAAGCTGACGATAACTGTATTTCTCTGTACTTAAGCTATGTACTTAAGCTATGAGGGAAGGTTGCTGTCGTGAGCCTGGGTAGCTCAGTCGGTAGAGCTATCAGACTTTTAGCCTGAGGATTCAGGGTTCAATCCCTTGCTGGGGCGTAAGGCCTTGGCCTTCTGTTGATGAGTGTTTTATATACCAAGCAAGGATTTTAATTCACCTTGCTCTATTCTGGACATTTGAATTTGAGCTGTTAGGCCAGAAAAATAATGGCTGAAGCCATCAATCAGAGGTTTCTGGTGCTTGGGATTTTGTTTAAAGGCAAAAATTAAGGAAAGGCCGGGCGCGGTGGCTCACGCCTCTAATCCCAGTACTTTGGGACGCCGAGGTGGGCAGATCGCTTGAGCCCAGGTGAAGGGGTGGCCTGCCCCTCCACACCTGTGGGCGTTTCTTGTCAGGTGGGATGAGAGACTGAAAAAAGAAATAAGAGACAGAAACAAAGTATAGAGAAAGAAAAGTGGGCCCAGGAGACTGGCGCTCACGTGCTGGCACTGGTCTCTGAGTTCCCTCAGTATTTATTGATCATTATCTCTACCGTCTCGGAGAGGGGGATGTGGCAAGATGATAGGGTAATAGTGGGGAGAGGGTCAGCAGGAAAACATGTGAACAAAGGTCTCTGTGTCATAAATAAGTTTAAGAAAACGTGTTGTGCTTTGATGTGCATGTACAAAAACATCTCGTACACAAACATCTCTGGGTGCATTAAAGAGCAGTATTGCTGCTAGCATGTCTCACCTCCAGCCTTAAGGCTGTTTTCTCCTATTTCAGTAAATAGAACATACAATCGGGTTTTACACCGAGACATTCTATTGCCCAGGGATGAGCAGGAGACAGATGCCTTCCTCTTATCATAACTGCAAAGAGGCCTTCCTCTTTTACTACACAGACCCTTTATGGGTGTCAGGCTGGGGGACAGTCAGGTCTTTCCCTTCCCACGACGCCCTATCTCAGGCTATCACATGGGGAGAAACCTTGGACAATACCTGGCTTTCCTAGGCAGAGGTCCCTGCAGTGTATTGTGTCCCTGGGTACTTGAGGTTAGAGAATGATGATGACTTTTAACAAGCATGCTGCCTTCAAGTACTTTTTTAACAAAGCATATCCTGCACAGCCCTAAATCCACTAAACCTTGAGTCAACACAGCACATGTCTCTGCAAAGCACAGGGTTGGGGATAGGGTTACAGATTAACAGCATCTCAAGGCAGAAGAATTTCTCTTAGTACGGAACAAAATGGAGTCTCTTATGTCTACTTCTTTCTACATGGACACAGTAACAGTCTGATCTCTCTTTTCCCCGCATTTCCCCCTTTTCTTTTCAACAAAACCGCCATCGTCATCATGGCCCGTTCATCATGGCCTGTTCTCGATGGTCGCTGTCTCTTTGGAGCTGTTGGGTACACCTGCAGACTAACAACAGACAGAACAGGCACACAAGGATTAATATGAAATTTATAAGAGTAGTACTTCCGATGGTCTTAACCCAAGTGACAGGGTTAAGATTTGCAAGACCATCAGCAACTCCCGCGATTGCCTCAGTTCCTGGTACCAAATTTAAATGGGCTTTTGATGCTTCAAAAATTTGTTCTTTTAATTTGGAAATGTCTAAAGTGAGGTTATCTTCTCTTCCCTGTAGATGGCATCTAACCATGTCCCAGTGATGCTCAGACTCATTATAAACTCGGGGTGTAATACAAAAATCTGACCTATTTCAGTCACACTGTAACTGGAAACGATGTTCCAAGCTCATGAGTCTATCTCCCATCCAAATGACAGTTTGTCTAAGATCATTAATTTGATTTGCCAGTTTTTGATTAATACCAGATTGTGAATTCCACAATCTTGTAGAATTCTTTTGCCAATCGTTAACAAAGTTTACTGTCTGAACAGAAGAGTGCAATGCAACTCCTGCCACAGCGGCCGTAGCTGTGACTGCACTTAATCCGATAACACTGCAATTAAAGTAAAAACGAATCTTTTGGATCTATTTAAAATGCCTTTTAATACTTCAGTCAAAATATGGACAGATGGCGAGGCCTCCCACGGTCGGTGCATGGACACGGGGATCCACACGCCTTCTCTTGCTCTCACTAGCAGAATACAGTGCTGCCAATTAAAAGTCGAATCAATGCAAGTAAACAGTCTGCAATTTTCACAGGTTATAGTTTGGGAGTCTGGTTTAATAACTATATTTCCTACAACTAGCATATAAGGGGGCTTTACACAACTTTGTGAAGGAACCGTTAGACTGGAATTTAGGTTGATAGTGTAACACGGCTTATGATCTCTTGTTTTTATAGCTTGATTTCTAGACCAAATTCTAATATGGTAATGAGGCCACATTAAGCCTCCATAATTCTGGATGTTCAGGACCAGAAACAGGACTTATTATTTTTGGTCTTGGAGTAGAGATTTCTTTTTCTCCTCATTCTCAAGGGTAGAAAGACTATAATTTTTCGTGCTTATGTTTGTCTAGACTTTCTGTTATGTCGCTATCAACATCTGGACTCACTTGTGCACTGGGACATGATTGAGTTTGTCCTGTGCAATTGTGGTAGAATTGACCTCGAGGTGCCCTATCTATAACAGTTCCAAATTCATCGTTTTGTAATATCACTGCTCTATTGGCCACACATTCTTCCAAAACTAAAACTTCTGTGTCTTTTGATCCTTTGGGAATTTCCTTGGGGCAAGGTTTCCCTTTAGGCCTAAATTTTAATGATCTTTGATAAGAAAAGTCCTGTAAATAATTTACCTGTGGCCTGAGTGACATTCCACTTACCATGTGATAAGTAAAT
The DNA here is from genome assembly GCF_000001405.40 of Homo sapiens. Classification (NCBI taxonomy): domain Eukaryota; kingdom Metazoa; phylum Chordata; class Mammalia; order Primates; family Hominidae; genus Homo; species Homo sapiens. Next base: position 28,690,514 of record NC_000006.12, on the reverse strand, counting down.
CTACTGGTGGTACTGAAAGTAGGTACGTTTACCAACCAATTTTGGATTGCAGGCATTAAACATCCTGGTGTTCTCCCTAGGCAAATAGGAGGATAACAATACCCAGTGGAAATATTTATCATCATTCCTTCTTCCTCAGGTTTGGCAGGGCAATAATCATCTGTGGGGCCAGGTAGCCACACGCTATTATTAACATATAATTCAATAGGATTATCCATCCATGTGACTCCTGAATTAAGGGCAGGAAAGGCACATAGGCCCAGTAGGTATAATTAGCTGCAGCTACTCCTGCAGGCATGGGGAGACACCACCGTTGATACAATCATCAAAGCTGCAAGCAGCATACTCTCTGGAGTTTGTGTCTCCTTTGTGTTCTCTAGACATTTTGTAGCTAACTGCGTCAGCTTCTTTAATTGTGCCCAAGTCAGCAGCTTTGTCTTCTTGGTGGATGGCAACTTCATCTATTCTTCTGACATCACCATTCTGTTCATCTTGTGAGTCGATGGTGCTCGATTGCTGTGTTTCCATCTCCGTGGAGGCGCTTTTCTTTGCATCTCCGATGGGTTCATTGTAGAACTTCAAATGTCTAGTGGGTATCCAAACAGGAAGCTGATTTTCTCCTGGTGAAACACAAGAAAAACCTCTCCCCCATGTTACCACCTTCCCTATTTCCCACGTCTAATTTTTGTTGTCTTTCCACCAAATCAGTTTTCCTTCATGTGGGCTGTTCTTTTTATCAGTAAGATGTTGTTCTGCAGAAGTAGTAGTCTGATATCTATAAATGTTTAAAACATTTAAAGTATAGAGTGCTAGATTAAGTTGCATCTGAGGAATGGTACACTCCTTACTGTCTCCCCCTTCTTTTTGTTTAACTAATTGAGTTTTGAGTGTTCTATTAGTTGTTTCAACTATGGCCTGTCCTTGGGAATTATAGGGAATTCCTGTTGTATGTGTAATTTTCCACTGATATAAGATTTTTTGGATTTTGGAAAGCTTTACTACAGTATCCTGGTCCATTGTCAGTTTTAATTTTTTCTGGAACTCCCATTACAGCAAAACGAGATAATAACTGTTTTTTTTTAACATGGGAAGTACTTTCTCCTCTCTGGCAGGTTGCCCATATGAAATGTGAATAAGTGTCAACTGTTACATGGACACATGATAATCTTCCAAATGAAGGTACATGCGTGACACCCATTTGCCATAACGCATTGGGACACAGACCTCTGGGATTAACTCCTACCTCTTGAGTGGGCAGGTGTAGGATTTGACACTGGGTGCAATGTTGTACAATATTTTTTGCCTGTTTCCATGTGACATCAAATTTGTTTTTTAATCCTGCTGCATTTACATGAGTCAAAGCATGAAGTTCTTGTGCTTTTATGAATGCAGATGATACCAGTAAGTCAGCTTGTTCATTTGCTTTAGTTAAAGGCCCTGGTAAATTAGTGTGTGCTCGAATATGAGTAATATAAAATGGGAAATTTCTTTTTCTTACAGTTTGTTGTAATAAATTGAACAGCTAGTTTAACTGATCGTCCATGCTATATTTAATTAGAGCTGTCTCAACATCCCTTGTAGCCTGTACTACATATGCAGAATCTGATACAATATTAATAGGTTGATCAAAATCTTATAGCACTATAATGACTGCAGCCAACTCTGCTCTTTGAGCCGATTGATATTGAATTTTGATTACTTGCTCTTTTGGCCCTGTGTAAGCCGCTTTCCCATTGCTGGAACCATCAGTAAACACTGTCAGAGCATTTTTTAAAGATTCATGTCTGGTAATTTTAGGTAAAATCCAAGTAGTCAATTTTAAAAACTGGAAGATTTTTGTTTTTGGGTAATGATTATCAATAATTCCCATAAAATCAGCAAGACCAATCTGCCATGCACCCGAATTAATAAAGGCTTGTCTAACTTGTTCCTTGGTTAAAGGAACAACTATTTTGTCTGGGTCGTTTCCACAGAATTTTATTATTTGTAATCTTGCCTGACCAATTAATGTAGCTATTTGATCCGAGTACAACGTAAAAGTCTTCATTGTACTGTGAGGAAGGAATGACCAATCCACAAGATCAGTATTTTGAACAATGATGCCTGTTGGAGAATGTGCAGGAGCAAAAATCAAAAGTTGGAGTGGGGCTAAGGGATCTGAAGGGGTGGCCTGCCCCTCCACACCTGTGGGTGTTTCTCATCAGGTGGGATGAGAAGCTAAGAAAAGAAATAAGACACAGAGACAAAGTATAGAGAAAGAAAAGTGGGCCCAGGGGACCGGCGCTCAGCATATGGAGGACCCGTGCCGCCGGTACTGGTCTCTGAGTTCCCTCAGTATTTATTGTTCACTATCTCTACCATCTCGGAGAAGGGGATGTGGCGGGACTATAGGGTAATGGTGGGGAGAGGGTCAGCAGGAAAAAATGTGAACAAAGATCTCTGTGTCATAAATAAGTTTAAGGAAAAGTGCTGTGCCTTGATGTGCACATAGGCCAGATTTATGTTTGACTTTACACAAACATCTTGGTGCATTAAGGAACAGTATTGCCGCCAGCATTTCTAACCTCCAGCCATAAGGCGGTTTTCTCTATCTCAGTAACTGGAACGTACGATTGGGTTTTACACCGAGACATTCCATTCCCAGGGAGGAGCAGGAGACAGATGCCTTCCTCTTATCTCAACTGCAAAGAGGACTTCCTCTTTTACTAATCCTCCTCAGCACAGACCCTTTATGGGTGTCTTGGGGACGGTCAGGTCTTTCCCTTCCCACAAGGCCATATCTCAGGCTATCACATGGGGAGAAACCTTGGACAATACCTGGCTTTCCTAGGCAGAGGTGCCTGCAGTGTATTGTGTCCATGGGTACTTGAGGTTAGAGAATGATGATGACTTTTAACAAGCATACTACCTTCAAGCACTTTTTTAACAAAGCACATCCTGCACAGCTCTAAATCCATTAAACCTTGAGTCAACACAGCATATGTCTCTGCAAGCACAGGGTTGGGGCTAGGGTTATAGATTAACAGCATCTCAAGGCAGAAGAATTTCTCTTAGTATGGAACAAAATGGAGTCTCTTATGTCTACTTCTTTTTACATAGATACAGTCACAGTCTGATCTCTCTTTTCCCCACAGGGATCTATTCTATTTATTTGCGCTGACTGAATTTTTTCTTCCACTTATTTAATTTCTTTTGTTGCCTCTGGGGTTAGTATTCTTTTACTATTTAAGTCTAGGTCTCCTCTTAAGATGGAGAACAAATATGACATGGCATAAGTAGGAATGCCTAGAGTTGGCCGAATCCAGTTAGTACCTGCTAGCAATTTTTGAAAGTCATTTAATGTTTTTAATGTGTCTTTTCTTATTTCTATTTTTTGTGGCTTAATTTTTCTATTTTCTATCTGCATACCTAAATAATGAAAAGGAGTAGAGGTCTAAATCTTATCAGATGCTATTGCCAGTCCTGCGTTGGCAACCTCTGCTTGCAGAAATGTGTAACAGTCAATTAATTTGTCTCTCGTTTCTGCAGCACATAAAATATCATCAACATAATGAATGATATAACAGTCTGAAAACTTATCTCTAACTGGTTGAAGAGCTTGATCTAGGAAAGTCTGACAAATTGTTGGACTATTAAGCATTCCCTGAGGTAACACTTTCCACTGAAACCTGGTGGCTGGTTCTTTATTATTTATAGCTGGTATAGTAAAGGCAAATTTTTCAAAATCCTGCTCCTCCAGAGGAATGGTAAAAAAGCAATCCTTCAGATCAATTATAATTAAAGGCCAGTCTTTTGGGATCATGGCCGGAGAGGGCAACCCGGGTTGGAGATGCCCCTTGGGTTGAATTACGGCATTTACGGCCCTTAAGTCAGTTAACATACGCCATCTGCCGGATGTTTTCTGAATTACAAACACAGGAGAATTCCAAGGCGAGAATGAGAGAATGAAGGCTCAATATGTCCTCTTTCGAATTGCTCCTTTGCTAATAAATGTAAAGCCTCCAGTTTTTGTTTTCGTAGTGGCCACTGATTTACCCATACCGGTTTTTCTGTTTTCCAAGTTAATGGAATGCGTTTAGGAGGCTCTACAGTGGTAGCCCCTAAAAAGGATACCCTATTCCTTTTCTTTCTCGATTTTTGTCACTCTGAATTGGGACTTTAATGCCATTTTCATTTTTTCCTAGTCCCTTTCCTGGTATATATCCATTTTAGTCATGATTTTTTGACTTGTGGGGCTGTATAATGGAGCCGGCATAGTGATTTCTGCACCCCATTGTTGTAATAAATGACCCCACGGATTAACAGGAAATGAAGTAATCATTGGCTGAACAGTACTTTCTTGATTATTCGGCCCTGAACAATGCAAAATCATAGTAATTTGATACACTTCTGAGGCAGTGCCTATGCTGACAAGTCCTGTAACAGCCTTTTGTTTAGGCCAATTTTTTGGCCACTGATTTAAAGCAATGATAGAGACATCTGCTCCAGTGTCTACTAACCCTTCAAACTGTTTTTTTTGAATAATGGCCTTACACACAGGTCTGCTCTCTGAGACTTGACTTGCCCAATATGCAGCCTTTCCTGCCAGATCAGTGCTTCCAAACCCTCCTGTTCTTTTATCTCACTGTTTCCAACTTTAATATAAGGCAGGAGTAATAATTTAACAATCCTGTCTCCTGGATTGCCACTCCAAGGAATTGAGGAGCTAATAGCCAATTGAATTTCACCTTCATAGTTTGACTCAACCACACCAGTATGAATTTGAACTCCCTTTAGATTTAGACTGGATCTTCCTAAGATTAGTCCTACCGTCCCCTCAGGCAGTGGGCCATATACCCCTGTGGAGATTTTTTGTGGGGGCTCCCCTGGAAGCAGAGAGACTGCTTGCATAGTACATAAATCTACTGCTGCATTGCCACTTGTGGCGGGGGACAATTGCTGTATTGTGGTAACTGGCTCATTCGCTGAGGCATTTGTGACAGTGGGGGTTGTCTGTGAAAACCCTGAGGAAAAAAGGGCTGAATTGGGAATGCCTCAGTTTGTTGTGGGGCCTGAGGCTGGCCCCTCTTCTCATTTCCCCACAATGGTTGCCCACTTTTATCAAATTTAGAAGGACATGGATTATCCCAATGTTTTCCTTTTTTACATCTTGGACATAAGTCAGGTGGCTCTATCTGTTGTTGTAGTAGCTTGAATATTTTGTTTGAGGCTGGGCAATTTTTTTAGATGAACAATTTGTCCACAATTATAACATTTTCCCCCAAATGTTCTAACTTATCGTCCTAAAGCAACTCCCGTTGTTGCTTGAGTCATAAGCATAACTTTATGCATAGCTCCTCCAATTCCATCACAGGCTTTTACATACTATGAGATTACATCTGATCCTGCTGGGACCTTTCCTTTTAATGGCTTAATGGCTGATTGACACTCAGGATTGGCGTTTTCCTATGCCATCAACTCCACTATGACCTTACAGGCATTCTCATCGGTGATTGACTTGGAGCCTTGCCGCAAAATCAGGCTAGGTCTCTTTAGAGCCTTGTTTTATTGTATTGAATGAGGGGAAGGCGGTTCCTGGGTCTTGGATTTTTTTCCCAGGCTCTAAGGCATATAGCTCTAACTTGCTTAATGGCCTCATTTTGCATTATTGCTTGTTGATTGGTAGTGCTCCAATTTTGACCTGTTCCTAATAGTTGATCTGCATCTATGTTAACTGGAGGATTGGCAGCCCTATTTTTTTGGATCTGTTCTTGTGCCCCATCAATTCACCAAGTCTTAAATTGTAAAAATTGAGAGGATGAGAGTGATGATTTGGCCAAAATCTCCCAATCATAAGGAATGAGTCTCTGTCCATGAGCAATGGAATCTAATAATATTTTCATATAAGGGGAGCTGGGTCCATACTGTTTTACTCCCTCTTTCATATCTTTTAGCATTTTTATAGAAAAGGACTCATATCTGGCCTCAGCTAGGGGAGGCACTCCCTCTTGGGCCCCTTCTCCAGGTGGTATCAGTTCTAATGTTACTGGGAATTGTCACGCCTCAGTATCTCCTTGTTTTCTTGCCTTATCAATAATTTTATGTAATGCACTATGCTGTCCACTAGGTAGTGCTGTAGGATTAAGTCTCACAGTGGACGGCTGAGGATCTAGAGCCCTGCCCTGTGGTGCTGGAAACATTCCTGGGTGTCCATACTGATTTTCTGGGGGCGGCCGATACTGAAGTTCGGCTGGCGGCCAGTATTGATAGGCTACTGGCAGTTGGGTCTTATTTTCTACCTGCTGATATTGTGGATACTGTATCTGGATTGGCATTGCCATGGCAGAGACTTTATCTTTTTCTATTTGATATTCTTCTGGGGTTTGTACTTGTCTAACCTGCATTTGAGGTTGCAATGTTACAGGCATCTGAACTGCTGGAAGAGGAGTTGGCCATTGTGGTTTAGACTCTGACGGCCCCGCTAATTTTGGACCCTTTTCTTCTAATTTTAATGTTTCAGGATATATTACTTCCTGTAATTGATTATAGTCTACATTTTGCATTGACCGAGTCATTACCAGCTCTGCTACATATTTACAATGTGAACTTTCCGTTCCTTTCTGAGATTCTATCCCAGCCTCTTCTTCACAATCGATTACACAGCTTTCAGGGGCATCAGAAACTGAAACGCTATCTTCTCCTGTTTGAAACAGTTCTAAAGCTACTTTAATAATGACCCAATCATTCCATACTGTAAGTGGGATGATTTTACCCTCCCTAATTGTTTGTTTTAATTCTTTGCCAATTTTTTCCCAATCTTTTAGATCTAAGGTTCCCTGTTCTAGAAACCATGGGCAGAATTGTTCTATTGTTTGAAATAGCATGATTAGATTTTTTGTAGAGACTCTAACTCCCCCTCTTTTTAAAAGAATTTTAATAGAGCTGAGATAAGAGGCATATTTACTTTCAGTTTGTCCCATTGTTACCCTAGGTTCTTCCGAGCGCACAAGCTTACAGCAAGGCTGACTGTAGACGTACTCGGGAATCTCTCATCGACTTGTCCTCAATGACTACGCTCTAGTGTACCTTCACCCTAGAGAAAAGCACCCACGTTGGGCACCAGATTAAGGGGTGGCCTGCCCCTCCACACCTGTGGGCGTTTCTCGTCAGGGGGGACAAGAGACTGAGAAAAGAAATAAGAGACAGAGACAAAGTATAGAGAAAGAAAAGTGGGCCCAGGGGACCGGCGCTCAGCATAGGGAGGACCCGCGCAGGTGCTGGTCTCTGAGTTCCCTCAGTATTTATTGATCATTATCTCTACCATCTCAGAGAGGAGGGCAGGCACTGGTCTCTGAGTTCCCTCAGTATTTATTGATCATTATCTCTACCATCTCAGAGAGGAGGATGTGGCACGACGATAGGGTAATAGTGGGGAGAGAGTCAGCAGGAAAACATGTGAACAAAGGTCTCTGTGTCATAAATAAGTTTAAGAAAATGTGCTGTGCTTTGATATGCAGGTACACAAACACCTCAGTGCATTAAAGAGCAATATTGCCGCTAGCATGTCTCACCTCCAGCCTTAAGGCTGTTTTCTCCTATCTCAGTAAATAGAACATACAATCAGGTTTTACACCGAGACATTCTATTCCCCAGGGACAAGCAGGAGACAGAAGCCTTCCTCTTATCACAACTGCAAAGAGGCCTCCCTCTTTTACTAATCCTCCTCAGCACAGACCCTTTGTGGGTGTCGGGGCTCGGGAAGGTCAGGTCTTTCCCTTCCCAGGAGGCCATATCTCAGGCTATCACACTGGGGAGAAACCTTGGACAATACCTGACTTTCAGTGTATTGTGTCCCTGGATACTTGAGATTAGAGAATGGTGATGTCTTTTAACAAGCATACTGCCTTCAAGCACTTTTTTAACAAAGCACATCCTGCATAGCCCTAATATATATATATATACATATAAACCCAGTCTTTGTCCTGGTGTAGGTAGTGGTATCTTTTACCACACTACAGGAAACGAATGCTCTCCTGTTTGTTGTTAGGTTTTATTTTTGCTTTGTGGGCATTGGATGGGGCCAGAACGGGGGGAGGAGCCTGGGTTTAAACGTGATTAATTTAAGATGCCTACAAATTTAAGATTCGGTCTTGAGAATGTATTTGGCAAGCACAGTCTAACAACTCTGAGACTGCAACTCTGCAGGAATCCCTGACTGGGATTCTTATTAATTATGTAGCCACAGAGGAGAGGAACAGTAGGTAGAGTGAGAATTGAAAGGGTTAATTGTGATTTGAAGATTGGGAGCTCATTCGTGGTATTCATGGAAAACCTTAGGGTAAGCTACAGTAATCTTGGCTCTGTATTCATTCTGGACAGCATAATGTTCTTGGAACCTATTTAGAAATCCGAGGAAATATTAGAAATTCAGGTGAGGTTATTGCTATCTGCATTTTGCCCTCCGCAGCCCTTACAAGACTCTTCACGTTCAGAGACATCCCATGAAGTGGTTTTGAACCTGAAAGGATCCCACTTGTCTGGCAAGGTCTCTTGGTTGGTCCAAAAGGCTCATCAGACTGCTAGAATGTAAGAATAGAAAATAGAGAAAGGACAGGTCTCACCAAGGGAGACAACTAAGGTGGTGTCACACCCACAGGTGTACAGGTATCTATGTGTAGGGTGGGGAGATGGAGCAGGTTTTAACTTGGCTTGTAGTGTAGAGCACAACTAGCATGATGTCTAGTGTCCCTGGTAAATGATTACTTTCCATTGTGACTAGAGCAAACTGTATTCAAAGTAGACTCGTATATTCCTCATATGGAAGACTTTTTTCCCTGTCTGCCTCCAGCTGTATCTCCAAAATTATTTAATAATTTTTTTGTGGCAAGTTCCAGTCTTTGAATAGCATTATTGAAACATCTATTCAATGGGAAGTTGTGGGATTAACTCATAAATTACAGAATTTTCTGAGAAACCCAATATTTTACTCAAAAGACAGAATATAACCATGCTTAATATACAGTATTCAGAAAACTCTAAAACATATGTAGCATGTGTCTAACCCATCTGTGTCATAAGAGAAAATAGAAGCCCATTGGGTGCTGTTTTGGAAGGAGTCACATAGAAAGCATGTTAGAATATAATTTGAGTGTGTTGAAATATCATTGTACACACCAAGCATGATGTTCTTTGATATCATAAAAATCCTTTTACATGGTCCTGGCTTTTGTTTTCGTTTGTTTTGTTTTGTTTTTCAGATAGAGCCTCACTCTGTCACCCAGGCTGGAGTGGCATGATCTTGGCTCACTGAAACCTCCTTCTCTTGGGTTCAAGTGATTCTCCTGACTCAGCCTCCTGAGTAGCTGGGACTACAGGTGTGCACCCCCATGCCCAGCTAATTTTTGTATTTTCAGTAGAGACAGGGTTTCAGCATGTTGGCCAGGCTAGTCTCAAACTCCTGACCTCAAGTTATCTGCCTGCCTAGGCCTCCCAAAGTGCTGGAATTACAGGCGTGAGTCACCATGCCAGGCCAACATGGTCCTGTTTTACAGATATAAAAAGAATAATGAAATATGCTCCAAAATTTACCCTATCTCACCAACTTTTAAATGGCATTAGATTACATACCCAGATTATAAGACTGCAAATCATGGGTCCTTTTCTCATAACATTATACTATACACACACATACTCATACACAATTTAACGGTTTTCCTTAATTTCAAGTGTTGTGTTAGATATCGAAGACAGCATTCAATTAGACAGAAAATAAATATAATACTATAGGTCATTTTTTTTTACAAGTGTTACAGAAGCATTTTAGTCAAGGCCCATTGTAGGTATTGCAAAGGCTATTTGTTTAAGGATGTTTCAATTTTTCATTTAGCATCTTTGATAAAAAATTCCACTATATATCATAGATTAATTGCCAGAAGTTAAGTTAAGTAGCTTCTATCATTTCTGCAATTTGGCATGAAAAAGGACCACAAGAAACAGAGCAATCATGAAGGGACCAAATCTAAGGAACATGATGGCTTTTCAGTTAAGACATATGGTTGTCCTGTGCCAGAGTTGCTCTCACTTCTTTTACACAGTGGAGAGTGTAAGGACAAATTTGTTACTTGCTTTAACAATCTTTTTTTTCCAAGAATCTCTTATAATAAAGTAATATTTACCAATATTGAAGGAAAAAATAAAACACCTTCTAAAATATTTGAAAACGATTATCTATAAGTAATGAACTGGGAAAGAAGAGAAGGCAATATGGTTCTTCAAGTTCACTCTTCCCGAAATCACTGGTCATGGTGATGAGAGTTGGGGTGGAAAAACCTGAGGCAGGAACTATGGTTTATCATAAGAAATTAAATTTGTTTATATTCTTCATGATAATTCACTCAATGTTTACTTTCTTATTAGGGCTTGTTTAGGAAAATATTTCAGAACCTGTCTCCTACTTATTTACCAATCAGAGAAAATAAATGTGGTGATATTTCCAAATGCTCCTATATACATACACACATTCATATAGATAATATGTATTATAGTATATATATAAATTATGTACACATGCAAATACACACATAACCACCCGTCATGAGGTGTCATTCATCCATACATTTTCCATGGATTATCTAATTTAATTCTAACAAGTTATGAGTAAATACTGAGCTCAAGATTGAAATCAGATTTTATCTTACTTTAGAGACTCTAACATTTTATAATTATATAATTGATAAAAAAGTCACTTCTTAAAGTTGATAGTTATTTCTGTTGTATATGTTAGCTAAGAAAAATAGCAAGATAATACAATTTCTTTAGCATGGCAAATTATGTACATTTAAAACCATAGTCATTATCTTACTGAAAATAATAATTTGGGACTAATAGACAGAATATAGAGTGAGCTCAAATAACTTAATGGGGGAAAAAATCAAATAATCCGATTGAAAAATGGGCAAAAATCTGAGTAGACAATTCTCAAAAGAAGACATACAAATGGCCACGAGGTATATTAAAAATGTTCTTCAGATGTTGGAGTGCTCTTAAAAAATGAAAAAATGCTCAACATCATTAATCATCAGAGAAATGCAAATCAAAACTATAATGAGATATCATCTCACCCCAATTAAAATGGCTTTTATCCAAAAGACTGGCAATATCGAATGATGGTGAAGATGTGGAGAAAGGGGAAATCCTTGTACACTGTTGATGGGAATGTAAATTAGTACAACCACTATGGAGAACACTATGAAGATTCTTTGAAAAACTAAAAACAGAACTACCACATGATCTGGCAATCTCACTGCTAGGTATATATCCAAAAGAAAGGAAATCAGCATATCAAAAAGATATCTGTACTTCCATGTTTATTGCAGCACTATTTACAATAGTACTTCCACGTTTATTGCAGCACTATTTACAACCTAAGTGTCCATCAATGGATAAATGGAAAAAGAAAATGTGGTACATATGCATAGTGAAATATTATTCAGCTATAAAAAAGAATGAAATCCTGTCATTTGCAATAACATGGATGGAACTGGAGTACATTATGTTAAGTGAAATAAGCCAGGCACAGAAGGACAAATTTCGAACATTCTCACTCATAGGTGGGAGCTAAAAATTAAAACAATTGAACTCATGGAGATAGAGAGAAGAATGATGATTAGCAGAAGCTGGGAAGGGTAGTAGGGAGGGGGTTCTAAAGTAGGGATGGTTAAATGGGTGCAAAAATATAGTTTGATAACACAGTAAGGTGACTGTAGTCAACAATAATTTATTGTATATTTTTAAATAATTAAAAGAGTGGAATTGGAATGTTCCTAACACAAATGATAAATGTTCGAGGTGATGAATACCCAAATTACCCCAAAATGATTATCATATATTGTATGCCTGTATCAAAATAACACATATACCTCATATATCCACCTATTATATACCCATAAAAATTAAAAATTAAAAAAGAAATTTAAAAAAAGAATAATTTGTCCACCCAAAGTCAGGACAAACAGCAATAATAAAGGAAAAAAAGCAGAATCAATATAGAAAAAAATTACAATTTTTTTGTTAAAAAAGTGCAAAATTACATTTATGTTCTGATAATATAATTTTCTATATCAAGAAAGAAATAGATGTAACAAAAAACCCATATTAAAAAGTTCATACAAAGGCTAAGTAGGAAATAAATGTATACCAATGTATTAGTTATCTGTTGCTACATAATAAATTACCCTGTCTTTTGTGAGCCAGTCTCTGAAGTTATACAACTCATTTGCCTCATTCTAATCAATCACTCATAAGAACAGTATTACACATTAAAACAACACTGACTATGAAGCAAGATTGGCCATCAGCTGATAATAAAGCTGAGTAATGAATAGATGGGAATTCATTATAATATCTTTTTGCTTTTTTTTTTGGAGACAGTCTTGATCTCTCGCCCAGGCTGAAGTGCAGTGGCACCATCTCGGGTCACTGCAACCTCCGCCTCCCGGGTTCAAGCGATTCTCCTTCCTCAAATCCCCTAGTAGCTGAGACCACAGGCACGCGCTTCCATGCCTGGCTAATTTTTGTATTTTAGGTAGAGATGGGGTTTCACCATGTTGGCCAGGCTTGTCTCGAACTCCTGACCTCAAGTGGTCTGCTCGCCTCGGCCTCCCAATGTGCTAGGAATACAGTCGTGAGCCACTGCACCCAGCCTTTTTGCTCCTTTATATGTTAAAATAGTCTCCGATAAAGAGGAAAAGAAAGGAAAAACTACACTGATTGCTTCACAAGAAGAAACGGCCAATCCAAATAGGCCTATATCAATTAGAGAAATTGAATCTATAATCAATAACCCTCTAAAACAGAAAGGATTAGGATCAGGTAGGTTCATTGGTGAACTCTAACAAATATTTTAGGAAGAAACTTTACCAACTCTTTCATTATTTAGTGAAAATAGAAGCAGAGACAATAATTTCCAACTCATTCTATGAAGCCAGCATTATATCCTAATACTGAAACCAGACAAAGACATTACAAAAGAAAGCTACAATGCAATATCTCTCATGAACATAGAAGCAAAAATCCTCAACAAAATATTAGCAAACTGAAAGCATAAAGTATAAAAGGAGGTCGGTTGGGGCGTCAGGGGGCTTAGGGGAACTCTGTACTTCCTCTGTTTTGCTGTGAACCTTAAACTGCTCTTTTAAAAAAAAGATTAGTATTAAAAAGTAAATTAACAAATATCAGGCTCATTTTCTGTGTTGTGTAATATTCCAATTTAATAAACTAAGGCAGCCCAGCTGTTTTTATCATCTACTGAAGAGCCAGATTTTCTTCTCAAATTGTTCAGTAATAAGAAGATCCTTCCCTCATGGGAGCACCCCGCAACATGAAGTTTCCATGTCAGTGGTCATGTAGTTTTCCATAGTCTCTGCATCCTCACCATTTTTTTGTTTTGTTTCGTTTTTGAGCCCCGGTCTCACTCTGTGGCCCAGGTGGGAATGCAGTGGCACGATCATGGCTCACTGCTCCTCCACCTCCCGGGCATCGTCCCACCTCAGCCTCTTTGGTAGCTGGGACCACAGGCATGTATCACCACTCCCAGCTAATTACTATTATTATTATTATTATTATTATTATTATTATTATTATTATTATTTTGTAGAGATGAGGCGGAGTCTCACTTTGTTACCCAGGCTGGTCTTGAACTCCTGGGCTCAAGCGATTCTTCTGCTTTATCCTCCTAGTGCTAGAATTACAGGCATGAGCCACCACACCTGGCCTCACCGCCATTTTAAAAGACAATATTGAAACAGGTTTCTATGTTTCAAGGAAGCTGCTGTGAAAGCAGAGGGAGCAAAAGACATTAAAATATCTCAGTTATCTCCCAAGTAGCCAGAGCTGAGATTTGGACCTGGATTATGACCCTGTTTTATGGCAGCATTTTTGACAGTCTAGAAGCAGAGTCCGTAGGAGTAGCCACACAGTACTGGATCTCTCACATTTTTTATGAGGAGATGCAGCTTTGTGGACTGGCCAATCCTAATCGTTGTTTTTTTTTTTTTTTTTTTTTTTTTTTGAGATGGAGTCTTGCTCCGTCTCCCAGGCTGCAGTGCAGTGGCACGATCTCGGCTCACTGCAAGCTCCGCCTCCCGAGTTCACGCCATTCTCCTGCCTCAGCCTCCCGTGTAGCTGGGACTACAGGCGCCCGCCACCACGCCGGCTAATGTTTTGTATTTTTAATAGAGATGGTGTTTCACCGTGTTAGCCAGGATGGTCTCGATTTCCTGACCTCGTGATCCGCCCGCCTCGGCCTCCCAAAATGCTGGGAGCACCGCAAAATACAGGCGTGAGCCACCGCGCTCGGCCCCTAATCGTTCTTACTAGCACACAATGGGAAACAGTTTCCTTTTGCCTTTTCCTCTAACGTCAATAGGCAGCAGGCAGAGGCTGCGGATGTAATGGCACACCTTCCATGCTTCCATGTCACTGTCCTGAGTCCATGAAGGTTTCATTCCCCTTTTTTTTTTTTTTTTTTTTTTTGCGTCTTTATTTTTTTAGAGCAGTTTTAGGTTCACAGAAAAACTGAGTGGAAGGTACTGAAATTTCCTATATATCCCTGCCCTCACACAGGCAGAGCCTCTTCCACCAACAGCATCCTGCACCAAAGTGGTACATTTGTTATAACTGATAAGCCTATATAGACACACCATTATCACCCAAAGTCCATAGTTCACTGGAGGGTTCTCTCTTGGTGTTGGGTAATTTATGGGTTTTGACAAATGTGTGATGACATATATCCACCACTATAGTATTATACAGAGCATTTTCACTGCCCTAAAAATCCCGTGCTCTGCCTATTCACCTTTACCCCTAACCCCTGGAAACCACTACTGTTTTTACTGTCTCCATAGCTTTACCTTTTCCAGAATATCATATAGTTGGAATCATAGTACATTGGCTTTTCAGATTGGCTTATTTAACTTAGTAATATGCATTTAAGTTTCCTCCATGTTAAGTTTCCTCCATGTTATGTTTCCTCCATGTCTTTTAATGGTGTGACAATTCATTTCTTTTTAGCACTGAATAATGTCCCATTGCCTGAATATACCACAGTTTGTTTATGCATTCACCTACTGAAGACGTCTCCGTTGTTTCCAAGTTTTGGCAATTATAAATAAAGCTGCTATAAACATGCATGTGCAGGGTTTTTGCATAGATATGCTTTCAACTCCTCTGGATAGGTACCAAACAGTGTGACTGCTGGGTCGTATGATAAGAGTATGATTAGTTTTGTGAGAAACTGCCAAATTGTCTTCCAAAGCAGTTGTATCATTTTGCATTCCCACCAGCAATGAATGAGAGTTCCTGTTGCTCCACATCCTCATCAGCGTTTGGTGTTGCCAGGGTTTTGAATTTTTGCCATTCTAAAAAGTGTGTAGTGGTATCATTGTTGTTTTAATTTGCATTTTCCTGATGATATATGATGTGGAAACTTTTTATATGCTTATTTGCCATCTGTACATCTTCTTTGGTGAGTAATCTGTTCAAATGTTTTGCCTACTTTTTAATCAGGTTGTTTGTACTTTTATTGTTATGCATTGAGTTCTTTGTATATTTTGGGTACCAGTCCTTTATCAGACATGTGTTTTGCAAATATTTTCTCTGTCTGTGGCTTGTCTTCTCATTCTCTTTGAGAGTGCGTTTCGCAGATCCGATTTTTAGATTTTTAATGAAGTATAAGTTATCAATTACTTCTTCCATGGATCATGTCTTTGATGTTGTCATTTTCGGTTTGAAGAGTCGCTGTTCTTCACTGTACAACATCTGAAGCAAGAGACAAAAACCTTTGTGCCCGCGGCTGCTGCAGGGGGGTCTGAGGGCAGAGAAGCGCTTTCAAAGGTTGGGGGCGTTGCGGCTGCCGCCGCCGGAGCGCCTGGCCAGGGCCTATCCCGGGTCCCGGGAAAGGCTGTTGCGTGCAGCTTCATTCTTCCGCGCAGCAGCCTTGCGGAGACTCAGAACGAGGTGCGGGGAAAGAGCTGACGGGTGGATCAAGAAAAGAGGGAAACAAGCAAACGCACCTTCTTAAACTAGAATTCTTGGTGAAGCCAGAGTTCCCAGATAAAGCTTCGGTGTCAGGTGAGCTAGATGGTATGTGTGGCCCGAGCCATTGCATGTGGGGAGAAAGGTCAGGCAGGATTTTCACGTTTTCATCTATTTGGACAGTTCCTTCTTCGAGCGGGGTCGAGAGCGAGAGGAGCGACAGCTCCCAAGGTACATTTCATCATTCAACGTACTCAGATGCAGGGAATTTGGGTTGCATTTTCCATGAGCCTTCGGCTAGCAGAAAATCTGTCAAAAGATCTTGAACAATCCCTTAATTCTTTCCGCCTGGGATTCAATTGCGCCAAGAGGACTAATTGTGCTAAAGCTATAAAAGTGTGCTTTGCTCTCAGTAACGACACAAGCTGGATGTTGTTAGTGTGTCCCGGAAGGAGGTTACTCAGGTGTAATCTGGGTTAGGCTTTAGGTGGAATTCATCCTCAGAGTTGGTCACTCCCTGGTCGAGCACGAGGTAATATAAAATGCTTCGCGTTTTTAACATGACAGGAATTCTCCGTTACAACCGACTTGTGCCAGGGGATGTAGCTCAGTGGTAGAGCGCATGCTTCGCATGTATGAGGCCCCGGGTTCGATCCCCGGCATCTCCAAGGCGATCACGTAGATTTTGTTTAATTCAGCCTCTGGAACAGAATATAAGAAAAACAAAGAAAAAACTATTTTAGTCCTTTCTCATTTTTGCCATTATCATTTCCTTTAAATCGATCAATTTCCTGTCTTTATGTTTGTTTCTCTTCTATTTGGTTGACTAGCCACACTCCATATTCCTGTTTCCTGGAAACTTCCAAGGTGTTTTATTATGTGGTGAGTAATACAAAGTCAGAGGGACAATTCAGAAATGTACTGTTCCTATGAATGCATCCAGGAAGAGGGAATAGAGCTGAATATCCAAGAATGTTTTAAGATCTACTAAATGAGGCCCTAATCCATTCCCAGTCTCCAGTGAAAAACTATCAGTAAAAATAAAATGTCTCCGTATCATAGTTTTTTTTTTGCGGGGTGGGGAAAGTGGAATAGGATGGAAAAGAGGAAAGTAGCATGCTTTTTTTAGTTTTAGTATTCAGGTGGGAGTTGCTTTCAACTTAAGGTCCACTCTATCACCTTAAGATAATGTAGATCTTGTCCTACAGTTACTAACCTGGTAACCATTTTCTCACTGCACGTTTTCAAGGTTTTTGTGTGGGAAAGCTGGTCATAGAACATTTGGGACATTTGGGAAAGTAGTAAAGGTTAGAAATAGCCTGTAGAAATGGAAGGCAGAGTTGGTTAGAAACTCACAACAGGTGGAACGCGGTGGCTCACGTCTGTAATCCCAGCTACTCGGGAGGCTGGGGAAGAAGAATCACTTGAACCCGGTAGGCAGAGGTTGAAGTGAGCCAAGATGGCGCCACGGCACTCCATCCTGGGCAAAAAAGAAAATCATAACAGATTTCCTGACAGCACTGAGAACCCAACTGAGGTTGCATTCTGGGCAACTGTAAGTAAATGAATTTTTAGGTTTATGTTATTTCTGCATTGCACTTATGTTCATGCTTTGATTCATTTGAGTGCTTTGGAATATTGATAATGAATTTGTTCTGTTGCTTCAGTTCACATTTAAAGATACACCAAAAATGCCAATGAGTATTTCTCTGCCATTGTTAAGAGGAAATAATTAAACATGATAAAAAAGAGAGGATCACAATAATAGTGAAATATTACAACGAAACATTATAAGAGGAAATAATGAAACATTATAAAAGCAAGGATCACAATAATAAGAAAACATTACAAAAAAATTAGCCAGGCATGGTGGCAGGCACCTGTAGTCCCAGCTAGTTGGGAGGCTGAGGCAGGAGAATCACTTGAACCTGGGAGGTGGAGGATTACAATCAGACTTGAATTTTACAAAGTTAATTCCATAAATAATGTGGAAAATGGATTGGGAATGGTGGTGAAATAAGATGAAAATAAGACTAGTTCAGATATTACTGGAAGAGTCCAGAAGAATTTTGGTGGGGACTTTCACTGAGAAGTAAATGTCAGAACATGAAGACCTGTCCTATGACCATTCCTTAGGAAACAGAGTAAGAGTAGCCAAATGCTGGAACTTTCCCAGGGGCCTGAACTGTAGACTTTTCCCAAGAGATTGATATCCAGCAAGATCTACCTCAAGGATGAAGCTATCTGTCTCAATCTCTTAATTTCTCAATTAACCTCATTTCCCACTCAGTTTTCTACTTCCAATGGGATCTTTTGGACTGTGGGGAATGTTTAATTTACTTGGAAAACATTTGATTTGCTAAACTTACTGTCTCATATTCCTGCTATCCCAGTTACCACTCTGGATATATGTCCCTCTAATTCTCCACCTATACCTTCATCTCCATACCCCTGTGTTCTTCTGTTTCAATAATGTAGACTTGCAATTTGTCTCTCTGCATATTTCAACTCCACTCTTTGTATCTCACATTTCCATGTTAACAACCACAATCCTTAACTACTTATCCAAATGTTCCTGCATTAACTTAAACCTAGATCTCCCTAATGCATTGCTATTTAAATTAGAAACTACACATTCTCCAATCTCAGGATCAGGAAATAGGTTAGTACCTTCTGAGGCCACATTCCAATTTCCAAATCATTGCATTTCATTTTATTTTATTATTTTTTGAGACTGAGTCTCACTCTGTTGCCAGGCTAGAGTGCAACCTCTGGCTCACTGCAACCTCCACCTCCCAGGTTCAAGCAATTCTCCTGCCTCAGCCTCCCAAGTAGCTGGGACTGCAGGTGCCTGCCACCATGCCCAGCTAATTTTTTTGTATTTTTAGTACAGAATGGGGTTTCACCATATTGGCAAGGCTGGTCTCAACCTCCTGACTTTGTGATCCGTCTGCCTCGACCTCCCAAAGTGCTGGGATTACAGGCGTGAGCCACCGTGCCCAGGCTTCTATCTGCATTTTAAAAACCCTATTCTGGGTTGGGCACAGTGGCTCATGCCTAGCACTTTGAAAGGCCGAGGCAGGCAGATCACTTGAGCCCAGGAGTTTCAGACTTGCCTGGGCAACAACATGGCGAAACCCTGTCCCTATAAAAAACATACAAAAATTAGCCAGATGTGGTGGCATGCGCCTATAATCCCAGCTACTTGGAAGGCCCAAAAGGGAAGATGGCCTGAGCCTGAGGAGGTCAAGACTGCAATGAGCTGTGATTACACCACTGCACTCCAGCCTAGGCAACAGAGTGAGACTCTGTCTCAAAACAAAAGCAAAAACAAAAACAAAAAAATCCTATTCTGGCCACGTGCAGTGGTTCATGCCTGTAATCCCAACACTTTGGGAGGCCAAGGCAGGAGGATTGCTTGGAGTCAGGAGTTTAAGACTAGCCTGGGCAATATAGGTAGACCTCATTTCTAAAAAAAAAATTAGAACAACCACTCTCCCCTAAGCAAAACCCTGTTCCTTGGAGGCTTTGCTTTATGAAACACAATCTGGGCCAGGTGCGCTGGCTCACACTTTTAATCCCAGCACTTTGGGAGGACGAGGTGGGCGGATCACCCTGAGGTCGGGAGTTCAAGACCAGCCTCACCAACATGGAGAAATCCTATCTCTACTGAAAATACAAAATTAGCTGGGCATGGCGGTGCATGCCTGTAATCCCAGCTACTCTGGAGGCTGAGGCAGGAGAATGGCTTGAATCCGGGAGGCGGAGGTTGGGGTGAGCCAAGATCGCACCATTGCACTCCAGCCTGGGGAACAAAAGCGAACTCCATCCAAAAAACCCCAAAAAACAAAAAAACACAATCTCACATTTCTCAGCAAGAAAACTCTTCCTAATTTAATGAAGACCTGGTGCCTCTTTTCTTCCACTCACCCTTGGTGACTTCAGGGGCCATGTGGACAGATCATCCAGCACCCCAGCTTCTCATTCATTTGATCTCTCTTTTCCCAGGAATCTTTATTTCCACTCTATTTAGTCACTAGCACAAATGGCCATGCTCTGGACTTTGTCATGTATCAGTATTATGCCAAAAGAATAAATCCATCAGTATTATGCCAAAATAATGACTCCAAAATAATATAATCCAGTATAGAGTAGTTTATAAGAACACAGACTCTGGAATTAGAATACTCATGTTTAAATCTCAGCTTTTCCGCTACTGTGAGACATAAGGCAGATCATTTAATTTATTTAAACTTAGGTTTTATCATCTGTAAAATGGGGAGAAAATGATGCCAACTCGCAGGACTTTGTGAATTTTAAATAAAATAATACATTTAATAGTTTCTACTTATTAATAACTGACTATGGTAAGAACTCAATGAAAATTAAATATATAAGAATCAATTGGCTGGGTGTGGTGGCTCACACCTGTAATCCCAGCACTTTGGGAGGCCGAGGCGGGTGGATCACCTGAGGTCAGGAGTTCAAGACCAGCCTGACCAACATGGAGAAACCCCATCTCTACTAAAAATACAAAATTAGCCAGGCATGGTGGTGCATGCCTGTAATCCCAGCTACTTGGGAGGCTGAGGCAGGAGAATCGCTTGAACCTGGGAGGCAGAGGTTGCATTGAGCCGAGATCGCACCATTGCACTCCAGCCTAGGCAACAAGAGCGAAACTCCACCTCAAAAAAAAAAAAAAAAAAAAAAAAGGCCGGGTGCAGTGGCTAACACCTGTAATCCCAGCACTTTGGGAGGCCAAGGCTGGTGGATCACCTGAAGTCAGAAGTTCTAGACCAGCCTGGCCAACATGGTGAAACCCTGTCTCTACTAAAAATACAAAATTAGCCAGTCGTGGTGGCAGGCACCTGTAATCCCAGCTACTCAGGGAGGCCCAGGCAGAAGAATCACTTGAACCCAGGAGGCGGAGGTTGCAATGAGCTGAGATCGCGCCATTGAACTCCAGCCTGGGGGAGAAGAGCGAGACTTCATCTCAAAACAAACAAACAAACAAAAACAAAAACAGAAAAAGAATAAATTTAGTTAAAACTCATAGGAGGACTTGTGACAATATCTTAGAACAATATACATGCTCAACAAATGTTAGCTGCTATTATTATTAATATTATTACTATCTGCATTATTTCCCTGTAACTGCCACAAATATAATGACTTAAAACTGCCACAAATATAATGACTTAAAACAACACAAATTTACTGTCTTACATTTCTGGAGTTCAAAAGTCTGAAATGGGTTTCACTGGGCTAATATAAGGGTGTCAACAGGGCTATGTTTCTTGTGGAGACTCTAGGGAATAATCAGTTCCTTTGTCTTTTCTAGCTTTAGCGTTTGCCTGGATTGCTTGGATTGTGGCTCCTTCCTCCATCTTCAAAGACAGCAGTGTAACATCTTCAAATCTCTGACTCTGACCTTCATGCCTCCCTCTTTCACTCATAAGGACCATTGTGATTACATTGTGCTTATCCAAATAATCCAGAATAAATGCTCCATCTCAAGGCCCTTAAATTAATCAAACTGCAACGTCCCCTTTGTCATGTAAGGTATCATGTTCACAAGTTTAGGAATTAGGATATGGTCATCTTTGTGGAGGGTGGCAGGGCATTAGTCTGCCTACCATAGTGTCCCTAATCTGCTTTCTTTTCTGGCAACCTCATCCAGTTACTTCCTCAACTTCTGTTTATCTACTGAAATGCAACTTCTATTTCCTTAACATTTTTTTCTCTCCATGGATCTTTCTGTTCCTACCTTTTCTTTCTTCCATTTCCAGCTTAGATTCCTTGTTCTTTCCCTTCAGCCACATTTCAGCAGTGTCCTCACACTCCTTTGTTTCATAGTGAACATCCTCCCTCAGAGTTCCAATTGTAGATTATTCCATATGGATCTTATTCACTCCACACAGACTGTTTGGTGCTCCTAGAGAATATCACACCACGGTGAAGATTAGTGCCACTCTAAATAAGGAGTAGGCCTTCCAGTCCAGGATGCCTGTACCCACAACCTCCCCTGCCTTCCCACCCACCACAAGGCCTGGAATGCTCATGCTGCTGTTACTCGTACCCCACCTACTTGAAATAAAAGCAAAGAGGCCAGGTGGCTGCTGCACACTCTTCTAGGGGTGGGCTCAAGGGGCAGTTCTGTACTCACCATCTCCTCCTGCATAAGGATTCAACTTGGTATCATCTTCAAAGAGGAGAGAAAGAGCAAGATTAGTGAAATAATTACGGCCTTTGTTACCTTGGGTCCAGACAGGACTTTTGGGAAGTTCAGTCCAACCCTTCACTTTAGAGGCCAGGAAACTTAAGTACAGAGAAGAGGGGTGACTTACTTGTTCCCTTCAATGCTATCCCACTCACTTGCATTTCCCTAATAGGATTCATAGTAGCTACTTCAAGAAGGCTTGACTTCCTCAAGATATCTAATCCTACTTTCTGTACCTTCAGCTGATGACTTTGCCTCCTACTTCAAATTTAAAAATGCCATCAAATGAAAACCATCTTAACTTCCTTCATTAACTTATAAATGTACCTATATTTGTATGCATCCTTTTTTTTCATTTCTGTCTGCTAAAATGGAATAAATATCCCTTGTATCAGTGCTACACAAGCTTTAATGTTTATATAGCATCACCTGTGAATTTTTTTAAGACGAAAATTCCATATGTCTGGGGTAACCCCTGAGATTCTACATTTATTATTTTTATTTATTTGTTTATTTTGAGACAGAGTCTTGCTCTGTCACCCAGGCTGGAGTGCAGTGGCACGATCTTGGCTCACTGCAACCTCTGCTCCCCAGATTCAAGCGATTCTCCTGCCGCACCCTCTCCAGTAGGTGGGATTACAGGCGCGTGCCACCATGCCCAACTAATTTTTGTATTTTTAGTAGAAACAGGGTTTCAGCATTTGGCCACACTGGTCTTGAATTCCTGACCTCGTGATCCACCCGTCTCAGCCTCCCAAAGTGCTGGGATTACAGGTGTGAGCCACCGCATCCGGCCGAGATTCTACATTTATAACTAGCTCTCAACTGATGCTGATGCTGCTGGTCTCTATGCTATACTTTTATTGGGGAGAGCTTAAAGTGTCCACAGCTAGTTCTTCAAAGGTCCTCAGGCCATCTTGTCCTGCATTCACAGGGAATTTGTGCTGTTAATTATTCCTGTTGTCTCTGTCTTCACCCTGTCCTCTGCTGGTTTCTTTTTATTACTATTTAAAATGGTTCAAGTCTCTTCATATTAAAAATCTCCCCTAGCTCCACGTTCTTCTGCAGCCAGCACAATTTCTCTTTCCTTCCAATTCCAGCCACATTTCTTGAAATGGATATTTTTACTCTGTGTCTCCATTCCTCATCTTACTCTCATTTCTCAATCTCCTGAATATAAACTTGATTCTTAGAATTGCAGTGAAATGACTCTTACAAGAGTCACCAATGATTCCCATGTCTCTAAATCTAATGAACTTATTAGCCTTCACTTTACTAAACTCATTTTATCATTTGACACAAATGATTCTTGCTTTGAAACAGCCTTGTCTTTCCATTACAATATATTGCATTGATTTCACGTAAGTTATTTGTAAAATTTCTGTTGTTGTTGTTAAATGTGAGTGTTTTTTAGAGTTCAAATGTAGGCATACTTTCTTCATGCTCTACACATTCTTCCTAAGCATTCTTATATATTACACTTGCTCTACATATCCTCTGTATGCTGCTATTTCTTAAATATATATCTTTAGTCTCTACCACCCTCATTAAATGTTAAGTCCATATAGCCTACAGCATGTCGCCACTGTATTATTCCACAGGCACCTTGCTGCCTTCCTCCCACACATATCTAATTAACCACCAAAG
The DNA here is from genome assembly GCF_000001405.40 of Homo sapiens. NCBI lineage: Eukaryota > Metazoa > Chordata > Mammalia > Primates > Hominidae > Homo > Homo sapiens. The sequence goes on along the minus strand of NC_000006.12, from coordinate 28,666,636 downwards.
ACGCTCAACGCTACCCTCTACTATCTCTCAAAACCATACACTACTTTCCCACTCATTTAATCTAGTTTGCATCTCCAGAAATTCTTCTAACTTATTGTACATATTCATAAGTCAATTTCCCTTCTGTCCTTGTGATGGCCTTTTCCGGTAAGGACCTCAATCCTGGTTAAAACTAATGATGCAGGCCTGGAGCGGTGGCTCACACCTGTAATCCCAGCACTTTGGGAGGCCGAGGCGGGCGGATCACTGGGTCAGGAGATCGAGACCATCCTGGCTAACACGGTGAAACCCCGTCTCCACTAAAAATACAAAAAATTAGCAGGGCGTGGTGGCACAAGCCTGTAATCCCGGCTACTCGGGAGGCTGAGGCAGGAGAATCGCTTGAATCCGGGAGGCGGAGGTTGCAGTGAGCCGAGATTTCTCCACTCCAGTCTGGGCGACAGAGCGAGACTCCGTCTCAAAAAACAAAAACAACAAGAAAAAAACAAAAAACGAATGATGCGCCTTGTCCATATGAGGCCTCTGCAGATCTCATAGTCTTCAGTTAATACAGGTTAAGAGTTTAGCAACTAAGTTGAGAGGAGTGCTTATTTACCAAGATAAGAAAGAGTGAAGGGAAGAAATTTGGAGGTAAAGGAAAAACAAGGTTTTAGTTTTGAACATGTTGAGTTAGAGATGCTGATTAGATATCCATGCGGAGATGTCAAGCAGGCATGAGATCTGTGGAGGCCAAAGGGACAGCTTTTATTTTCTGAGAAACAATGTATACGCTGGGAAAATTCAATCTTCCCAGTGTTTATTCTCAATCAGGTTCATTTAAGCAAATGAGGGATTCAAACTTGCTTAGTTCCAATTGGTTGATACAGCTGAGCCCTGATTGGACAAGGCAGTTGAGCCCCGGTTGGGTGACTTTTAAGCCCAAAACTACAAGTCTTGTTGATTGGATGTTTCTAGGTGGTCGACTGGGGATTTCTTTTTATTTTATTTTATTTTTTTGAAAGGGAGTCTCGCTCTGTCTCCCAGGCTGGAGTGCAGTGGCGCAATCTCGGCTCACTGCAAGCTCCGCTTCCCAGGTTCACGCCATTCTCCTGCCTCAGCCTCCCAAGTAGCTGGGACTACAGGCGCCCGCCACCGCGCCCGGCTAATTTTTTTGTATTTTTAGTAGAGACGGGGTTTCACCTTGTTAGCCAGGATGGTCTCGATCTCCTGATTTCTTGCTAGAGTTTATCTTGGCCCTGGTTACAAGAACTACTCTGGTCTAGGGTTGCAAAGCAGATGTTTGTCATGGGTCATGTTTTCTGAGAACCCAGAGTACATGACTGTTCCCTCACCTGGGCCATGGCCTCTGGACCCTGTTAAATTTTGAGCGGTCTCCATTAGCCACAGGGAGTGCATTTTGTCAGCAGGTGTTCTTTAGATTGAGGCCATTTCACAGCTGGCTGTTATCTTTTCTCTGCTGTCCAACAGAACACCATATCTATTTTGTGTCAAAAGTGTGTCTGGAATCCACCCACACCTCTCTTCCACTTTAAACTGCCTAAGCCAAAAACATTCACTCAATAAATGTTGACTAAGCACTACCTAGTTGCCAGTACTCTTCTAGAAACTGTAGATACAATCGTGAACAAAGATAGACAAATTCCCTCCACTCAGTGAGCTTACATTCTGGAAGACGTCACACTCTCTTGCCAAGATTACCACAGTAGCCTCCTAACCAGTCCCCTGGCATTTCCATTCTTCCTAAAATTCATGCTCCACATGGTTGCCAGAATTATCTTTGAAAAATATATCTTACCGCCGGGCACGGTGGCTCATGCCTGAAATCCCAGCACTTTGGGAGGCCGAGGGGGCACATCACTTGAGACCCAGGAGTTTGAGACCAGCTGGCCAATATAGTGAGACCCAGTCTCTACTAAAAATACAAAAATTAGACTGGGTGTGGTGGCTCACGCCTGTAATCCCAGCACTTTGGGAGGCCAAGGCGGGTGGATCACCTGAGGTCAGGAGTTTGAGCCTGGCCAACATGGTGAAACCCCGTCTCTACTAAAGATATAAAAAATTTCCTGGACGTGGTCGTGGACACCTGTAATCCCAGCTACTCGGGAGGCTGATGCAGGAGAATTGCTTGAACCTGGGAGGAGGAGGCTGCAGTGAGCTGAGATTCCGCCATTGCACTCCAGGCTGGGCAACAAGAACGAAACTCAGTCTCAAAAAAAAAAAAAAAAAAAAAAAAATTAGCCAGGCATGGTGGCGCGGGCCTACTCGGGAGGCTGAGGCAGGAGAATCACTTGAACCTGGGAGGCGGAGGTTGCAGTGAGCTGAGATCTGAACTCCAGCCTGGGTGACAGAGAGACTCTGTCTCGAAATTAATAATAATAATAAATGTAAATATATATATTACATTGTATCATTTCCTACCTCAAATTCTGCTTCAGCTAGCATATGTTTTGCTTCCATTAACGGAAAACCTGACCATCAGTCGTTTAAATGAGAATGGTTTATTGGTCCCACATAACAAGAGGTCAGAAGGAAGGGTTGATGAAGCACCTTAACAACGTCATCAAGGACCCAGACTTCTCGAATCTTTCTGTTAGAGGAACCCCTGCTTACTAGGCCTCTGGTTTAATAAAACATGACCAGAATGAAATAGCGAGGCACTTAAAAGTTACATATAAGGTTAATACTCATGGTCTGAAAATAGTCACATTCTAATCTGACCACCAATTGTAATTGCAGAATATTTATGGGTCATACAGAACACCTCCCACCAAGCCTGCAGAATGTCGAGATGTCCTAAAAGTACAGCCCACTTTACTGAAAGATAACGTTAATGAGCAGGCTTAATGAGTTGAAGGATTAATGGTCATTGATAGAAACAATAGCCCCTACCTTTAGTAAGCACATCTACATATTACAAGTTTAATTATAGCTCCTCATAGTTTTTTGTCTGCTTTTTTTTTTTTTGAGAAGGAGTCTCACTTTGTCGCCCAGGCTGGAGTGCAGTGGCATGATCTCTGCTCACTGCAACCTCCGCCTCCCAAGTTGAAGCAATTCTCCTGTCTCAGCCTCCTGAGTAGCTGGGATACAGGCGCAGACCACCACACCTGGCTAATTTTTGTATTTTTAGTAGAGATGGGGTTTTGCCATATTGGTCAGGCTGGTCTTGAACTCCTGACCTCAGGTGATCTGCCCGCCTCGGCCTCCCAAAGCGTTAGGATTACAGGCGTGAGGCACCACGCCCGGCCCCTCAGAGTTTCTTATAAGTAAAGAAACTAACAAAGGATAGTACGTTCCTCCTCCTGCTTTCTGACACCCTACTTGGTAATGGAGTAGCTCCAAGACTCATCTTGAAGTCGTTCCTGGGTGAGATCCAAGAACCCTTTCTTGGGATCTGGATCAGGCCCTTCTTTTTTCCAGCGACATTTTCATTCTGTCATCCTTAAGTGTCAAGAGTGTCTCTTTCATGATCACAGTAGCTCCAAACACTGTGTTTTGTCTTCAAAGTAGTGTTTCTGAAGCAAGAAAGTAAAGGCAAAAGCAAAGAACATTCTTCCTTAGCACATTTGTCTTCTAACAAGAGAAATACTTGTCCCAGAAACCTCTCAGGAAGGCTGTACTTAAATTGCGTCAGCCACAACAGTGTCTCATACTCATTTCTAAATCAATTGCTATAAACAAGAAATAGATGATAATAATTGAATAAGCGTTTCTCAGGACAGTTCCACTTGGACATTTTTAGAGGGGTTGATTTTCACAGAGACTAGTGGCTGCTACAGACATCTAATGGAAAGGGGTAAGAGTATCTTACAAATAAACACAGCAATTCCTCATAACAAAAATGGTTGTACATTCTGCAAGACTTTTATATGGTTTCTGGAAAATTCATGCAGGTAAGAAAAAAAACAACTAACCCGTTTATAGTTTCTGAACCTTTGTTTTATGTATAAACACAAGTTATTTATTTCTGAACAATTTTTTAATTTTTTTTTGAGACCGAGTCTCACTCTGTTGCCCAGGCTGGAGTGCAATGGCAAGATCTCGGCTCACTGCAACCTCCGCCTCCCGCGTTCAAGCGATTCTTCTGCCTCAGCCCCCCGAGTAGCCAGGACTACAGGTGTGCGCCACCATGCCTGGCTAATTTTTTTGTATTTTTAGTAGAGACGGGGTTTCACCATATTGGCCAGGCTGGTCTCGAACTCCTGACATCAGGTGATCCACCTGCCTCGGCTTCCCAAAGTGCTGGGCTTACAGACGTGAGCCACCGCGCCCGGCCACACTTTTCACATACAGCAAATAATCCAGGAATGTAACTACTTTGTAAATTGTGGAAATGTTTCATAGTACTTTGTTTGGAACTTATTAAAAATTGTTAACCTGCTGGGCGCGGTGGCTCACGCCTGTAATTCCAGCACTTTGGGAGGCTGAGGCGGGCGCATCACGAGGTCAGGAGTTCGAGACCAGCCTGGACAACATCGTGAAACCCCGTCTCTACAAAAATTCGCCGGGTATGATGGCACCCAGCTACTCGGGAGGCTGAGGCAGGAGAATCACTTGAACCCGGGAGGCGGAGGTTGCAGTAAGCCAAGACCATGCCATTGCACTCCAGCTGGGGTGAGACAGTGAAACTCCATCTCAAAAAAAAAAAAAAATTGTTTACCATATTAACAAATCAGTTTGGCAAGGCAAGCATGGCTCTTGGCTTTAAACATCCAACACTACATACCTGTGCCTTCATTACTGTTTCATTCAAACTAATTCTTTTGAAAGGTACAAGAACTTGACTGTATAATGTTTTCTAAAATAGTCATTTATTGGTTTTGCTGAGAGTATTAAAAAGATTGTAATTCCCTACCACTTCCATAAGGAAATATATGTTGTCTTATTACCCATTTTGAATTACTATATTTTTATTTCTCATATGTATACCAGTTAAGGAGTCTTACAAATTTGAAAGAAAAATTGTATCTGTAGCTAGTTTACATTAACTATCACTTTTATTTCAGGATATTAATTGATGTGCTGCAAAAAACTTGTTGTAAAGAGAGAGTATTGGTTCAGTTAAGGTTAAGAACCATGCCCTAATTACATTATGATTCATCCCCTGTGATGAGGCACATCACCCTCTGAAGACAATTAAAATTTTACAAGGAAGAAGGACTGAATGTTAGGTAAACAACCAAAGTAGCACCCTCCATTTCACTACCTTTAGCATAAAATTCCAACTCTTATTTGCCTTTACAAAGTTCTACAGTGTCTAGCCTCTAGAATCATTTATCAAACTTCAATCACACTTTCCTTTTTTATAATTTTTGAACCAACTAAGTTAATTTCTACCAGAGAGCTTGTTACCTTATCTCTTCTTTCTCCATGGAATGTTCCATTTCCTTATCTTTATATGATTGACTCCTTATTGTTCAGATATTTTTTCAATCTACTCCTAGTGGCGTCCTTCTCTCCCTTGCCCTTCCAGTTCAGGGGAACATTCTTTTCAGTAGCTAAGACGGTTTTCCAGACATGATGGCACAATATGAACCTATTGATACATATGTGACATGATGTGATATATATTTTTCAAAATAATTCTGGCATCAAAGTCTTGGTGGCAGCTTTTACGACAAGACAAGAATGCCTATACCATGGAATGAATACACCTCAAAATATATCCACCAGAAATTCCCTTCTTGATTCTTGAAACAACTCACATCATCAGTATTCTCAGTGCACTCTAAGGTCCTGCTTTTTGCTCTCTGAGATAGGGAATTCTGGTTATCCCATACAATTATTTCAAGTGATTGTGGTAAAGGGAGGCCTGCCTTCCTCTCTTACCAAAGAATAGTCAACTATCTATTAAAAAGAAAGAATGATTTAAACTTATATTTCCCAAATCAGTGCAGTGAATGGATTCCTTTTTAAGAAATTGTTAAGGTCTTGCTTTTAGGATTTGTTAGGGAACATCATGCCGATAGTTAACAAATGTTGTGGTCTTGAGTCTGGAGGCAGCCTGGAGGTAGAATTCAGTCCTCTTGTTTTCCCTTTTCTTTCAAGTCAGCTGATTGGGTAAGGCCCATCCACACAATAGAGGGTAATCTGCTATACTCAAAGTCTACTTTCTTTTTTGAAACAAAGTCTCTCTCTGTTGCCCAGGCTGGAACAGATGCAATCTCAGCTAGCTGCAACCTCCGCCTCCCGGGTTCAAGCGATTTTTATGCCTCAGCCTCCTGAGTAGCTGGAATTACAGGCATGTGCCACCACGCCTAGCTAATTTTTGTATTTTTAGTAGAGACAGGTTTCACCAGGTTGGCCAGGCAGGTCTTATTCTCAGGTGATACTCCTGCTTCTGCCTCCCAAAGTGGTGGGATTACAGGCCTGAGCCATAGTGCCCAACCTAGGCAAAGTCTACTGATTTAAATCTTAATCACATCTAACACCTTCACAGAAACTTCTAGACTGATGTTTGACCAAGCAACTCTGACCAAGCAACTCTGAAACTTTGACCAAGAGTTTGACCAAGCAACTCTGCATTCTAACCTAGTCTAGTTGATACATAAAATTAACCATAACACCTGTGTGGTGGCCTGGAGATACCTCTGAAGGCAGTAAGCTGAGGCATTCGTTGTGCTCATCTTGTTTCGCATTTCTCAGAGATCACTGTCCTTCATTGCCTAATGTTCATTGTTTCACATTTTGCCATTTTAGAAATTTTTGGTTGATTCAGGTGGAATAGTAACTCTGGTTCCTGTCACTCTATCCTGGCCAGAGGTTTTCACTTCCCACACTTATCAGATTTAAAGTTCAAAGTGAATCATGTTGGAAGAAACAAGAAGACACACTATGATTCCAAAAAAATCTTGTTTCCAAGCAGAGGTGTTAATGGTTGTCTGAGTCTTTTGTTAGATATGTTCCTTACCTTCCAGGTGTGTACTGGGGTCTAGAGTAGTGCATGATTAATTATGTGAATGTCAGATCTGGAAAAGATATTTAGTACTATTACTTCCATTTTCCACTCAGCAGTGAGAAAACTTTTCTGAAAGTGTTGTGATTATTACATGTTTTTCCCTCTTTTAATCCTCTAATATGTTGCATGAGATTAATGAATTTTATAATATTCATTGACACATGTCCATTCCTTTAACAAACTCCACCTTTTAGTCACTTCCGGCTGCTATAACAAAATACCATAAACTGGGTGGCTTAAATGACAAGCATTTATTTCTGGAGGCTGTAAGTGCAAGCATTTAGTTCTGGAGGCTCTGGACAAGCATTTAGTTCTGAAGGCTCTGGACAAGCATTTAGTTCTGGCGGCTCTGGAAAAGCATTTAGTTCTGGATGCTGTAAGTGCAAGGTAGGGTGAGAATTGCTGGTGTCATCTTGCCAAGCTACCTTTTAGAGCCTCCTCCCCACCTTGCTCCTTCTCCCAACTCCAACCGTTCTGAACACTCCCAAGCACAGCCCTTCCCTCATTTCTACTTGGCATTCCTATCCATCCTTCCAGATTCGGTCACAGGTGACTGTAACCGAGGACTTCTGCACTCTCTACGCAGGTATAAAGCCTTCTCTGTTCCCTTGGTGAGACAGGAGTCTGAACCATCTCTACATTTTCTGTAGAGAGAACCATTCCCTCTACAGAAAATAATGCGCCACAGAAGCAGAGATTTAGCCTCGATCTTAGAAGTAACACGTCTCCAACTTCATTCTGGGCTCTTCATTTCAAAGAATCAGAGTAGGATCTGAGGATTCCTACTCTCTGGATTTTATTTGTATTCTCTGGATAAAATGCGGATCAGGGGGCCGCGGGAGGCAATCCAACATCTTTAGCCTTTAACCGTCCCAGTTGCTAACGGAGTGGAACGAGTTTATTTTTATAACAGAAATTCCTTCACTACCTCCTTGTTTTCTAAGAAAAGGCGTGTAGCGGTTTCTGGAGTTTGGGAATAGGACGCAGAGATGGGGTAAGGAATTGGAGGCAGTTCAGTAGTTTCCCTAAGTAAAGACAGTAGTTGGTAAAACATTTGCTATCTTTTCTGGAAGGATCTTTCCTGTGTCCTGAAAATCTTTTTTACAAATGAGAAAAGCATTCAGAAAAGGAAGGTCTGGGAGGATGTTTCTTAACTGAAATTTCCTCCTCTAGTCTGTTCTTAATCCTTACCAAATGTCTGCAAGATGCTGGTTAATCAAAATTTCTTGGTGATAGAGGGCTACAAAAAGGGGAAATGAAAATTTTAACGTTCGTTCATGAAAGAATAAATAAATGTTTAAAAAAAAAAAAAACTGAGGTAAATTTCTATATTCTTTCATAAAAGCAGTTTAAAGACGAACGTTTTTCGAGGTGGGGATGTAGCTCAGTGGTAGAGCGCATGCTTAGCATGCATGAGGTCCCGGGTTCGATCCCCAGCATCTCCAGTGTTTTTGTATTTATGCTCCGGAACCGTCTTTCTTTTACAGATACAGTCACAGCCTATTTCTGTAGAATCGGAAAATTAATCATATTGCCCCCACTCCCGTATTTATATCTTGCTTTGGTTACGCCTGTAGCTCTTTCATTTTTAAAATTTCATTCCTGCCTGGCCAACACGGTGAAACCCCGTCTCTACTAAAAATACATAAATTAGCCAGGCGTGGTGGCAGGCGCCTGTAATCCCAGCTACTTGGGAGGCTGAGGCAGAAGAATCGCTTGAATCTGCGAGGCGGAGGTTGCAGTGAGCCGAGATCGCGCCATTGCACTCCAGCCTAGGGGACAAGAGAGAGACTTCGCCTCGAAAAAAAAAAAGAAAAAGAAAAAAAAATTTATTCCTCTCCATTCTCAGCCGCATTTACATATGATGAGTGACTTTGGACCCTGTTCCATTAGGGCGGTGCTGGAAGGAACATTTACCAATAAAAGGACAATTATCAATAAAAATCCTAAATGGATGTTTTGTGAACGAATTCATCTTTTCACTGAGTTTTGCTGCTGGGTTTGTGGTGGGGGATCCAACGGTAGGCTGAGGTCCGGTCTCAGGTTTCACCTTTTGGGGCTTAGTGGGAAAAATATGGATTTCTCCTCAAGCTCGCAGGAAAGAAAATGTACTCTTCCCAGGCCGGAGGCTACGAAGGCATTGGGTAAATTTAGCATCTCCAAACGTGGCAGTTCTCTCAGAAATCGTACACAAAGAGGTGAAATAGTAGCATTTTGACACTGACGTTTTTCCTTCAGTGACTGCATTTTGCCAGTGAGTTCATAGCGTTCCCATGATTGTGTGGATTTGATCCCTTCTATATTGATCTCTTTTGAAATCTCTAAATTTGCTGCACTGATTCTAAAACTGCTCACTTCAATTATGCTTCTCAAACAAAAAAACAAAAACACTTCTCTTTTTAAAGCTGGTGCTTTTATACCATGCACGTGTGTGAGGACTTTCTTTGGCTAGCCCTTTTGTGTATTTCGCAGAATACACAAAAATCTCCTTTTGGGATGCCGCGTCTCTTGTATCTTGGTGCTTTAGTCTCAACTTCCAACTTGGGACAATGCAGAGATGCGGTAAGGAATCGGGGGGCAGTTCAGTAGTTTCCCTAAGTAAAAACAGTCGTTGGCAAAACATTTTCTATCTTTTCTGGAAGGATCTTTCCTTTGTCCTGAAAATCTTTTTACAAATGAGAAAAGCATTCAGAAATGGAGGGTCTTGGAGAATGTTTCTTAACTGAAATTTCCGTCCCCACTCTGCTCCTAATGTCTGCCCCCAGTGGCCCTCAGTGCCACTCTTTCCCCCATCAGTTCCCTAAATTTATTTCATATAAGAGACCTGGAGAAGTTACACATTTCATTGATTTAATACTTCAGCTACCCACAGGTTAAAGCTATGCATGCTTTATATCCCCTCCAAGAAAAAAAAATAGATTCTTTTATTTTGGTCACAGAAAGCCTGAGTCTTCCATTTATTCCTTCAGCAAATAATTTAAGTGACAGATTTATAGTTATTTATTTATTTATTTGAATTTTCAGTGCGTAACATGTAACTGTCTTCCCCTTCCCATCTACCATCTTTCTCTTAGGTCCTTTATATTGTCGCAGGGTAGGGCGGTACCCAAAGTCTGCCTTTCATCCCAGTTGACCACAGGTTATAACTTACTTCGTATTTTAGAGATTCTTGCCAAACACTGCCAGATTTCCTCCCTTGAATGTTTAAACTTTCCCAGGTTTGCCCAATACAGACAAGAAAGAAGAGAGAATCACTGTTAAATTTCTGTCTACCCACCATGATGTATTTTATTTCAAATTACTGAGGTTATTGATCACAGCCTAAGAATAAACCATGTGAAGATTTTCCTACATTATGTTGTAGGTCTGCTGTATCTCATTTCTCTTTAACATGAAAATAATAAATTATATTCCTCACTAAATAACCTTGATTCACATCTAATTTTCTCTAGCACAAGACTGTAGCAACCACTAAATGGAGGCTCAGAGCAGTTTCATTCTGGTAACAAAAAGGAGTCTTTTTAGCTTTTCAATGCTAAGGAATAGGACCAGCAAATAAAAGATTTTTCTCCAGGTTTCAGCTGTCCGCTTATTTTTATGTTTTCAGAAAATTGCCCCTTTTCTTTCTTCCTTTTGCTTCTCTTAATATTCTTTCGGCAGAAAAGCTACAGAAAATTAGGTCTGGTTTTACCAATTAAAATAGCGATCTTTTGAAATATTGTTTAAAATTTTTTTAATTTTCCTATCAGGAACCCAGAGTTATACGATCAATTAAAACAAGCCTTTCCTTAGTAAGACAGTCCCAAGTTATCAATTTCCCTTTTCCATGAGATAAGTTTATTTCAATTGTCTTCCCTTGCTTTAAGATGAGGTCAGAGCCATCTCAGACCACTGGCAAATAACCTCAAATTTTATGGGGGAACAGAGTTTAAGGGTCTATTTCTTCTATCCCAGAAGGCCCTGAATTCTTAAGGGATCGGCTTTTTTCCCCAATACCTAGCTTTGCAAAGCAGGGATCTCAAGGAGTGGCAATTCTGATTTCTTAGTCCTGGGACAATTTTGGAAAGACAAAACATAAAATAGAAGCTTCTCTCTACTTGGCAGAACTGTACCTGGTGAGATTAAGTTACATCACCTCCACCGGCCCTTGACTTTTAAAATGTCTGCGAACTGCTCATATGTCTATGACTAAAGGGCCAGTGGATACCGAGATACTGCTTTGACTCTTATTTTCCCTAAGAGCTAAGAGCGTCTCCACCGTGGGAAAGCCTCTGGAGTCTCCCAGCCTCCTGCAGGAGACTCAGTTCTGTATCTCTGCCCCAAAATAGGCCCCAGGCCATGAGTTCTGGCTCTGGAAGCACTAAGGTAGAGCTGCCATCTTTGACTAAGGCTTCTGTCTGTGCCTCTGGGTTAAATGGTTTTACTTCATGCACTTACTATGCTGGACTTGAATTACTGGTGGGTTTTTGTTTGGTTGTGTTTGGTGGTTTTTTTTTTTTTTTTTTTGGAGATTTCTTCCTCTCTTTATTTCCCTTATGATATGGTTATGTATTTATTTTGTAGTCATTTTATATTTATAATGTCATTTTACATTTATATTGTTGTCATTTAAAATCATATTGGATCTATTGTTGTTGTTCAAGTGGGTAAATTTTTCTCAGAGATATCTCCAATAATAGATATTCATAAGATAAAAATCTTCTTTTTTTTTTTTTTGTGATGGAATCTTGCTCTGTAGCCCAGGCTGGAGTGCAGTGGCACGATCTCAGCTCACTGCAAGCTCCGCCTCCCGGGTTCACGCCATTCTCCTGCCTCAACCTCCCGAGTAGCTGGGAGTACAGGCACACCACCACGCCCGGCTAATTTTTTGTATTTTTAGTAGAGACAGGGTTTCACCGTATTAGCCAGGATGGTCTCAATCTCCTGACCTTGTGATCCGCCAGCTTCGGCCTCCCAAAGTGCTAGGATTACAGGCGTGAGCCCCGCGCCCGGCCAAAGATAAAAATCTTTATACAGTCGTGTGTCAATAAGGGGCAAATGTTCTGAGAAATGCATTGTTGGATGATTTCGTCATTGTGCGAACGTCACAGAGTGTACTTATGCAAACCTAGATGATATAGCCGACTATACACCTAGGCTGTATGGTATAGCCTATTGCTCCTAGGCTACAAAGCTGTACAGCATGTTGCTGAACTGAATACCGTCGGCAATTGCAATACAGTGGTATTTGTGTATCCGAACATACGAAAGGTACAGTAAAAATGTGGTATAAAAGATAAAAATGGGGCCAGGAACAGTGGGACACGACAGTAATCCCAGCACTTTGGGAGGCTAAGGCGGGTTGATCGCTCGAGCCCAGGAGTTGTAGACCAACCTGGGCAACATGGTGAAACCGCATCTCTACAAAATACAAAAATTAGCTGGGTGTGGTGGCACACGCCTGTGGTCACAGCTACTCAAGAGGCTGAGATGGGAAGATCAAGTGAGCCCAAAGGTCGAGGCTGCAGTGAGCTGAGACTGCGCCATTGCACTCCATTAAAATGGTACACTTGTACTGGGCACTTGCCATGAATGTGTCTTGCAGGACTGGTAGTAGTTGTTCTTGGTGAGTCAGTGAGTGAGTGGTGAGTCAATGTGAAGACCTAGGACATTACTGTACACTACTGTAGATTTTATAAATGCTATACACTTAGGCTACACGAAACTTATAAAGTATTTATTTCTTCAATAATAAATTAACCTTAACTTATTGTAACTTTTTTACTTTATAAACTTAATTTTTAAAAACTTTTTGACTCTTTTGTAATAACACTTAGCTTAAAACACAAACACCTGGCTTGGCATGGTGGTTTATGCCTGTAATCCCAGCACTTTGGGAGGCTGAGGCATGCTGATCACTGGAGGTCAAGAGTTTGAGACCAGCCTGGCTAACATGGTGAAACCCTGTCTCTACTAAAAATTTTAAAAAATACAAAAGTTAGCCAGATGTGGTGGCGGGCGCCTGTAATCCCAGCTACTCGGGAGGCTGAGGCAGGAGAATCGCTTGAACACGGGAGGCGGAGGTTGCAGTGAGCCAAGATCTCGCCACTGCGCTCCAGCCTGGGTGACAGAGCAAGACTCCGTCTCAAAAAACAAAAACAAACAGACAAAAAATCCAAAAGACCACAAACACCTGTAAAGCTGTACAAAAAACATTTTTTCTTTATATCTATATTCCATTAGCTTTTTTCTATTGAAAAGCTTTTTTTTTTTTTTTAACTTTTAAAACTTTTTTTTTTAAAAAATGAAGACACAAACACACACATTAGGTTAGGCCTAGACAGGGTCAGGATTATCAATATCACCATCTTCCACCTCCAAATCTTGTTCCACTGCAAGTTCTTCAGAGGCAATACCAAGTAGGAAGCTGTCATCTCCTATGATAACAATGCCTTCAAGAATCCCTTGTGAGGGCCTGCCTGAGGCTGTTTCACAGTTAACTATTTTGTAATAAGTAGAAAGAGTACACTGTAAAATAACAATAAAAAGTATAGTATAGTAAATACAAAACCAGTAACATAGTCATTTATTATCATTATCAAGTATTATGTACTGTACATAATTGTATGTACTATATTTTTACACAACTGGCAGAGCAGTAGGTTTGTTTAAACCAGCATCACCATAAACATGTGAATAATGCACTGGGCTATGTTACCACAGCTACAATGTCATTAGGTGATCAGAATTTTTCAACTCTATTATAATCAGTCTTATGGGACCACTGTCATCTATGTGGCTCATTGTCGACTACAATGTCCTTATGTGGCATGTAACTGTGTTTCTACCTTTAAATGTCAAGTACTTCATCTTTCCTTCAGTTATATCTGGTTGTTCATCAAGATTTTTAATGCATGTTTATAGTTCAAATAACTATTTCACTTGAGTAGTAATCCAAAGTGTGATGATCTAATATTCATATTCCTAGGCTACTTGACATAATGCAATTTCTTCTCAAAAGCCAATCCATTTGATATAGGACTAGCAATTCTACTGTGCTTAACTGTTAGTAAGTACTTTTACTTTCTCTTGCCTCATTGTGGTGAAATCCACACTCAAACATAGCCTTTTCAGGCTGGAAAAGGACCACACTGGGGTACTGTGCTGAGTTGCTAATGTCAAAGCTACCATTAGAGAAGTTTGAAAGGACTTTCTGGTAACCCAGTGTCACAAATGCTGTATTAAAATCACTGGTGAATGTAGATGGTGTACACATGGTATATCAACCTTATTCACTAGACACTGAATGGCACTTCAATCTCATGACGAAGTTTTATTAGGGCAAAATGCCCAACACTTTAGCATAGATACCTGCCAATTGCCTGCTTTCCACTGACTGACAGTCTTATTCCTCTAGCTGATTTGGTGTTCCCAACTTGCATTTCTCTAGCTTCTCCTTAAGCCCACCCATTCTGTAGGGCCCCTTCTATAGCCACCACCTGTGCCTCTCACTTCTGTGTCCTCCCTCAAAATACCTTCTCCAGTGCACCCACTCCATCCCTTATTCCTAAATTACTTTCCCACCTTAATCTCAGATCACATTCATCTCCATCTTCTGTTCTCCAGATGCTCTTACTTTCCCCCACCTCAACTCATTCACTACACTCACTATAGTAACTCACTACCCTCAGGATCCAGCCAGCTTTGTTCTCCTAGCTCACAGTCTTTGCTTTTACCACCTCCTACGATGGCCTCTTCCTCTACCATCCCTATTCTATCCTTCGGTTTCCATCCTTTCTAATTCCTATTCTTAGCTTAACTTTTTTTCCCAGATTCAAGCTCTCTTCTTCCCACACACCTGTGAGATACTCCCTTTCTGAGTGGTCCTTGCTTATCCCCACCTCTGGTTGTTCTCAGAAACTATGGACTGGGATAGCTAAGCTGACACATACTTTTCCTTGTGCCTTTTATTTTCTTCTATCTTTGAACTCAAATTTTTGTTCAGCTTTTTAATTAGGCATATGAACCTGTCATACTTACTTCACCTCACCTCTTATTTACTAGTTTTCTTTTTAAATAAGTTCATTTTAATAAAGTTTGGGGAAAATCTTAGGACACAACTTAGTTATTTCTCAGAGGATGCTGCTTACTGCAATAGTTTCCTCGGGCTGCTATAACAAAATAACACAAACTAGGCAGCTCAAACAACAGAACTTTATAATCTCACAGTTCTAGAGGCAAGAAGTCCAAGATCGAGGTGTCAGCGGGGTTTGTTCTTTCTGAGGGTTGTGAGGGAGAATCTGTTTCAGGCCTCTCCTCTAGTTTCTGGTGGTTTTCTGACAATCTTTGAAATTCCTTGTGGATGCATCACCAAATCTCTGCCTTCATGTTCACATGGTATTCTCCCTGCATGTGTGTGTATGTTCAAATTTCCATCCCCCTACTTTTTTTTTTGAGATGAAGTCTCGCTCTTGTCCCCAGGCTGGAGTGCAATGGCGTGATCTTGGCTCACTGCAACCTCCGCCTCCCAGGTTCAAGTGATTCTCCTGCCTCAGCATCCCGAGTAGATGGGATTACAGGCCCCTGCCACCACGCCCGGCTAATTTTTGTATTTTTAGTGGAGATGGGGTTTCACCATATTGGCCAGGCTGGTCTTGAACTCCTGACCTCAGGTGATCCACCCACCTCCGCCTCCCAAAGTCCTGGGATTACAGGCGTGAGCCACCACTGCACCCAGACAAATTTCCCGTTTTTATTAGAACACCAGTTATATTGAATCAGGGGTTCACTTTACTCCGTATGACTTCAAGTTAACTAATTACCTCTTTGATTACCTTATTTCCAAATAAGATCACATTCTGAGGTACTGAGGGTAGGATTTAAACATGAATTTTCAGGGGACTAACAGCTACTAACTAGTAGTATAGTAAATCACCCTATTCTCAACAAAGAAAGCATAACTGAGGGTAATATGAAGTCACTGCAGTTGTGACAAATCCCCACGCTCCAGTATTGATATTCATATCCCTCAGTCAGCTGTCTTGGATTCTGATGTTAGTTGAGCACTTTTGCATCAAATTGGCTGGAGATCTCATGTGAATTATTTAGCCTTTCAATTCACTCACATATTTTTTTTTTCTTTTTGAGTGCAACTCTATTTGGAGGAGGATCCCACTGGGCTAGTGATATGGTTTGGCTGTGTCCTCACCCAAATTTCATCTTGAATTATAGCTCCCATAATTCCCACATGTTGCGGGAGGGACCCAGTGGGAGATAATAGAATCATAAGGGCTGTTTCCCCCATACTGTTCTCGTGGTAGTAAGTCTCACGAGGTCCAATAATTTTTTTTTTTTTTTTTTTTTTTGAGACGGAGTCTCACTCTGTCGCCCAGGCTGGAGTGCAGTGGTGTGATCTCGACTCACTGCATCCTCCACCTCTCGGGTTCAAGAAATTCTCCTGCCTTAGCCTCCTGAGTAGCTGGGATTACAGGCGCCCACCACCATGCCCGGCTAATTTTTGTATTTTTAGTAAAGACGGGGTTTCACCATGTTGGACAGGCTGGTCTCCAGCTCCTGACCTCAGGTGATCTGCCTGCCTCAGCCTCCCAAAGTGCTAGGATTATAGGCATGAGCCACTGCGCCCAGCCATATTCTTTATTTTGTTTAAATATCTTGGATTAACTTGAACGTATTCTAGGTGTGTTCAAGTACTAATTGTGACATTAGGGGGGAAAAATCTATTAGGACTTTTTCCAGCAAAAGTCAAAAAGAAATTTTAAAATTAGTTGAACTGGGCAATGTCAGAAATATACCTAAAACAAAGTATTATGCTTTGAACTTGATTACTGGGACCTGCTAGGCACTCAACTATCACATTGTACTTCTTTTATTGTGATACTGTTTCTTGTTTGATTTTTATCATCTGGCTACCTTGTGCCTAGTTGTGTCTACAGAAGTTATTTCAATGCCTGACACATAGTAGGTATTCAATACATCGTTCTTGTTGGAAAAAACTTGAACAATATTTCCCTGGACATGATGCCATCCCAGTTATATTTTAGTAACTGAAGTTAGTACAATCCTGATCATAAACAATTCAGCTGATTCAAATTCAGAAAGGCTATGATTCCTGGTCCTTATGATTTTGGGGGATGTTGCTTCCCAAACTCAGTAAATATACAGTAACTCTTAATACAGTAACTGTTAGTACAGGTCTAATCATAACAGTTTGTTAATCTATATTAAATTAAAACGTGACTATCTTGGTTAACAGGAAAATAAGTTTATATTCACTACAAAAACATTCTGAATGGGATACGAAATGGCAATGCTCCAAATTTTGGCTCAAGAGAGGAATTAAGAAAGACTTTAGGATTCAAGGGCATTATCCGGCCCAGAGCCCCTTACAGCCTTTGCCAGGTTAAATAGGGAATTTTGTAGTCCTCCCTGTTGTCTTTTTAACATGGCGGGGAAGCTGGGTAATGTGCAGAGACGCTTGCTTTATTTGGTGAACTCACTCCCTCACTTTGGCACCAGCCTCAGTACTAAGCAAAGGCAGAAAACTAGGATACAATCGTTAACAGTTTCAGAATGGATCTTAATTTGGGGATTTTTCAATCAATTAATGTTTGTTTAGCTTCTACAAGGTGCGGATCCATAAGGAAGATATTAGGAAACATCTAATTGAAGCTTGAAGAACCAAAATGAGGAAGGCAGAATTAGGAAAGACCCTGTCCGGTGACGCCTCCCCTTCTGGTTTCCATCTGTGCCCCCTCTCAGGAGCCGCGGGAACACAAGCCTCGAGCAGGCAAAGTCTCTTTGGATTTGAAATACAAAACCGTTAAGTGAGCTCCGACCAGGTCGCCTCCCAGCTGTCGCCTGCTTTCTCTAAAGCAGTGATCTGGCAGCTGTTTGGAGAGTCTGAACGCGTTAACAGTTTTTGTTTTTCAGCGCATCCGTGTGCTATCTTCTAATTGGCCAGAAAAGCCATTAATGTGATGAAAATTCTGAATGATCTGTTTTGCTAGAAAAGCTTTTCACTCCACTTTTAGAATCCAACCACTTGATGATTCGAAATCACCGCAATGCCATGGAATGTAAAAACTGCTCTCGCCACGTCTAGAGACCGATGCCTCTTCCTCCGCTGGGAACATGGTTCATCTCCACTCTCCGATTTCACGGTTTTATTTGCCCTCTGGGACGCGCTGACATTGTTCTAAGCACATTTTCTAAGTGATTGTGTGAGTGTGGGTGTGTTTTGTTGGACTTGAAGGGAGTCTAATTTCTAGAAGTTCCTTTCAGGAGTCTGCCTTTACTGCAAAGTTGATGTATTCGAAAACACAGTAACTCTTAATGGCAACAGAATTTGTCACCTAATTAAGTGCAATTCGGTCATAAAAGAAGCCACAGAATCAGCACGGCTGGCTCTGTGGCTTAGTTGGCTAAAGCGCCTGTCTCGTAAACAGGAGATCCTGGGTTCGAATCCCAGCGGGGCCTTAGGGTGTGCGTGTTTTTTTTTCTTTCCCCCTTTAATAAGGGCCGTCTGTTTTTGTAAATTTATCACAATTTTTAGTCTATAATCCTTAATCACAATATCAAGTCCACTGCATAGAGCTTTAATCTCTCCAATCTCTCTTCATTACACCTGCATCCTCAAAGACTATTAGTTTCTGATGATCTCCCAGACAGTTATATTGGAATTTCACCAAACTCAGGGGTTCAAGTTCAATCACGGATAAAAAATCTCTAAAATAAAATTGTAAAACTTTTAATTCAAAACATTAAAAATATATTCTTCTGGTTTCTCAAACTCCATGTTAACCTTGCTTAAAGTCCACATGGATGAAAAATGGTTGCAATTTATGGAACATTTACTAAGTTGCACTTTGTGTATTTTCTCACATGCTTTTAATTCCTAGAATATTCACTGAAGTAAACATTATTATGCCAATTTTACAGATTAAAAATGAAGTATCAGAAGGAAATAAACTTGCCCAAATCTTACAGCTGATAATCAAGCTAATATTTAAATCCAATATTTCTCAGTTACTTAAGTCAAAGTTATTTAAGTCAAAGTCTTAAGTAACAAATAATATTATTTATAAAAACAAACAGTATCCAGTGTGATTTAGAATAATGGTTCTTAAAATTTTATGGCACATGAACTCATTACATTATCTAAAAAAAAATTTTGTCTATAAACACACAGACACACACACACACAGACTTACGGACAAATTTTGCATATTCTTTTGAGATTTTCTCTGACCTCCTTAAGTTCTTGGGTGTCCATGTGCCACTGAAAAAAATCCATGACTTTCATAAATCAATAAACAGTAAATCGCAAATGAATGTTCAGAAAAAATAAGCTGTTTTAGGGACAGGGGTCATATTTTATTTCTTGACATTGATTTTTATAGTACTATCACTCCCTTCCCTTGGTTGATTTAAAGTGGGTTATTAGAAGCAGATTTCCCAACAGGAGTGTTATGACTCTGAGCCAGCATGCCAGTTTCAAAAAGTTATATTTCTGGATGTGAGATCACTGAAGTGAATTCTGAAAAGAATTCTATGTGGTCCATAAACACCTCTTAAAGCTAACTTCAAGCAGTGGAAGATATGCCTTCATCTGTTTTATGTGATAATTACGGAACTCTAGTCATCCCCTCATTCATTCCCAAAATTATTAATTCTATGCCTACTCACACCAAGGTGTGGAAAGGTAAACTGAACAGGCCTGGTCTCTATCCCAAAGGAGATAAGAGCTTAGTTGGGGGTGGGTGAATGGATAGAAGTTATTTATATAATGACAAACATAACATTGTGGCTATGATAAGTGCTGCAAAAAAAGAATGACTGTGATTTAGAACACACCGATGGGATTTGGTTTCATCAGGGAGATAAGAAGAGAGTCTTCAGTTGCAAAGAAAGAGGACAGCATAGGAAAGGGAGACAGAGCATAGGAAAACCCAGGCAGAGGAAGTTGGACAAAGTGCATTGGACTGGAAAAAAGCTGGTATGAGTACAGTGGGAAGGCCATGGGCAAGCAGCCTGAGAGATGGGATGCAGAAGGATAGGACGAAACTGTGTCAGAATTTTAGAGGCCATGCCAAGGAGTTTTAATTTTATATTAAGAGCAACCAAAATCCATGTGTAATTGAACATAAACACATTTCAAAAATTATGAGTGAAGAAAAAAATATAAGGTTTCAGATGTATTCTCCTATTTATTGTGTTCTTTTCAGAAAATAAATTTAAAATTAACTAGAAAAGCAGATAACCAGTAACATAATCAGAAGTGGAGAAAGTATAAATGTAAGAAATACTTAAAAGGAATTGGCATCAAGTTTTAGGGGGAAAACCCCCCAATTGAGAAAAAGCCTATATCTGCAACCTCAGGGGAGTTATTGCTCACAAATGACTCCTTTTCCAAATGTTTTAAGAGTAAAACTTCATCAGACAAGTACATCAATGCCTTTGTTTAATTTTTGATTAATAAGAAATAATCCTATCCTCTTTCTCTTTACTTAATGGTGATGAATTCACTAAGGTTTCAATGAGAATTTAGTTGTGCTTACTGGGAGTTCTCTCGAAAGTTTAGCTTTCTATTCTGTTTCTTATATAAAGTTCCGAGCTGCCAGAATAAGAGAGGCTGGAGTCAAGTCCTCTAAGGTCTTTTCATCCCCAAGGTGAATTATCTAAGGAGCCTTAAAAGAGCTTTGCAGTCCCCTCACACTCAGCAAAGAGCTGAGTCAGTCTCTGTGCAAACTTAGCAAACAACTTCTAAGTTTATGTACTGGACCACAGATTGAAAAGTGAAGTGGCTCTCAACTCAATCCAAAGATGCTTTCCTCCCTCTAGTGAGAGCAATGCTCATTCAATGGATCAAGTCACACCAGAGAAAAATCTGTTCACATATAAATGCAGAGAAAAGGCTGGCAATAAAGTGACTGACTGTGCACAGGAGTGAAAGGAGCATGGAGTTGTCAGTGACAAAGTCTGTATGCATGTCCTGGATCCTTCACTACCAAATGTGGACCTTTGGTAAGCAACTTGACTAGCCTAAGGTCTATCTCATTCTTTTCTTTTTATTTTAATTTTTACTTTTAAAATAATTTCATTTTTACAGAAAAGTTGCATCCTTCACTCAATCTTCCCAAATATGGACCTTCTCTCATATGTATATCTCTTATGTATATATATATGTATACATATATATTTTATACATATGAGATATACTTTTAATCTCTTATACATATGAGATATGCCTTTATCTCATATACGTGTGAGATATACTGTTATCTCACATCTCATATGTATATATGTATACATATATATTTTATACATATGAAATATACATATGAGCTAAAAGTTCCTATATACATGTATACACACAGACACACACACACGCACACATACTAAACCATTTGCCATTTAAGAATAAGTTGCCAGGCATGGTGGCTCATGCCTGTAATCCCAGCACTTTGGGAGGCCAAGGTGGGTGGATCACGAGGTCAGAAGTTTGAGACCAGCCTGGTCAATATGGAGGAACCCCATCTCTACTAAAAATACAAAAATTAGTCGGGCGTGGTGGCGCGTGCCTGTAGTCCCAGCTACTCAGGAGGCTGAAGCAGAAGAATCGCTTGAACCCGGGAGGCAGAGTTTGCAGTGAGCCAAGATAGCGCCACTGCACTCCAGCCTGGGCGACAGAGTGACACTCTGTCTCAAAAAAATAATAATAATAAATAAAAATAAAGAAGAATAAGTTGTAGATATAATGATCCTTTACCCCTAAATACTTCAATGTATGTTTCCTAACAGGAAAACACCCTCTTACATAACCACAGTACAATGATCAAAATCAGAAATTAACATTGATACAATACTATTGTCCAATATATGGGCCTTATTCAGACTGTGCTAATTGTCCCTAAAATGTCCTTTTTAGCAAAAGAAAATCTTTGAGCATATGTTGAATTGTCATGTTCTGTAGCCTTTCTTTTTCTTTTATAACATTGGTATTTTTAAAATAGTACAGGACAGTTATTTTATAAAGTATTCCTCTATTTGGGTTAGTCTGCTATTTCCTCATGATTGGATTTAGTTTATGTATTTTGGGTAGGAATACCAGAGAGCTGACATTGTGCCCTTTTCAGTGCATTTTACCAGGAGATATTTAATGGCAGTTGTCCCATTACCAGTGGTATTAATTTTGGTCACCTGGTTATGACAGTGTTTGCCAGGTTTCTCCACTGTCATTAATAAGTATCCTGACTTTGAGACTATGTAAATATCCTGTTATCATTCAACTTTTATCAACTTAATTTAGCACCCATTGATGATCCTGGCCTGAATCAGTTAGAAGTATGATGGTTGCCAAATGATGATCTTGTAAATCCATCATTTATTTTACATTTACAAGTTATCTTTCTGCTATAGGAAAAAAATGTTTCCTTCCCCTCCCAGCCACCGGGCCCGGCCCAGTAATGTACTTTCTATTCAACAGTTGACTTTAAATATCATCACTTGTGGCCGGGCGCGGTGTTTCACGCCTGTAATCCCAGCATTTTGGGAGGCCGAGGCGGGTGGATCACGAGGTCAGGAGATCGAGACCATCCTGGCTAACACGGTGAAACCCTGTCTCTACTAAAAATACAAAAAATTAGCCGGGCGTGGTGTAGTGCCAGCTACTCAGGAGGCTGAGGCAGGAGAATGGCATGAACCCGGGAGGCGGAGCTTGCGGTGAGCCGAGATTGCGCCACTGCACTCCAGCCTGGGTGACGGAGCTAGACTCCATCTCAAAAAAAAAAAAAAAAATATATATATATATATGGTATATATTATATCATATATATATCATATATAGGTATATATTATATCATATATATCATATATATATGATATATATATATGATCACTTGTAAAATAGAAGGAATGAGAAATAAAATACTTGGTTTTCGCCTGGAAACCTAGAAGCACTGTGAAAAGATGAAAGAGATGTTGAAAAAACAAAGGGCAGAGGTGGAAACAAACAAATCCTTTTTTCTGCCTAACCTCCTTTCTTACCCCTCCCACTTTCCAGAAAAGGCTCCAGGGCCTGAGAGACCTTGGCAATAACAGTGAGCGGAAGATTTGCTCAGCAGCACGTACGTTGAACAAGAATCAGCGCTAAAACCTTAATACCTATTGGAGATGCCGGGGATCGAACCCGGGACCTCATACATGCAAAGCATGCGCTCTACCACTGAGCTACATCCCCACACATAGACCCTTGTTGTTCCAAAAAAAGTTTTTAAAAATATACTGTATTCGATCAATTTTTTTTTTCCCCCCAAAATTAGTTTTAAATAGTTTGTTGTGCAAGAATTGTGTGAATTTTGCAGGTCATGAATGTGAGAAAGAAGATTTAAATCAATGTCACTAAGTCCTTTAGAGTAATTGGAAACTCACCAGGCCCAACACAGAACAAGGGGTTGCAAAACTGGCTTTTATCTGAGCAGGACTATGTATATAAATCATTCAGATCCAGTCAATTGAAATGGCCAGAATAAAGAAAAGTAGAACCATAGATGGTTACAGCAAACCACTGGGAAATTTCCTGATGTATTATACAAAGTCTAACTGTAATCAGAAGCCAGTTCAGTGGGTAAAGTACTGGGATAGATTGATCTTGTAAGGCATACCCAGTCTTAGGTTTTGGGCTTGGAATTATCCACAAACCAACCCTCCGCCTCGTCTAAGAAGAAAAATCCCACTCAGTAGATTGGGTGAGTAAATCTGTATCTTGTTGAATAAAAAGCGTAAGAGAAATGTGAATATTCAAATATAAATCTGGGTTACAAAATGTGAGAAACAGAATTCAGTGTCAGGCAGTAGATCTCAAAATGTGGTCCTCAGAACAACAGCATCAGCATCACCTAGGATCTTACTAAAAATACAAATTCTCTAGGACTACTCCAGACCTATGAGTCAGGGACTGTGGAAGTAGGGCTCAATAATCTGTGTTTTAGTAAGCCCTGAGGGTGATTCTGGTACACGCTTATGTTTGAGAACCGCTGATGTAAGGTATTGATGAATACAACATTGCTGTTTCATTTTTTTTTTTTTTTTTTTTTGAGACGACGTTTTTGCTCTTACTGCCCAGGCTGTAGTGCAATGGCACGATCTTGGCTCTCTGCAACCTCCGCCTCCAGGGTTTAAGCAATTCTCCTGTCTCAGCCTCCCGAGTAGCTAGGATTACAGGCGACTGCCACCATGCCCGGCTAATTTTTGTATATTTAGTAGAGATGGGGTTTCACCATGTGGACCAGGCTGGTCTTGAACCTCGGACCTCAGGTGATCCACTCACCTCGGCCTCCCAAAGTGCTGGGATTACAGGCGTGAGCCACCGCGCCCGGCCTGCTGTTTCATTTTCTAACAATAACACAGTACTAAGGTGTTTCTAGCATTTAAAAATAAAATAATTTGACATATTAGACCTGAATTTTTATGAGTGTGTATTAAAATATTTAAACGTGTGAGGGAAATAAAAGTGATTTTTAATATATTGTGAAAATAGTATGTGAATTTTTAAAAATTACTTGTGTATTAGACAAACAGTAGCAGATATTTCTGTTTATATTTGAAAGCCTTTGAGCATTAAAGAATCTATCCACCATATTAAGAGAAGAGGAGGAGTCAGGAGAGAGAAAATTTGTTTCTGGACCTCAGTTATTTTCCCAATTTTGGTTGTTTTGAAGCAGCAACGTTTGTCTCAGTGCACATGCAATTTGGGCTTTAGAGAGGATGTCCACCAGCTGGCTTCCTAGAGAGTTTAAACTTTTGTTTCTTTAATGTGCTGTCCATGGCTGAGTTTATGCAGTAGTACATGGGTTTAGCAACCACAAAATATTTTACTAAGAAACTGTTTAAAAAATAAACAGTTTGGCCCTGCTCTTCTCCATAGAGCAAGGATAACATCGTAAAAGAATCCTATTTTTATTTTAATTATGCAATGCAAGGTGTCCTTGATAGAAGTCTTGAGATATGGTTTGATCTGTGTCCCAGCCCAAATCTCACGTCTAATTGGAGCAGGGTCCTGGGTGGGAGGTGATTGGATCATGGGTGCAGTTTCCACCTTCCTGTTCTCCTGATAGTGATATTAGATCTGGGGATCTGATCGTTTAAATGTGTGTGGCACCTCCCCCACCCCTCTGACCTGGTCCGTCCGGTAAGATATGCTTGCTTCCCCTTCACCTGCTGCTATGATTATAAGTTTCCTGAGGCTTCCCAGTCATGCTTCCTGTTAAGCGTGTTGAACTGTGAATCAATTTAAACCTCTTTTCGGGCGCGGTGGCTCATGCCTGTAATCCCAGCACTTTGGGAGGCCGAGGCGGGTGGATCACGAGGTCAGGAGATCGAGACCATCCTGGCTAACACAGTGAAACACCGTCTCTACTAAAAATACAAAAAAATTTAGCCGGGCGTGGTGGCAGGCGCCTGTAGTCCCAGCTACGCGGGAGGCTGAGGCAGGAGAACGGCGTGAACCCGGGAGGCGGAGCTTGCAGTGAGCCGAGATCGCGCCACTGCACTCCAGCCTGGGCAACAGAGCCAGACTACGTCTCAAGAAAAAAACAACAACAAAAAACCTCTTTTCTTCATAAATTACCCAGTCTCAGGTAGTTCTTTGTTCCAGTATGTGAACAGACTAATTAATCTTCGCTCTTGTGTTACAAGGGACACCTCATTTGAGATCAGTCTGCTGGCACTGCAATGAAGTGCTTTGTATCAGCAAACTGTACACTATTTACCTTTTTTTCTGTTCACAGCTGAGCCACATGTACATAATCTATATTCTGTTTTCATAGTTTTGTACTTTTACAGCCTATTTTTGAAGATTAACACATTTGCAAAATGACTGACACGATCTTTGCCTAACCCAATCAGTGTTACAGAAAGCTTGCTATAACTAGAACTGTAAATCTTTTTTTTTTTTTTTTTTTTTTTTTTTTTTTTTTTTTTTTTTTTTTTTTGAGACGGAGTCTTGCTCTGTCACCTAGGCTGGAGTGCAGTGGCACGATCTCGGCTCACTGAAATCTCCACCTCCCGGGTTCAAGCAATTCTCCTGTCTCAGCCTCCTGAGTAGCCGGGATTACGGGCACCCACCACCGCGCCTGGCTAATTTTTGTATTTTTAGTAGAGAGGAGGTTTCACCACGTTGGCCAGGCTTATCTCGAACTCCTGACCTCAAGTGATCCCCTGCCTTGGCCTCCCAAAGTGCTGCGATTACAGGCGTGAGCCACCGCACCCAGCCTAGAACTGTAAATCTTAAAAAAAAGGTATGTGATAATAGAAGCCTGAAATTAAAACCTGCATTTAAAAAAATCACCAAATCTATTTGAAAACAAGTCAATTTGTGTTGAGAGGTGACAGCATGCTGGCAGTCCTCACAGCCCTTGCTCGCTCTCGGCGCCTCCTCTGCCGGGGCTCCCACTTTGGCGGCACTTGAGGAGCTCTTCAGCCCGCCGCTGCACTGTGGGAGCCCCTTTCTGGGCTAGCCAAGGCCGGAGCCGGCTCCCTCAGCTTGCCGGGAGATGTGGAGTGAGATGCGCGGACATGAACCGGGGCTGCGCGCGGTGCTTGCGGGCCAGGGTGAGTTCCGGGTGGGCGTGGGCTCGGCGGACCCCGCGATCAAAGCGGCCGGCCGACCCCACCGGCCCCGGGCAGTGAGGGGCTTAGCACCCGGGCCAGCAGCTGCTGTGCTCAATTTCTCACCGGGCCTTAGCTGTCTTCCCGCAGGGCAGGGCTCAGGACCTGCAGCCCGCCATGCCTGAGCCTCCCCCTACCCCCGTGGGCTCCTGTGCGGCCCCAGCCTCCCAGACTAGAGCCGCCCCCTGCTCCACAGCAGCCAGTCCTATCGACCACCCAAGGGCTGAGGAGTGCGGGCGCAGGGCGCGGGACTGGCAGGCAGCTCCACCTGCATCCCTGGTGCGGGATTCACTGGGTGAAGCCAGCTGGGCTCCTCAGTCTTGTGCGGTCGTGGAGAACCTTTATGTCTAGCTCAGGGATTGTAAATCCACCAATCGGCACTCTGTATCGAGCTCAAGCTTTGTAAACACACCAATCAGCACCCTGTGTCTAGCTCAGGGTTTGTGAATGCACCAATCGACACTCTGTATCTAGCTACTCTGGTGGGGCCTTGGAGAACCTTTATGTCTAGCTCAGGGATTGTAAATACACCAATCGGCACTCTGTATCCAGCTCAAGGTTTGTAAACACACCAATCAGCACCCTGTGTCTAGCTCAGGGTTTGTGAATACAGCAATCGTCACTGTATCTAGCTACTCTGGTGGGGCCCTGGAAAACCTTTGTATGGACACTCTGTATCTAGTTAACCTGATGGGGATGTGGAGAACCTTTGTGTCTAGCTCAGGGATTGTAAACGCACCAATCAGTGCCTTGTCAAAACAGACCACTCGGCTCTACCAATCAGCAGGACGTGGGTGGGGGCCGGATAAGAGAATAAAAGCAGGCTGCCCGAGCCAGCAGCGACAACCTACTGGGGTCTCCTCCCACAGTGTTGAAGCTTTGTTTTTGTTGCTGTTTGCAATAAATTTTGTCATGGCTGACTCTTTGGTCTATACTGCGTTTATACATTGTAACACTCACCGGGAAGATCTGTAGTCTCACTTCTGAAGCCAGCGAAGCCACGAGCCCACCGAGAGGAACGAACAACTCCAGAAGCGTCGCCTTAGCAGTTGTAACACTTGTCTGGAGAGTCTGCAGTTTCATTTCTGAAGCCAGCGAGATGATGAGCCCACTGGAAGGAGGGAACAACTCCAGACGCCCTGCCTTAAGAGCTGTAAAACTCACCGCGAAGGTTTACGGCTTCACTCCTCAGCCAGGGAGACCACGAATCCATCAGAAGGAAGAAACTCCGAACACACCTAAACATCAGCAGGAACAAACTCTGGACATGCTGCCTTTAAGAACTGTAATTTCGTGAGGGTCCGCGGCTCTGTTCTTGAAGTCAGTGAAACCAAGAACCCGCCAATTCCGGACCCAGTGTTATGCTGAAATTTTCAGGGGCTGTCAGATTTATTCTCTTAACCACATTTCTGAATATATACAAATACCACTATTTCCCCATAGCCCTTTAGCCCTTTGTACTTCAAAATATTTTGTTTAATGTTTTTTCTTTTTTTTTTTTTTTTTGTTTTTTGGAGATAGAGTTCTGTTCTGTAACTCAGGTGGGAGTGCAGTGGCCGGACTTCAGCTCACTGCAACCTGCACCTTCCGGTTTCAAGTGATTCTTCTGTCTCAGCCTCCCGAGTAGCTGGGATTTTAGGCACGTGCCACCACACCGGGCTGCTTTTTGTATTAAAGGAGACGAGGTTTCATGTTGGCCAGGCTAGTATGGAACTCCTGCGTTAAGGCAATCCACCTGCCTTGGGCTCCCAAAGTGCTAGGACTACAGGTGTGAGCCACTGTGTCCATCCATGTTTTATTTTTTTCTTTGAAACAACAGTACATATAATAGAGATACAATTAATTGGGATTAAAAAAGGAAAATAAGACAGTAAAAACAGTCTGGATTTCCAGTTTAGGGTTTTGCGTGTAAGTAGCTTGGATGTTGCCACTTTGCTTTAACAACTGAGAAGCTGAAGGAAGTGAAAAATCTAACTTTTTAGATTCATAAAAGAAGATAGGTCACAGAGGAAACTGGTGCCCACCCCCCCCCCAAATTGGAGAGACAGACAGATAGACATTGAAAATCACAGCACACGAGCAGAAATATCTGTGGGAACCATTGCATAGATAAGAAAACCTGAATTCTAATCAATGAACTGCTGGAGGCTAGGTGTGGACAAGTCTGAGAGTTAAAAACTCCAGGGGGACCCAGTCACAGCAAGGCCCCATGCTTTTGTGTATTTTACTTACAGGAACTTGACCAGATTCTTGCAGTAAATATTAGAGAAAAATCCCCTTGTGCTTCCACATGGGGAGAGGAAAAGGGACTATTTTGAATAGCACCTGTTTGTCTTAATAAATTCTGCCCTCAGGAGAAACTAATCAGAGCCTAACCTGCTGTGGTTTTATCAGCTCTTGGGGGAGGAAAATACCCAACCCAGACAGCTTTAACCTTCCATGTCATGGAAGGGAAATATTTAACTCCAGCCCACTCTAGCCATCCTGTCCATCTAAGGGAAGAGAAAAACATCTAAGCAACACTTGTATGATTCACAGTGCAGAGGTGCAGGCTTACTAAAAGACAGGCCTAATTGCAAGAATGCAGAAATCCTTCTGTCCCCCTGCATCTTGCCCTCACATTACTGAAGATCTATTTGCAGCAATTCCTTTAACCCAGTGCATCATGTTGAGCTATCAAGAAAAAAGCTACAAGGCAAACTAAAAGGCAAAAAAAAAAAAAAACAGCTTGAAGATGGAAAGCAAGCATCAGAAACAGACATGGGCAGGGATTTTGGGATTACCAGATGGGGAATTCAAAACAACTATGATTAATATGCTAAGGACTCTAATGGATAAATTAGACAGCATGCAAGAACAGATGGGCAATGTAAGCAAAGAGATGGAAATTCTAAGAAACAACCACGAAGAAATGCTAGAGATAAAATACTGTAACAGAAATGAAGAATGCTGTTGATGGGCTTATTAGTAGACTTCACATGGCTGAAGAAAGAAGCTTTGAACTTAAGGATATATCAGTAGAAATTTCCAAAACCGAAAAGCAAAGAGAAGAAAGACTGAAAAGAAACAAACCCAGAACAAGTAGCAACTAAGCCTGTGAAAAGATGCTCCACATCATATCCCATCAGATAAGTGCAAATTAAAACGAGACAACACACACACCTATTAGAATGACCAAACTCCGGAACCCTTACAACACCAAATACTGTTGAGGATGTCAAAAAATAGGAACTCTAATTCATTGTTGATGGAAATACAAAATGGTATGATGTCTTTGGAAGACTTTAGCAGTTTCTTACAAAACTAAACATACATTTATCATACAAGCCAGCAATTATACTCCTTAGTATCTATCCAGAGAAGTTGAAAACATATGTACACATAAAAACTTACACATATATTTCTATAGCAGCTTCATTCATAATTGCCCAAACTTGGAAACAACCAAGATTTCCTTCTGTAGGTGAATAAACAAACTGTGGCACATCCAGACCATGGAATATCATTCAGTGCTAAAAAAAAGAAATGAGTTATCAAGCCATGAATAGACATGGAGGAAACATGTACCATATTATTAGGTGAAAGAAGCCAATCTGAAAAAGTTACATACTGTATGATTCCAACTATATGGTATTCTGGAAAAGGCAAAGCTGTGGAGATAGTAAAAGATCAGAAGTTGCCAAGGGTTAGAGGGAGAGGGAGGGACTGATTAATTGGTGGAGCACAAAGGATTTTTAGCTCAGCGAAAATACTCTGTATACTATAATGGTGGAAGTATGTCATTATATATTTATCCAAACCCATAAAATGTGCAACACCAAGCGTAAACCCTATTGTAAACTGTGGACTTTGAGTAATACTGATGTGTCAATTTAGGTCATCAATTTTAACAAATGCACCGCTTTAACTAAACACGCAGGGCTAAGCAGTAGACAGGGATTGACATCCCTAGAACCTGCATTGGCCTGTTGGTTACCAGCGTGTCCCGCAGCCCAGGCCGGGGGATGGACGCCCGAGTCAGGTCACCCAGATCTCTCCGCCACCCGTTGCGGTCTGTTAAGGAACCACTTGCGGCAGCGGGGAGCGGCAGGTGGTGGGTGGAAAGGAGTTAGTCTGGGATGCAGAGAAGCGCAGCAAGAGAAATAAGCAAAGAGCCAAAGGTTTTATCCTCCAGTTAGGCTCTCTTTGCTTATTTCTAGAGATTTATATTTATTTATTTTGGGGCCTCTTTTACTTGATTCAAAAGCTTTCATCTTAGCTTTTGCCTTTTTTTTTTCACATTGGTTTTCTATTCTCCCTTTCCCTCCACAACACGGCTGCGGACAGAGGGGTACAGCAAGGGGCAGGGCACCCACCGCTACTCTCTGGTATTTTTGGGGAGATTTCGAGTGTTCTAGGGGACCCAGGAACATCCACACTGACGACCGAGCAAGGCTTGTTCCAATGACAGAGAGAGGAGGTCCTCCACAGGGAGGTGAACCGGCAAGGACAAGGAGTCCGCGACAAGGAGGAAGGGGCGGTATGGAAGGCGGGGAATAGTATCCCTGTCCGCCACACTTAGGCGGGCAAGAAAGAAAACCGGGATGACAGGCAGGGCGAGGCAAAGGTTGGAGATGTGACGCGGCCGCAAACGCTAGGAGCTCCCTGGAGAAGTCAATGGACCACCCCAAGCTGAATCCTAAGAAGGCAGAGACGAGGCTTGGTCTGCGAGGAATGTTAGTCCGCTGAAACTGCGATCTGCGGGTTAAAATTAACCGCCCGAGAGCGGGGAGAAAGGGCCATGTTTTTATTGCTGAAGGGTAAAAGGACATATGTCCAAGGCCGAGCTGATAAACGGTTCCGGAAAATACTTAACGGTCCCCTCCCGCTAGCGCAGTGAGCATCCTACCGGGGAGACGCGGTGCTGGAGCTCGCATGTCATTGCTTAACGGTGGTGGTCGCCCTTACCCATCCTTACCCATTCTGTCTCTAGCAGGATTATCAAAAAAATCACTCCAGCCTCGCGTCTATATCAGCGTCACTGGGAGGCCAGAGCTGTTCCCTCCAGCGGCGAGCTGGATCTCATTTTTCTGTAGGTCTCTGCTAAGCGTAAATTCAGTAAAAACCAGCTAATGCATTTTAGGCCCGCAAGCTCCTGCCTAAGACCTGAGGTCCGCAAAGCCCCAGCGTTAGCCGGGCAGATCACTACTGGGTGTTCATTTCGTGCAACGAAGCTCCACCCACCGGCGCAGAGAACTTTGGCCTGAATCCGAGAAGCACAACCCATGTTGGTTCTCATGCGTAACTCTCGGCCTTTATTTATTTGGTCAAGTCTTTCAAAATTCCTGGAGTCGTCAATTTTTGATCAAGAAAGTGGTATACTTTCTGCTTAATGCCATAGTTATATATGCTTATCTTTGCCAGAGCACTTGTCATACGCTATTGGAATGATCTGTTTATGTAATTTTGAATCCTCCCTCCTCCACCTTCACACTTCATTGCAAGTCTCTGTACTGTGAAATATATCCTGAACAGAGGGCACCTGTAATTTATTTCTCACTGCTCTGTGAGTGGCTGCTGTACTCCACCTCTATACTAAGGGTGTGGGAAGCCTGATGAAAGAAAAATAGCCTCTGCCCTCCAGAAGCTACCTTACTAGAGAAGGGAACAAACTTAACATAAATCTACTCTTATAAGGTGTTTGTGGTAAATGAAATTTAGGGAAAGTACAAGGAAGTTATGTATGGCATTGATAACAATTTGTTGAACCGACTTGATTTTCTATGAATATAAATTGAAAAAGCCGACGGAATTGGGTAGTGCTACTCTATATTGTTAAGGGCTATATGAGTAAATAAAAGGAAAAGAAGGTTTTAGTGCTTAGGTGGATGTAGTTTAGTGGTAGAACGCGCGCTTTGCATGTATGAGGTCCCGGTTTCGATCCCTGGCGTTTCCACTTTAGCATACTGGTTGGTTACTCCTCTTTGTTTAGGCTTGGGTAGAACTTCCTGACGTCTTCAAATACTTGGAAATAGGTCGGTGGCTTTAAAGGTCAGATGTATTTAACACGGCACACTTTCATAGTGCCAAACTTTCTCCAACTATCAAAATCCTGTAACTGCTAACTGCTTTAGAACACCTTTAAATCTTACCACTCATTAACAAAATTGGGTTTACATTGTTATGACTGAAGGTACATGATTTGTAACCAGAAATACAGTTATTTGGAGCACAGTTGAAGATGATTCTACCCTCTCTCAGCCACGAGGATCATCTTAAGAGTTAGTTTTGAGGCGGAAGGGTTGGGCAGGGGCCTCCTCGTGGCTGGGGCTCCAGCGCAAACCAGCTGCCTCACCAGCTCTGGAGCTCGCGCCGCTTGGCCTCAACCCACTCACGCGGTCCCTCCCATTGGCTTGCCTGGCTTTATCTCACCTGACGCGCCATGCCTCGCCTACCCGGGCTCTGTCCTCAACTCTGCCACCACCGCTGCGTGGCCCTGCTCGCCCTGCAGCCCGACCCCTGCCTTGCCCACTCTGAGCCTCCGCGCCAGCCCATGTATGCCATGGAAATATGGCTGTTGGAATTCTGGTGTTTTACGACCTTCTTAACACCGTCTGCGTATGTGCTAAGCAGTCTGAGCCAGTTCAGAAAGGAGTAAATGGAAGAAGATGTTGAGCGCCTGTTAACGTCCAAAAAACTTTAAGAAAAAAAAAA
This sequence comes from Homo sapiens, assembly GCF_000001405.40. NCBI lineage: Eukaryota > Metazoa > Chordata > Mammalia > Primates > Hominidae > Homo > Homo sapiens. The sequence goes on along the minus strand of NC_000006.12, from coordinate 28,633,323 downwards.
AAACCACAAAACAAAACTGTCTTCATAAACTGTAATACCACATTACAACCATTGTGGTATTCAGTTTCATAACCATCTTTATGATAAAAATTTTGGACTTTTTTAGTATTGTGCATTATAGAGATGTATAGTCAAAAATGTTTTGCTTAAGTATTAAATATAACTGAAACACTTTAAAAAATTAGCTTTGAGCTTTATATCAGGAACTGTCTGAACTATTTGCCTTAAGATACCTTTTCTGCCGTTGTTACCCTGGTCTTTTCACCAATATGCTATCTTTTTTTGGTGGGGGGGGCTGTCATATATACAATCTATAATATCTGTTTATATAGCATATATTGTATTGTAAGCCATCTTTTCAGTTGCTTGTTGAATGAGACCTGGTCTGGTTCAATTGAATTTAAGGTCATTTGAATGAACTAAAGGGTAACTTTTTCTTCTCAAAAATAAGACGTGAATTATTGATACAACCTTGAAGAAACAGCTATGCAAATTGTGTTTACGAAAATTTTTTGGACTCAAGATTGGGGAGAGAACAGAGATGGTTGCAAGGATATAAGTGCTAGAGCTTACAATTTGCATGCCTAGGGTTCCCAGTTCGATCCTTGGTATCTCCAATTTGTCTTCCCCACAAGGAGCAAAATGAAGCAAGACCTATTCTGTTTGTTCATAGGTTATTTCATTCCTCTTTCGAGGTCACTGCTAGTGTTTGCTTTTCATCTTTGTTCCCACTTCCTGGTAGTTATTCTGCAAGAAACTATATAAAGACACCATTTTTGTGGCAATTTTGGTCAATAATCAGAATAGTCAGTAATACCTACAGTGGGGATGTGGTTCCGTGGTAAAGATTGGAGGACCCACATTTGTTCCGCAGAACTTCCTCTTCCCACCTGTCTTTTTAAAGAGTGAGACATTGCATGTATTCTGTAAACAAAACAAGGCTTTTGTCTTTCTCCCCTTAACAATTTTGAAAATAGATTAAAACACCAGAAGTTGAGGCAGTTAAATACAGACATAAATGTTTATTTAGTTTTTTATTGATGTATCATTCCATGTGCTGGCTGGCTTAGTAGATTAGATGCTGATACTGAGTGGATTTTTGATCTTTGCAAGGACCTTTTTTTGGTGTGGTGAATTTATTTATTTATTTATTTATTTACTTATTTATTGAGAAGAAGTCTCGCTCTGTCTTCATGCTGGAGTGCAGTGGCACGATCTTGGCTCACTGCAACCTCTGCCTCCTGGGTTCTAGCGATTCTCCTGACTCAGCCTCCTGAGTAGCTAGGACTACAGGCGCAGGCCACCACTCCTGGCTAATTTTTTGTACTTTTAGTAGAGATGGGGTTTCACCGTGTTAGCCAGGATGGTCTCAATCTCCTGACCTCGTGATCTGCCCGCCTTGGCCTCCCAAAGTGCTGGAATTACAGGCATGAGCCACCGCGCCCAGCCTTGTGTGGTGAATTTAATTGATTCTTTTGCAAAGCTCCCAACATCTCCTTATGTCCTGTCTAATATCACTTGATGAATGTTTTCTCCCTTTTGGTTCCAGCAAAGAAATTTCTTTATTTTCAGTTATTGTCCTATTATTTCTTTCTTTCTTTTTTTAGACAGAGTCTCACTCTGTCACCCAGGCTGGAGTGCAATGGCGCTATCTTGGCTCACTGCAACCTCCGCCTCCTGGGTTCAAGCAATTCTCCTGCCTCAGCCTCCCAACTAGCTGAGATTACAGGTGCCCGCCACCACGCCCAGCTAATTTTTTTGTATTTTTAGTTGAGACAGGGTTTTACCATATTGGCCAGGGTGGTCTCAAATGACTGACCCCAGGTGATCCACCCACCTCGGCCTCCCAAAGTGCTGGGATTATAGGCGTGAGCCACCGTGCCCAGCCTGTCCTATTATTTTATTTTCAATATAGCACACTTGCTCTGGTGTACCGGCTGATGACCTAAGGGATGAGAACTTGTCAAATTACTGGTATCACACTGACGCTGTATGCCTGTGAGTTCTTGTGTTCTATGACATGTAAACATGGAACATTTCCAAGTAATTTAAATGTAAAGCAACTAAGTCACCACCACCTTTCTTTATCTTAGTTTTAAATAGGAGTGCATGCAGATGGTGAAATAAAGCCACATTGTTTTCAATGCTAGGACCTCTGGCTCCATCAACTTCTTGGTGGTGGAGGGAGCAGGATAGGGGAGAATAGTGCATGGGTATGTATCCCACTCAGCCATTTGTCTTCCAGTAACACTATGATTGTTGCCACTATGTCATTTACTCTAGTTTCTCCTCTTCCTGGTTTCCCATTATAGCCAACTGCTTTTAAAATATATGTACCATGGAACACACATAAGCTGAAGTAGAATGGATTCTCATGATAGATTAGAACAGGACTTTAATGGTTCTGAAGGAAACAAAAAGTTTCTCATGAGAAAGGTAACTGAATATATATATTAGTCTGTTCTCATGCTGCTAAGAAAGACATACCCAAGACTGGGTAATTTATAAAGGAAAGAGGTTTAATGGACTCACAGTTCCACATGGCTGGAGAGGCCTCACAATTATGGCAGAAGGCAAAGGAGAAGCAAAGGCATATCTTACATGGTGGCAGGTAAGAGGGCGTGTGCAGGGGAACTGCCTTTTATAAAAACATCAGATCTCATGAGACTTATTCACTATCACGAGAACAGCAGGGGATAAATGTGCCCCCATGATTCAATTACCTCTCACCAGGTGCCTGCCATGACACATGAGGATTATTACAAGTCAAGGTGAGATTTGGGTGGTGACACAGAGCCGAATCATATCAATATGTAAACTAGCTTTCCATATTCACTCCACTCTGGTTGCCCTATCAGTAGGCAAAGGAGTTATTACATTGCTTTTTGTCATTTTTGTTTTTTAAATTTTAGAGATGTGGCCTTGCTATGTTGCCCAGGCTGGCCTTCCACTTCTTGGGCTCAAGTGATCCTCATGCCTCAGCCTCCTGAATAGCTGGGACTACAGGCATGGGTTGCCATTGTATGCCCAGCTATTATTGTGTTGTTGTGATTAATGGTTTTGTTCTGTTTCTTCATAATAACTTCTAATAATGACCCAGTTTTGTTTTCATTTTTATTTTACTTTTTACTTTTGAGACAGAGTCTCACTCTTTCACCCAGGCTGGAGTGCAGTTGCATGATCTTAGCTCGCCACAACCTCCACCTTACAGGTTCAAGCGATTCTCCTGCCTCAGCCTCACTAGTAGCTGGTATTACAGATGCATGTCGCCACACCCAGCTAATTTTTGTATTTTTAGTAGAGATGGGGCTTCACCTTGTTGGCCAGGCTGATCTTGAACTCCTGATCTCAAGTGATCCACACACCTCGGCCTCCCAAAGTGCTGGGATTACAGGTGTGAGCCACAGTGCCTGGCCAACCCAGTTTTAATAAGAAATAGTAAGAAACAATTTTAAAAGAAATAAATTTAATAAGGAATAGTAATAAAAAATTCTTTCTTCCCTATTATGCACACAGTAAATTACCTGCTATCATCATTATCATTTTTGTCATCATCATAGTTTTCATTATCATTATTATCCATTGGCATGCCACACGCTAACAAGCACAGTCCCTAAAGTCAAAAAAAGGGAGAGATAAATTTAATTAAATCAAAATTAAAAATGTATTTTAAAAAATTTAATTTTAGCCTTTAGTTTTTGTTGTTGTTGTTTTGTTTGTTTGTTTGTTTTTGAGACGGAGTCTCTCACTCTGTCTCCCAGGCTGGAGTGCAGTGGCGCAATCTCAGCTCACTGCAAGCTTCGCCTCCTGGGTTCACGCCATTCTCCTGCCTCAGCCTCCCGAGTAACTGGGACTACAGGCGCCCGCCACCGTGCCCGGCTAATTTTTTGTATTTTTAGTAGAGACGGGGTTTCACCGTGTTAGCCAGGATGGTCTCGATCTCCTGACCTTGTGATCCACCTGCCTCGGCCTCCCAAAGTGCTGGGATTACAGGCAAGAGCCACCACGGCTGGCCAAGCCTTTAGTTTGAAAGAAATTGGAGATTGTTAAAGATTTCAAATACCTTAGAGACAAAGAATACCTTAGAACAAAATTAACACATTGATGAATCTGATAATTTTATGGGTCAACTTTACTGGGCCACAGGATGCCCAGACATGTGATTAAACATCATTTCTGGGTATGTCTGTGAGGGTGTTTCCAGAAGACAGTAGCATTTGAATTGCTGGACTGAGTAAAGCCGATGGCTTTCCTCAATGTGGGTGGACATAATCCAATCCATTGAGGGTCTGAATAGAACAGAAGGAGGGGAAGGTTGGATTCACCTTCTCTCTGCTTGACAGGTTGTGCAGGAACACTCACACTCTGCCCTTGATGCTCCTGGTTCTCAGGCCCTTAGATTTGATAAGAATCTATGCCACCCACCCTCCAGCTCTTAGGCCTTCCAAATACAACACTAGCTTTTTTGGGTCTCCAGCTTGCAGATGGTAGATCATGGAACCTCTCAGCCTCCAGAATTGCGTAAAGCAAAACCTTATAATAAGTCTCTTTATATATATAGTAAATATGCATAATATTTATTATAGTAACATAATAAGTATTATTATATTAGGATATGTTATAATATATACTAATTACAATTATACTACAATGTTATAAAATTTACATATAATAAATTATATGTATAATAATATATATCTATATAATCTGTTACTCTGGAGAACTCGGACTAACACAACGACAGATTTAGAGAAGTTATTTGCAATATTTAAAACAAGCAATGAAATAATTCTTAGAATATGCAAAGAACAATTGCAAAGCAATAACAAATCTAGCAACTCTTGACATTAGATTTCTTTTAAAAAAAAATTTATTGGCCTGGTGTGGTAGCTCACGCCTGTAATCCCAGCACTTTGGGAGGCCAAGACAGGTGGATCACAAGGTCAGGAGTTCGAGAACAGCCTGGCCAAGATGGTGAAACCCCATTTCTACTAAAAGTACAAAAATTAGCCGGGCGCAGTGGCAGGCGCCTGTAATCCCAGCTACTCAGGAGGCTGAAACAGGAGAATCACTCGAACCCAGGAGGCAGAGATTGCACTGAGCTGAGACTGCGCCACTGCACTCCAGTCTGGGCAACAGAATGATACTCTGTCTCAAAAACAGAAAAACAAAAAACAACAACAACAAAAAAACAGATTTATTGAGGTATAACTGATATACAAAGAACTGCACACAATGTGTACAATATGATGAATTCGGGCACAAGGAAATACCCATGATCCATCACCACAATCAAGGTAATAGACATATCCACCAACCAAAGTTTCCTTATGTCTCTTTGGGTTTTTTTGGTTTTGTTTCGTCTTTATTTTTTGTATGTGGTACAAACATTTAAAGTGAGAGCTGTCATCTTAACAAATTTTGAAGCGTACAATACCTTATTGTTAACTGTAGGTGCTATGTTGTACAGCAGATCTCTAGAACTTATTCATGTAGCATAACTGAAATATATCCATTGAGCAACAATTCCCCATCTTCTTCAGCCTCCCAGCCCCTGGCAACCACTATTGCATTCTCTGTTTCTGAGTTTAACTGTTACAGACACCTCATGTAAGTGGAATCATGCAGTATTTGTGCTGTGACTGGCTTATTTCAGTTCCCATAATGTCCTCCAGGTTCATCAATATTGTTGCAAATGGCAGGATTTTCTTCTTTTCTAAGCCTAATAATTTTCCGTTGGATATATATGCCACACTTTGTTTTTTCATTCATCTGTCAATGGATACAGGTTGTTTCCATATCTTGGCTATTGTGAATAATGCTACAATGAACATGGAAGTGCATATATCTCCTTGAGATTCTGATTTCAATTTTTTTGCAAATATACCCAAAAGTGGGATTGCAGGATCACATGGCAGTCTTTTTTTATTTTATTTTATTATTATTATACTTTAAGTTTTAGGGTACATGTGCACAATGTGCATGTTAGTTACATATGTATACATGTGCCATGCTGGTGTGCTGCACCCATTAACTCGTCATTTAGCATTAGGTATATCTCTTAATGCTATCCCTCCCCCCTCCCCCCACCCCACAACAGGCCCCAGAGTGTGATGTTCTCCTTCCTATGTCCATGTGTTCTCATTGTTCAATTCCCACCTATGAGTGAGAACATGCGGTGTTTGGTTTTTTGTTCTTGCGATAGTTTACTGAGAATGATGATTTCCAATTTCATCCATGTCCCTACAAAGGACATGAACTCATCATTTTTTATGGCTGCATAGTATTCCATGGTGTATATGTGCCACATTTTCTTAATCCAGTCTATCATTGTTGGACATTTGGGTTGGTTCCAAGTCTTTGCTATTGTGAATAGTGCCGCAATAAACATACGTGTGCATGTGTCTTTATAGCAGCATGATTTATAGTCCTTTGGGTATATACCCAGTAATGGGATGGCTGGGTCAAATGGTATTTCTAGTTTTAGATCCCTGAGGAATTGCCACACTGACTTCCACAATGGTTGAACTAGTTTACAGTCCCACCAACAGTGTAAAAGTGTTCCTATTTCTCCACATCCTCTCCAGCACCTGTTGTTTCCTGACTTTTTAATGATTGCCATTCTAACTGGTGTGAGATGGTATCTCATTGTGGTTTTGATTTGCATTTCTCTGACGGCCAGTGATGGTGAGCATTTTTTCATGTGTTTTTTGGCTGCATAAAGGTCTTCTTTTGAGAAGTGTCTGTTCATGTCCTTCGCCCATTTTTGGTGGGGTTGTTTTTTTTTTCTTGTAAATTTCTTTGAGTTCATTGTAGATTCTGGATATTAGCCCTTTGTCAGATGAGTAGGTTGCAAAAATTTTCTCCCATTTTGTAGGTTGCCTGTTCACTCTGATGGTATTTTCTTTTGCTGTGCAGAAGCTCTTTAGTTTAATTAGATCCCATTTGTCAATTTTGGCTTTTGTTGCCATTGCTTTTGGTGTTTTAGACATGAAGTCCTTGCCCATGCCTATGTCCTGAATGGTAATGCCTAGGTTTTCTTCTAGGGTTTTTATGGTTTTAGGTCTAACATTTAAGTCTTTAATCCATCTTGAATTAATTTTTGTATAAGGTGTAAGGAAGGGATCCAGTTTCAGCTTTCTACATATGGCTAGCCAGTTTTCCCAGCACCATTTATTAAATAGGGAATCCTTTCCCCATTGCTTGTTTTTCTCAGGTTTGTCAAAGATCAGATAGTTGTAGTTATGCGGCGTTATTTCTGAGGGCTCTGTTCTGTTCCATTGATCTATATCTCTGTTTTGGTACCAGTACCATGCTGTTTTGGTTACTGTAGCCTTATAGTATAGTTTGAAGTCAGGTAGCGTGATGCCTCCAGCTTTGTTCTTTTGGCTTACGATTGACTTGGCGATGCAGGCTCTTTTTTGGTTCCATATGAACTTTAAAGTAGTTTTTTCCAATTCTGTGAAGAAAGTCATTGGTAGCTTGATGGGGATGGCATTGAATCTATCAATTACCTTGGGCAGTATGGCCCTTTTCATGATATTGATTCTTCCTACCCATGAGCATGGAATGTTCTTCCATTTCTTTGTATCCTCTTTCATTTCATTGAGCAGTGGTTTGTAGTTCTACTTGAAGAGGTCCTTCACATCCCTTGTAAGTTGGATTCCTAGGTATTTGATTCTCTTTGAAGCAATTGTGAATGGGAGTTCACTCATGATTTGGCTCTCTGTTTGTCTGTTATTGGTGTATAAGAATGCTTGTGATTTTTGTACATTGATTTTGTATCCTGAGACTTTGCTGAAGTTGCTTATCAGCTTAAGGAGATTTTGGGCTGAGACAATGGGGTTTTCTAGATATACAATCATGTCATCTGCAAACAGGGACAATTTGACTTCCCCTTTTCCTAATTGAATACCCTTTATTTCCTTCTCCTGCTTAATTGCCCTGGCCAGAACTTCCAACACTATGTTGAATAGGAGTGGTGAGAGAGGGCATCCCTGTCTTGTGCCAGTTTTCAAAGGGAATGCTTCCAGTTTTTGCCCATTCAGTATGATACTGGCTGTGGGTTTGTCATAGATAGCTCTCATTATTTTGAGATACGTCCCATCAATACCTAATTTATTGGGAGTTTTTAGCATGAAGGTTGTTGAATTTCGTCAAAGGCCTTTTCTGCATCTATTGAGATAATCATGTGGTTTTTGTCTTTGGTTCTGTTTATATGCTGGATTACATTTATTGATTTGTGTATATTGAACCAGCCTTGCATCCCAGGGATGAAGCCCACTTGATCATGGTGGATAAGCTTTTTGATGTGCTGCTGGATTCGGTTTGCCAGTATTCTATTGAGGATTTTTGCATCAATGTTCATCAAGGATATTGGTCTAAAATTCTCTTTTTTGGTTGTGTCTCTGCCAGGCTTTGGTATCAGGATGATGCTGGCCTCATAAAATGAGTTAGGAAGGATTCCCTCTTTTTCTATTGATTGGAATCGTTTCAGAAGGAATGGTACCAGTTCCTCCTTGTACCTCTGGTAAAATTCAGCTGTGAATCCATCTGGTCCTGGACTCTTTTTGGTTGGTAAGCTATTGATTATTGCCACAATTTCAGCTCCTGTTATTGGTCTATTCAGAGATTCAACTTCTTCCTGGTTTAGTCTTGGGAGGGTGTATGTGTCGAGGAATTTATCCATTTCTTCTAGGTTTTCTAGTTTATTTGCATAGAGGTGTTTGTAGTATTCTCTGATGGTAGTTTGTATTTCTGTGGGATCGGTGGTGATATCCCCTTTATCATTTTTTATTGCATCTATTTGATTCTTCTCTCTTTTCTTCTTTATTAGTCTTGCTAGCAGTCTATCAATTTTGTTGATCCTTTCAAAAAACCAGCTCCTGGATTTATTAATTTTTTGAAGGGTTTTTTGTATCTCTATTTCCTTCAGTTCTGCTCTGATTTTAGTTATTTCTTGCCTTCTGCTAGCTTTTGAATGTGTTTGCTCTTGCTTTTCTAGTTCTTTTAATTGTGATGTTAGGGTGTCAATTTTGGATCTTTCCTGCTTTCTCTTGTGGGCATTTAGTGCTATAAATTTCCCTCTACACACTGCTTTGAATGTGTCCCAGAGATTCTGGTATGTTGTGTCTTTGTTCTTGTTGGTTTTAAAGAACATCTTTATTTCTGCGTTCATTTCGTTATGTACCCAGTAGTCATTCAGGAGCAGGTTGTTCAGTTTCCATGTAGTTGAGCGGTTTTGAGTGAGTTTCTTAATCCTGAGTTCTACTTTGATTGCACTGTGGTCTGAGAGACAGTTTGTTATAATTTCTGATATTTTACAATTGCTGACGAGAGCTTTACTTCCAACTATGCAGTCAATTTTGGAATAGGTGTGGTGTGGTGCTGGAAAAAATGTATATTCTGTTGATTCGGGGTGGAGAGTTCTGTAGATGTCTATTAGGTCCGCTTGGTGCAGAGCTGAGTTCAATTACTGGGTATCCTTGTTAACTTTCTGTCTCATTGATCTGTCTAATGTTGACAGGGGGGTGTTAAAGTCTCCCATTATTATTGTGTGGGAGTCTAAGTCTCTTTGTAGGTCACTCAGGACTTGCTTTATGAATCTGGGTGCTCCTGTATTGGGTGCATATATATTTAGGATAGTTAGCTCTTCTTGTTGAATTGATCCCTTTACCATTATGTAATGGCCTTCTTTGTCTCTTTTGATCTTTGTTGGTTTAAAGTCTGTTTTATCAGAGACTAGGATTGCAACCCCTGCCTTTTTTTGTTTTCCACTTGCTTGGTAGATCTTCCTCCATCCTTTTATTTTGAGCCTATGTGTGTCTCTGCACGTGAGATGGGTTTCCTGAATACAGCACACTGATGGGTCTTGATTCTTTATCCAATTTGCCAGTCTGTGTCTTTTAATTGGAGAATTTAGTCCATTTACATTTAAAGTTAATATTGTTATGTGTGAATTTGATCCTGTCATTATGATGTTAGCTGGTTATTTTGCTCATTAGTTGATGCCGTTTCTTCCTAGCCTCGATGGTCTTTACAATTTGGCATGATTTTGCAGTGGCTGGTACTGGTTGTTCCTTTCCATGTTTAGTGCTTCCTACAGGAGCTCTTTTAGGGCAGGCCTGGTGGTGACAAAATCTCTCAGCATTTGCTTGTCTGTAAAGTATTTTATTCTCCTTCACTTATGAAGCTTAATTTGGCTGGATATGAAATTCTGGGTTGAAACTTCTTTTCTTTAAGAATGTTGAATATTGGCCCCCACTCTCTTCTGGCTTGTAGAGTTTCTGCCGAGAGATCCACTGTTAGTCTGATGGGCTTCCCTTTGTGGGTAACCTGACCTTTCTCTCTGGCTGCCCTTAACATTTTTTCCTTCATTTCAACTTTGGTGAATCTGACAATTATGTGTCTTGGAGTTGCTCTTCTCGTGGAGTATCTTTGTGGCGTTCTGAATCTGTGTATTTCCTGAATCTGAATGTTGGCCTGCCTTGCTAGATTGGGGAAGTTCTCCTGGATAATATCCTGAAGAGTGTTTTCCAACTTGGTTCCATTCTCCCAGTCACTTTCAGGTGCACCAATCAGACGTAGATTTGGTCTTTTCACATAGTCCCATATTTCTTGGAGGCTTTGTTTGTTTCTTTTTATTCTTTTTTCTCTAAACTTCCCTTCTCCCTTCATTTCATTCATTTCATCTTCCATCACTGATACCCTTTCTTCCAGTTGATCGCATCAGCTCCTGAGGCTTCTGCATTCTTCACGTAGTTCTCGAGCCTTGGCTTTCAGCTCCATCAGCTCCTTTAAGCACTTCTCTGTATTGGTTATTCTAGTTATACATTCTTCTAAATTTTTTTCAAAGTTTTCAACTTCTTTGCCTTTGGTTTGAATTTCCTCCTGTAGCTCGGAGTAGTTTGATCGTCTGAAGCCTTCTTCTCTCAACTCGTCAAAGTCATTCTCCGTCCAGCTTTGTTCCATTGCTGGTGAGGAACTGCGTTCCTTTGGAGGAGGAGAGGCGCTCTGCTTTTTAGAGTTTCCAGTTTTTCTGCTCTGTTTTTTCCCCATCTTTGTGGTTTTATCTACTTTTGGTCTTTGATGATGGTGATGTACAGATGGGTTTTTGGTGTGGATGTCCTTTCTGTTTGTTAGTTTTCCTTCTAACAGACAGGACCCTCAGCTGCAGGTCTGTTGGAGTTTGCTAAAGGTCCACTCTAGACCCTGTTTGCCTGGGTACCAGCAGCGGTGGCTGCAGAACAGCGGATTTTCATGAACCGCGAATGCTGCTGTCTGATCGTTCCTCTGGAAGTTTTGTCTCAGAGGAGTACCCGGCCGTGTGAGGTGTCAGTCTGCCCCTACTGGGGGGTGCCTCCCAGTTAGGCTGCTCGGGGGTCAGGGGTCAGGGACCCACTTGAGGAGGCAGTCTGCCTGTTCTCAGATCTCCAGCTGCGTGCTGGGAGAACCACTGCTCTCTTCAAAGCTGTCAGACAGGGACATTTAAGTCGGCAGAGGTTACTGCTGTCTTTTTGTTTGTCTGTGTCCTGCCCCCAGAGGTGGAGCCTACAGAGGGAGGCAGGCCTCCTTGAGCTGTGGTGGGCTCCACCCAGTTGGAGCTTCCCGGCTGCTTTGTTTACCTAAGCAAGCCTGGGCAATGGCGGGCGCCCCTCCCCCAGCCTCGCTGCCACCTTGCAGTTTGATCTCAGACTGCTGTGCTAGCAATCAGCGAGACTCCGTGGGCGTAGGACCCTCCGAGCCAGGTGCGGGATATAGTCTCCTGGTGTGCCGTTTTTTAAGCCCGTCGGAAAAGCGCAGTATTGGGGTGGTAGTGACCCGATTTTCCAGGTGCCGTCTGTCACCCCTTTCTTTGACTAGGAAAGGGAACTCCCTGACCCCTTGCACTTCCCCAGTGAGGCAATGCCTCGCCCTGCTTCGGCTTGCACACGGTGCGCTGCACCCACTGTCCTGCGCCCACTGTCTGGCACTCCCTAGTGAGATGAACCCGGTACCTCAGATTGAAATGCAGAAATCACCCGTCTTCTGCGTCGCTCACGCTGGGAGCTGTAGACCGGAGCTGTTCCTATTTGGCCATCCGGTAGTCTTATTTTTAATTTTTGGAAGAACCTTCATATTGTTTTCCATTGCTGCTTCACTATTTTACATTCCCACTAACAAGTGTACAGGGGTTTCAATTTCTCCACATCCTTGCCAACACTTGTTATCTTTGTTGTTTTTTATAATAGCCATCTCTACAAGTATGAAGTGACATGTCTTTGTAGTTTTGATTTGCATTTTCCTGATAATTAATGATGTTGAGCATCTTTTTATATACTTGTTGGTTATTTGTATGTCTTTTTTGGAGGAATATGTGTTCCAGTTTTTTGCCCATTGTTTAATTAGGTTATTTGGTTTTTGTTTGTACTCCTTTTTTTGCTATTGTGTTTTATGAGTCCTTTATATATTTTGGAAATTAGCTCCTTTACAGGTATATGATGTGCAAATATTCCCTCCCATTCTGTAGGTAACCTTTTTGTTCATTTGTTTTTGCTATGAAATTGTTGAGACTTCTAACTTTTGCTTGTTTCAGTAGTGTAAAATGAAGTTTTATTGTTATTTATTGTTGATTACTAACGAATACTGCATCTTCACATCCTCATTAGCCTCTTGTATCTTTTCTTTTTGTAAATGCCTGTTTATGTCCTTATTTGACTTTCTATTTGTTTGTTTTTGGTTTGCACTTCTGGGTAAAGTGCAGAATAATACACAGCCATCCTTAGAGAAATCGGCTAGTATTTAGGCAATCATGTTAACACATTCTCTATGACCAAATGTAATAGACACAGATGCTCTGCCCAAATCTACCTGCAAGGAAGGACTAGTTGTTGCTTCAGCTATTACAAGTGCATTCAGCAGACGATCCACAACTGTCAGGACTTTCAGGGATTGTTTCAGCTGCAGAGCTGCCTGCCCAAGATCACATCCTTTTTGAGGCTGTTCATATCAAATGAGTGAAGGGGCAAGAATATATATATATATATTTGGAGACGGAGTTTCACTCTTGTTGCCCAGGCTGAAATGCAATGGTGCGATCTTGGCTCACCGCAACCTCTGCCTCCTGGGTTCAAGCAATTCTCTTGCCTCAGCTTCCCAAGTAGCTGGGATTACAGGCATGCACCACCACGCCTGGCTAATTTTGTAGACACAGGGTTTCTCCATGTTGGTCAGGCTGGTCTCGAACTCCCCACCTCAGGTGATGTGCCCTCCTCGGCCTCCCAAAGTGCTGGGATTACAGGCGTGAGCCACTGCACCCAGCCGAAGGGGCAAGAGTATTAAGGGCCCAAAGTGGAGCAGATGGACCACTTAGCCTCAGACCTCCCCATAGTGTTAGCTGAGGCTGTCAGGCATGCATCCTACCTTGCATGCATCCTAGCTTGACTTCTTCTCAATCTTGAGTCTACTCTCTGCCTTCCACAGATGTGGATCTCAAAGAAACTGCGTAATAAACATCCTGCACATTAAACTCTATCTCGCTGGGCACAGTGGCTCATGCCTATTGGGAGGCTGAGACGGGCAGATCACTTGAGGTCAGGAGTTCGAGACCAGCCTGGCCAACATGGTGAAACTCCGTCTCTACCAAAAAAAATACAAAAAAAAAAAAAAATTAGCTGGGCATGGTGGGGTGAGCCTGTAATCCTACCTACTCAGGAGGCTGAGGCACGAGAATCGCTTGAATCTGGGAGGTAGAGGTTGTAGTAAGCAGGGATCGCGCCATTGCACTCCAGCCTGGGTGACAGAGTGAGACCTTGTCTCAAAAATAACAAAACAAAACAGAACAAAACAAAACAACTCTATCTCAAGGTCTACTTCACAGATAATCTAACCTGTGACACCAAGCCACTATGCTCCTGTGTATATGTGGAAAATTGTAAGAAAATTCTTACACATACATGTACAGGGACATGAGGAAATATTTTTATTGCATCATTTATTATCAGATATTTATATATTACATTTTTATTTATATACATATTTATATATTAGCATATATCATCTATATATATTATTATAAACTCTGTCCTTCTGGGTTTTTATGGAGGCTTCATTACATAGGCATGACTGGTTAAATCATTGGTCATTGGTGATCAACTCAGCCTTTAATGCCTCTCTTCTCCCTGGAGGTTTGGGGTTGGAGCTGAAAGTTCTATCCCTCTGATCACATGGTTGGTTTCCCTGACAACCAGTTCCTGAGGCTATCCAGGAGCCCACCAAGAGTCTCCTCATTAGAAAAAAAGGTCTTAGGAGCTCTGTGTCAGGAACTGGGGCAAAGATCAAACATTAGAACAAAAGATTTTCCTACTGCCCACCTAAGGGTTTCAGAAGTTCTATGTCAGTAACCAGGGGCACAGACATATTGTGTGTGTGTGTGTATATATGTATACACACACACACGAACATAATACACATACACATATTATATATATATATATACACACACACACATATCTATAAAATATATATTTCTTTTCTTTTTTTTTTTTTGAGAGAGGGTCTCTGTCACCCAGCCTGGAGTGCAGTGGTATGACTGTAACTCACTGCAGCCTTGATCTCCCAGGCTGAAGCGATGTCCCACTGCAGCCCCCCAAATAGCTGGGACTACAGGTGCGCACAGCCAGCCACGGCTAATTTTTAAAGAAATTATTTTTGGTAGAGACGGAGTTGCCTAGGCTGGTCTCTGAACTCCTAGGCTCAAGCAATTCTCCCGCCTCGGCCTCCCAAAGTGCTGGGATTACAGGCGTAAGCCACTGTGCTGGTCTGTATTTCTTATTTCAAAATATCATAGTGGTAGACCTACACGTGAACTACTCTGCATCCACTATGTGGCAGGCCAGGTTTCACCAACTCAGGCCTGTATCACAACTGTTTCAGTACTGACTGACTGGTTAAGTTAAATATTAAAAGCTAAGACAAGCCAGTGCCCTTATACAAAGGCTGGAATGTAACAAAAGCCCCTCAGAGTTTTGCCTAGGACTTTCGTGGGCCTTATAGCATGACAAAATAACGAAGGAGTTCTTAACAGGACGCATTTAGGATTAAACAAGTTTTATTGGGAGTCTGAAGAAACTCACCAGGCCTCCACAAACAAGTTTACTGGAGGTCTGAAGGAACTCCCCAAACCTTGATTTAGCAGGGGACAAGCTAAGGGTAATCACCCCAGCACCTAGACTCATTTAGATTAAGTAATCTTACTGAGGCTCCAGAGGAAAGTCTTCAAGACTGAGACCTTAGTTATAGATTGAAAGAAGTTAATCACTTATGTCTTTAGATGAATGCACACTTACACATAGACATATAGCTTAAAAGGTATATAAGCTCTGGAAAACTTTGACATTTTGAGTTGGTCTGGCAATAATTTCCAGGCCTTCTTCCTGTAAGCAGTTACAGGAATAAAAACTCTCTTCCTCCCCAGTTCATCTGCATCTCGTTATTGAGCATAGAGAAACAGCAGCCAGACCCTTAGTTTGGCCAGAAACAATTAGAAACAATGAAGAAAATATACATGTAGTAACATACAAAACATCATGTTTAAAGAGTAAGAAATAATACTGAACTCTATAAATCACATTATTTACATATATAAAAATATATGCACAAAAGCAACACAAGTTACAATAAGACATACAAATAAAAAGGCACATTAAATACATTCAAATTATGGGAGAAATCTGAGACAAGAAAGGGAAAATTAGATTTTTTAAAAGGAACAAATAGGCGGAGCGCCCGTGGCTCATGCCTGTAATCCCAACACTTTGGGAGGCCCAGGTGGGAGGCTCTTGGAGACCAGTCTGGGCAACATGGGGAAACCCCATTTCTACAACAAATACAAAAAAATTAGCCGGGCATGGTGGTGCACGTCTATAGTCCCAGCTATTCAGAAGGCTGAGGTGGGAGAATCACCTGCGCCTAAGAGGTCGGGCACCAGTGAGCCGAGATAAATAAATAAATAAATAGATAGATAGGCCAGGCGCTGTGGCTCACACCTGTAATCCCAGCACTTTGGGAGGCTGAGGCGGGCAGATCACTTTAGGTCAGGAGTTCGAAGCCAGCCTGGCCAACATGGTGAAACCCCGTCTCTACTAAAAATATAAAAAATTAGCTGGGTGTGATGGTGTGCGCCTGTAATCCCAGCTACTCAGGAAGCAGAAGCAAAAGAATCGCTTGAACCCGGGAGGCGGAGGTTGCAGTGAGCCAAGATCATGCCAGTGCATGCCACTGCATGCCTGGGTGCCACTGCATGCCTGGGTGACAGAGACACCATCTCAAATAAATAAATAAATAAATAAACAAAATAAATAAGAGAGGAGCCTTCTACAAACTGCTGTGGAAGAGAAGGGAAGACCATGATTACCTTAAATCTACCTGAAATAAAAATAGAATAAAATGAGGCAGAGTAGAAAGGGGGCTTGGCTGCAGGCTACCCCCACTAGGGCATTCCTTCATGCATCTCCACTGATCACAAAACCTACCCCACTGCCTCACTGACGCCATAATGTTAGAACTATGCATTTAAAAGAATTCCAGGAACTGACCTTAGGAGACAACCAAGGTTGCCGAGTGTCCCACTTTGGGAAGGAATGTTGAACAATCAATCGATTTACAGTCTCTTGCCTCCGGCCAGACGACAGGGTGGCTCATTAACTCAAGATAACCAGAGTAACTAAGTATGCCGCCCTGCACGCCCTACCCCGACGTCAGTTCCCGCGCTTTGCCTCTTAAGAAAGCTTTGCCTCTTAAGAAAGACTCGGGCTCTGGAGCTCCAGCAGAGCCGGGGCCTCGGCTCCAACCCGTCGGGCCCCGACTTGAAGCAGCGGGGAACCTCTCCTCACACCTCGGTGACCGGGTGGCCGCCGGGACACAGAGGCTTTGGGTGGCGGCGTGTTTGCGGGTCGGGAAGAACCGCGCAGAGGCCACTAGGGCGCAGGGCCCGGGAAGGCGGAGCTAGGGACTGGCTCGGCCTCCTTTTTAGGCCACTGCGCCGCGCAGATCCGGTCCTCGGGCGACCGCTCTGTCCCAGTTGGGCGAGACTACCTGGTCCTGATAACAGTGGATAACGGCTTTAACGGCCAGAAGGTCAGCGCAGTCCCGGATGAGGACGAGTAGAACGGTAACGGCCATGGGGCGGTTGGCCTTCCTTCTACCAGACCTTGATGTGGGAAGAGAGAAATGGAGTAACAAGCCACATTTGGCGCTTTGGAGATGCCCACCACGCTTTGGGAAGATGTACCAGCGTTTATAGAAGGCCCGAGTGTATAAGGTGAGAAAGCTACTCTCAGCTTCCCCGAAAACTTTTACAAGAAAACATTTGCCACATCTAGCCCCTCCAGATGTAAAGAAGCTGCCGATGTATGATAGACTAAGAATATCACACATC
The DNA here is from genome assembly GCF_000001405.40 of Homo sapiens. NCBI lineage: Eukaryota > Metazoa > Chordata > Mammalia > Primates > Hominidae > Homo > Homo sapiens. The sequence continues at coordinate 28,615,907 of NC_000006.12, read as the reverse complement.
TTGTAAATTCCCATTTGTTTAAAAAAATCGTAGAAAATAAACATCTTCTGGAGATGACTTTTTGAAATGGAGATGTTGCATCACCTCTGGAGCAGACACATACACGTTTGTTCAGTGGGTTAGACTAGGACATGGAGAAGATCTGAGAAGGACGAGAAGAAGGTCCTATGCCAGACTGGTCATATTTAGAAGACGTTTACATATTATAATCGTTGTCTTCCGTGTGCATTTTATTCCTCACTACTGTATATGTAGTTGACAACTCCAAGTACTTTTTGAAATGTCTAGTCTTTTTTTTTTTTTTTTTGAGATGGAGTCTCTCTCTGTTGCCTAGGCTGGAGTGCAGTGGCGCGATCATGGCTCACTTCCCACGTACAAGTGATTCTCCTGCCTCAGTCTCCCAAGTAGCTGAGATTACAGGCGCGCACCACCATGCCCTACTAATTTTTGTATTTTTAGTAGAAACGAGTTTCACCATGTTGGCGAGGCTGGTTTTGAACTCCTGACCTCAAATGATCCGCCCACCTCGGCCTCTCAAAGTGCTGGGATTACAGGCCTGAGCCACTGCTCCCGGAAATGTCTAGTCTTTCTAGATGGTCTGAAGTGTCTAATACGTGTTAAATTTAGAGATAGTAAAATATTACATTTTGTAAATATCTTTTGGTTAAAATTCATATGAAATGTTTTGAGAGGGGAATGGCCAACCACCAGTTCAGTAACAAACATTGTGTTTATGCACTGGTTCAGGGCAGGAGGAGAAGGAGGCTGTGCAGAGAGCTCTATGCCACCAGTGTGCTTACGGTGAGGCAAGATTAACTATTGTCTCTCATGTCTGTGCACTTTGTTTTCCTTATCTGTGTATACAGTGTTTATAGAGGAAAACAAGTCCTAATTTACATCTAGACTTTCTAGACATTAAAGAGGTTTCCAGTATATGACAAAAGTAGAGTTAGTAAACTAATATATCTTGAACATATTGTTTTAAAATTCCTTGGGAAAATTGTCTTCTGAAAATCTGAGCATTACTGGCCACTGGGTTGACTGAGATGGGAAGGGTTCTAGGCTGGAATATTTTTATTTGGAAGATTCTTTCAGATTTTAACTATTGTTACATGTGTACAGTTTATTCAAGACTGCTTTGCAGGACCAGCACGATGGCTCACACCTGTAATCCCAGCACTTTGGGAGGCTGAGGTGGGTGGATTGCTTGAGGCCAGGAGTTCAAGACCAGCCTGGCCAACATGGTGAAACCCCATCTCTACTAAAAATACAAAAATTAGCTGGGTGTGGTGATGCATGCCTGTAATCCCAGCTACTTGGGAGGCTGAGACAGGAGAATCACTTGAACCAGGGAGGCGGAGGTTGCAGTGAGCCAAGATCACACCACTGCACTCCAGCCTGGGTGATGGAGCAAGACCCTGCCTCCAAAAAAAAGAAAAGAAAAAAGAAAACTGCTCTGTATATAGTGGACAACAAATATACTCCTTACCTGAAACATCTAGCCTATCTAGATGTTTAGAAGTGCCCAGCATATGTTAAATGTACAGGTAACATTTAACCTCTAATGTAAGAGTAAAATAATCACTTAAAAATATCTTTTTGCTAAAATTCATAAGAAATAGTGTCTTTTGAAAGTGGAATTGTTGCCAGGCGCGGTGGCTCACGCCTGTAATCCCAGCACTTTGGGAGGCCGAGGCGGGTGGATCACCTGAGGTCAGGAGTTTGAAACCAGCCATGGTCAACATGGTGAAACTCTGTCTCTACTAAAAATACAAAATCAGCTGGGCGTGGTGGTACATGCCTGTATTCCCAGCTTCTTGGGAGGCTGAAGCAGGAGAATCGCTTGAACCTGGGAGGCAGAGGTTGCAGTGAGCCAAGATCACGCCATTGCGCTCCATCCTGGGCAACAAGAGCGAAACTCCATCTAAAAAAAAAAAAAAGAAAAGAAAAGAAAGTGGAATTGTTAAACCGCCCCTGTGAGTGGTATAGTAGTGTCTATACTTGTTTAATGGTTTAGTGGAAGTGGGAGGGAAGATATTGCAAAAGGTAATATGCTAGTGTGCTTATACTTGGACTTTTTAGACACCATTTTTCTGTATGTTTTGTGGATTTTGTTTTGCTGTGTATAAAGTTTATAATAAACAAATGAGTCATAATTTTGCAACATCTAGTCCCTTAGATGTTAGAGGTTGCCAGTGTATGACAAAGTACTCAGTAAAATTAGCTCATTTTGTACACTTTGTGTTGAAATTCATAGGAAAGCTTGTCTTCTGTAAATGACTTTTGGATACTAATTTGTTCAACCATCTCTAAGCATTACATGTGCCTGTACATGTCCACTGAATTGAAGGCAGAGAGAAGGAAGTGAGGAGGGAATGGTTCAAGACTAAAATGATCATATTTGGAAGATACCTCAGATTATAACCATTGTTACATGTATGCAATTTTATTTAACAGTGCTGTATACATGGTGGAAAAGTTATATGAAATATCTAGTCTTTTCAGCTATTTAGAAGTGCTTGATGTATTTAAAAGCAGAAGTAGTTGAATAACACTTTGTAAATAGCTTTTAAAGACTGATGGGAAATACTGTATTTGGAAGTGGAATTGTTAAACCACCTCTCTGAACAGTGTGCTCTCTACTTGTTCGTTGAGTTGAGGGAGGTAGGAGGAAAGAAACTGCAAAAGGTGTTTTGCTAGTGTGTACTAGAAAATTTCAGCTTATCCATTGCCTTATATGTTATGTGCTTTTCATTTAACTTTGCTATACTGCGCATATTGTGTATATACTGGACAAATGAGTTGTTGAGTGTATATTTTATAATATACAGTCTCTATATATTAAATTTTATAATATCTAGTCAATTTTGTAACATCTAGTCTCTAGATATTAAAGAGATTGCCAGTGTATGACAAAAGTAGTGTTAATAAACTAACCCATTTTGTACACTTTGTGTTAAAATTCATTTAAAGACTGTCTCCTGAAAAGGACTTTTGGAAGTGAAATGATAACATCAGCTAAGTGACACAAGTGCCTATATCCACTGAGTTTGTGGTGGAGAGGAGTGGGAAGAAATTAAGGATTCTAGAATAGAATGTTTCAATTTAGAAGACACTTTCAGATATAACCACTGTTACATGTGTGTGGTTTATTCAACACTACTATGTATATAGTGGACAAACTTAAGTCCTTAATTGAAACATCTAGGCTTTCTAAATGTTTAGAAATGCACAAAATGCATTGTAGATACCGTTTTGATTCGTATGAAATATTGTCTTTTGAAAACTGATCAAACTAATTCCCTGAGCAGTACACATTATTATATTTGTGCTGGTTCAGGGAGGAAGGAGAAGAAAGTGCAAAGGGTTTTATACCAGTGTGTTTATGGTCTTTTACTATGCTGTGTATATAGTGTATATAAATGCACAAACGAGTCCTAATTTACAACATCTAGTCTTTCCAGATGTTAAGGAGGTTGCTAGTGTATGACAAAAGTAGAGTTAGTAAACTGATACATTGAGTACACCTTATGTTAAAATTCACAGAGTGTTCTTAAAAACACAGAAGTGATCAGGGCCCAGTGGCTCACGCCTGTAATCCCAGCACTTTGGGAGGCTGAGGCAGGCAGATCACGAGCTCAGGAAATCGAGACCATCCTGGCTAACACGATGAAACCCCGCCTCTACTAAAAATAAAAAAAAATTAGCCGGGCACATGGTGGCACACGCCTGTAGTCCCAGCTACTCAGGATGCTACTCAGGAGAATCGCTTGAAGCTGGGAGGCAGAGGTTGCAGTGAGCTGAGATCGCGCCACTGCACTCCAGCCTGGGAAACAGAGTGAGACTCCATCTCAAAAAAAAAAACAACAAAAAAACAAGAAAAACCCCACAGAAGTGAAATTGTTAAAATCTCTAACTGGATGCTTATTCCTCTTCTGGATGCTCATACCTGTCCATAGGGTTAATTTAGAGGTGAGAAGGGAAACGATTCTAGGCCGTAATGTTCCTATTTAGAAGACACTTTTAAATTATAGCCTGTGTTATGTATATGCACCATTTATTCACTGCTACTGTATATACAGTGGAAAACAACTCCTATTTGAAACATCTTGTCTTTCTAGATGTGTAAAAGCACACAACATAGGTTAAAAGTAGATACTAAAGTAACACCTTTCACCAAAATTGTCTAGGAGTGGTTGTATTTGGGAATGGAATTGTTAAACTTGAGGTTTTGGAGAGTACACTGACTTTTCACTGGGTAGTGGCAAGTTGTGGGGAAGAAGTATGTAGAGGGAAGAGTTCTGTGCAGGTGAGTTAGATTAGTTCAGATGGTCTAACCATTGTTCTATATGTGCATTTTAGTTAATATTGTTGTATATTAAAATGCAAGTCCTTTTGCTCAAAGTGTGTTGGAAGTAGAGGTAGTAAAACAATCCATTTATATCCTTTTGTTAGTTTTTAGGAAGGCCTGTCTTCCAGGAGTGACCTTTGTTAATCCACCTCTTGGAGCTGGACATAGCCACCTGGACGGTGGAAGAGGGAAAAGAGGAAAGTTGAAGGGAAGGGCTCTTTGCTAGTATCTCCATTATCTAGAACATGGTTTTAGATGATAACCATAGGTCTATATGAGCACTTTACTTTTCAGTAAACATCTTTAGAAAAGATGTATCTTGGACATGGAATTGTGAAACCACCACTGGGTAGTGTATACCAGGACTTGTTCATCAGGTTAGCAGTAGAGAGGCAGAAGGAAGTATAAAGGGAGAGATGAATGCAGATGTGTCCATATTTCCATTTTGACGATAGCCATTGGTGTATGTGCATCTCTTTTGGCTGTACTATAGGAATACATGAAGTAATTAAAAGGAAACATATCTTCTTGCTAATATTTTAATGGTATAGATCTGTTAATGAATTCTCTTAGAAATATTATACTTAGTGTATTCAGTTGCTTTATGTTTTATTTTAAATTGAGCACTAAGGGAATGCAGTATTTTAATCAGAACTCTGCTAATGCTTTTATCTAGAGGCATGTCTCCATTTTTGCCTTCTATAAAATTTTTGTCCCAAAAAAAGCAAGATTACATTGTTTTTCTAACAGACTGAGTTGGTGCTGTATATTCTTGGTTATCAGAATACTCATATAGCTTTGCAATTCTGAATTGGTAAATATTTATGATGTGTAAAAAAGCATAATATATACTATATACTGTAGAATCTCAATCCCATATAACTGGATGTTATGTCTACACACACAGGACCTAGAAGGACACATCAAAGTATAAACTACTTGTGATTGTGGATGACTTTGTTCTTTGTTTCTTGTGTTTTACTTTTTTCTCCTTCCTTCCTTCCTTCCCTCCATCTCTCTCTCTTTCTTTCTTTTTTCAGAGTTTTGTTCTTATTGCCCAGGCTGGAGTGCAGTGGTGCGATCTCGGCTCACTGCAACCTCCACCTCCCAGGTTCAAGCAATTCTCCTGCCTCAGCCTCCTGAGTAGCTGGGATTACAGGCACACGCCACCACACCCAGCTAATTTGTTGTATTTTTAGTAGAGACGGAGTTTCATCATGTTGGCCAGGCTGGTCTCGAACTCCTGACCTCAGGTGATCCACCCACCTCTGCCTCCCAAAGTGCAGGGATTACAGGCGTGAGCCACCATGCTTGGCCTCTTGTGTTTTTTAATTTACTATAATGCACATATTACCTGTTTAAAAAAATTAAGGTTATTTTAAAAACCTGGGGGGAAAAAAGCCTTACTGGCTTTAAGCCATTCTTGTACCTCAGCCTCCTGAGTAGTTGGGATTACAGGCGCCTGCCACCATGCCCGGCTAATTTTTGTATTTTTAGTAAAGACGGCGTTGCACCCTGTTGCTAGGCTGGTCTCGAACTCCCAAACTCAAGTGATCAGCCCACCTCACCTCCCAAAGCACTGGGATTCCAGGCATGTGCCAACTTGCCTGGACTCCATGCCATTTATTTCTTGAAGGTCAGTTTGTCCAGGAGAATTTTCCACATTCTGGATTTAGCTGATTGCATCATTATAATGTTATTAAACACATTGCTGTATCTCCAATATTTACTCTAAACAAATGGTTTTTATCTATTTGATTATAGAAATTTAATTTTCAACACAAGTATTTATTGTGGTCCTGGGTATGTTCTACTTTACTTTATTATGGGTTACATGATATGTGGTTGTCTCACATTTGATGATATAAAATTTAGCTTTGGTTTTAGGTGACATCAGCCTAATCCAACCATTCTAGAGTCCTTCATCCAATTTCACCTCATGGTTATAGCAGCCATTGCCAATTGTGACCTGGATGTGTTATAGCAATACCAGTTGCAAAATGTTGTAGTTTTATAATCTCTCCTGCATTCATTAGCTGTTATTTCCTGAGAAGAAAAATCTTTCCCTCATCAACTATATGTTTATCCTGAAATACATTCCATACAGGAGAGATAGGATAAATGCTTGATTCTTTTCCTTCATGTGTTAGCTTTCAAAATAAAACTGATATTCAAAAACCTCCAAAGGTTGAATATGGAAAAGCTATTTTGTGTGTGTGTATGAGTGTATATGTTTATGTTAACTTTGCAACCAGCTTCTTTACCAAATTCTCTATAGTAAGTTTTTCATTTGAGGGGTGGCTTCCAGATATATAATCCTACCAAGATACATAGATAGCTTTATCCCATTCTATCCAATAGTTAATCCTTTAATTACTTTTTCATGTCTAAATGCTTCAGCTAATACCTCCATTACAATGTTAAGTAGTAGTGAAGATAATGAATATCCTTGTCTTGTCATGAAAAACAATTTAAATGTATTTGATCCCAAAATACCATAAATAGACTTAAATGGGAATACATACCATGAACAGCGCCCTCCCCCCAACCCCCGCTTTTTTTTCAGACAGTGTTTCGCTCTGTTTTCCGAGGCTGGAGTGCAGTGGCACAATCACAGCTCACTGCAGTCTTAACCTCCTGGGCTCAAGCGATTCTCCTGCCTCAGCCTCCCAAGTAGCTAGCTGGGAATACAGGCATGCACCACCATGCCCTGCTAATTTAAAAGAGACATCATCTCTCTATGTTGCCCAGGCTGGTCTAGAACTCCTGGGCTCAAGCAATTCTCCTGCCTCAGCTTTTCAAATTTCTGGGATTACAGGTGTAAGCCACCATGCCCAGCCTCATAAACATCTATTAACATTATATATTATACAGAATAATTTATCAGAATAAAACATAATTTCTAGAAATCAGTAAGTTAAAAAGGGAAAAACTGGTTTCTTTCCTCTCATATTATGTATTTAATCAATATTTCATACTAGCTCTGGCGTAGGCAAATCACCTTTGATTTGGATTGATTAACATGTGTAGGTGTCGTGGGATACTTTTTTGTGTTGGGGCAGTGGAGGTGGTCATCTAGTTAAATGTGTTTGTAAAATGAGTTCAACATGTGTTGGGGACCAGCCTCAACACCACCCGTAGGGTACCCAAAGTCCGGTGGCGACAAAGGATTGAGAAGAGACAAGAGTAAAGGTGGGGAGCCAGGGGGTCAGTTGCAAAATGGAGGCTGCAAAAGGCTCAGACCTCTGGTCTCCACACTATTTATAGAATACAATAACTTAGATCTAAGAAGCAGATGTTCAGGGCGAAACAGTGAAAAGGTGGCAGTGCGTCATAGCCGTTATCTATAGCAATAGCGGTTTAAATGAATCTCCTTTGTGCTCAAATAGCATATCTTTAACTTATCGGAGAGTAGCTAGTGGGAGCGGGCTTAACTTGGAGTCTGTCCACATTCCAGTATTTCAAAGGAGTGTCTTTCTCCTTGAACGCAGTGTTTACAGATAAGAGAGCGGGTCTCGCTCTGAGCATGGGAACATGATGGCAATTAGGAGGCTTTCCTCCTCAGAGGACTCTTGTGGCTTTCCACAACATATTGTCTCATATTTTTATGGCCAGTTTATGCAGGCACCCCACAAGCCCTTTTCCCAAAAACATGTCATTTATTTTTACTGAAATTTTCTTGAACAAGAGATATTTGGATGCCTGGTCTCTCACACTCCCACTAAGCTATTTCAGCAAAAGGACAGTAGTTCTGGTTTCATTTAACCAGCCAATCCATTCTGTCTCATTCGGGTTAGACTTGGGAGGCACCCCATGCTATGACAGACAGCATTTTATTGTCCTTCATGTACCTATCACCGCACAATACTAACGGGGCCCACTGCTTCCATATCTGGTGATTCAAGAAAAGGTAAGGTATAGGGTGGTTGGAAGCTCAGAAGAAAGACATCAATAAGATATGTTTCTGCTATTCCACCTCCATGCTGTTCTTTGCTCTAAGAACTCTTCAGAATTCAAAAAAGAAAAGAAAAAAAAAACAGTGAATAAAACAAAGGGTCTTTTATTATTTTTATATTTTTTCTGTTTTTCAGTAATACCATAGCATGAAATCCAAAGAAACCAGGCTGATTAATTTGCGAAAATGCTTTTACAAAGGGTTCAAGACCTTCCTGGTGTGGCAATGCTATCGATACAGATACTTAACACTGCAAAGGCTGTACAGACAAGCAGAAAATTGAATGAATGAGACTAGGTTTATTTAACGGGAGGGAGAAAGGAAAGTGGAAAGGCGGTCCATTGAGAGGAGAAAGTGCGCACTCCCAAAACTGGTGGAGGTGCCGGGGATTGAACCCGGGACCTCGTACATGCTAAGCACGCGCTCTACCACTGAGCTACACCCCCAACCACAGACAGGTTGCTTTGCATTTCTTTCATGATTTATAATCAGTATTTCTCAAAGATTCGGTAAATTGCAATGAAATCATGAATGCAAACTCCGCAATTTGTGAAACAGCTAGGCTGGGTCCTGCACAAGCAGCGTCCAAAGAAAGCAACACAGTGAAATTACAAAGGAAGGAGCCTGAAAGCAGACAATCTGTTGTCTCTCGCTTTTTCCAGCTTCATTTCCTGCTGTTTTCAACCATAAGGCCCCAGGAGGCCAAAGCCAGTAGCGCAGCCAGGGTACCAGCTGAGACCTACGTGTTTGAAGGGAAACTGTAGGGGGGCGTCAAAGGGGATCCTCGCCTACCGAGTTCCAGTCCCCGGGCCCAGCACCGCCTTTCTTGGAACAAAGACCCTCAAATCACTTCCGTTTCCAAAAGCCCAAAACGTCCACTGAACACTTAGTGGTGATGGCAGGGAACGTTCTTGTGAGCTCAAGATGTCATGAATCAATCACAAGGACAAACTGGAAATCTGGACCCGGGTGAGAGGCATCACGTAGGCACCCAGATCCGCACGTCTAGAGTAGTTTACCTCCGACAAAACTCTGAGGGTCCCCTGCTAAGCCAAACTGGTGGGGGTTGGGGTGGGGTAGTAGCGTTATCTGAAAAAAAGATGAATTAGGTAAGGCAGGGCTGGCATCTGTTGCTTGGCGACCAATCTGTAGGAAACCATGGAGCAATGAAAAATTATTGGTTTCTCGAATGGTGAGGGGAGGTGGGGGAAGCTTCTCATATTTTAAAGAGCTGGCCCAGCCCAACCCAAATTCACAACTATTGACTTCTGAGGCACCTCCGTTGAAATCTCTCCCTCTCTCTTTCTCAAACAATTTATAACTCACTAAAAAGTTGAAAAAATAAAAATAATACAAAAATACCCTTCTATCCTTTACTCAGATTTAGATATTATTAATATTTTACCCCATTTGCCTTATGAGTTGCTTCTTCTCTCTCCTGTACGTTGCATACATCACGTCCATTTCCTTTACTTAAGTACTTTTCTATATACCCACAGTACTATTAGGAACTTTTGTAAATTTAACATTGATACAATAGCTGTATTTAATCTACAGTCTGCATTTCAAGTTGACCAATTGACCTGATGTTTTCCTCTCATATAGGATCTAGTCTAGGGTCAGGCGTTGCATTTAGTTGTCCTGTCTTTTTTAGTCTTCTTTAATGAAAAATATTTGCATAGTCTTTATTTTTTTTGACATTGATATGTCATTTAAAAAATAGTGTTATTTTCATTTCTTTCTTTCTTTCTTTTTCTGAGACAGAGTCTCGCCCTGTTGCCCAGCTGGAGTGCAATGGCGCGATCTCGGCTCACTGCAACCTCCGCCTCCCGGGTTCAAATGATTCTCTTGCCTCAGCCTCCTGAGTAGCTGGGATTACAGGTGCCTGCCACTATGCCTGGCTAATTTTTTTTTTTTTTTTTTGTATTTTTTAGTAGAGGCGGGGTTTCACCATGTTGGCCAGGCTGTTCTCGAACTCCTGACCTCGTGATCCGCCCGCCTCAGCCTCCCAAAGTGCTGGGATTACAGGCATGAGCCACTGCTCCCGGCCTCATTTCATTTTTAAAAATAGAATGTCTTTCACTGACTGATACTTTCGCATGACTAGGCTCAGGATATACGTTCTCCATTGGAATACTAAATAGATAATCTTGCGTGCTTATATATTTTTCAGTCATTGGTCTGTACTTTTTTGTTCTTGCTTTAAAAAAATCTTCCCAACAAAGTCTCTGGATAGTACACTTTTTGTGACATTTCTGGTCTCACAAAGGATTAAGGAATTCTTTAGAGGTCACTCAAAACAAAAATAAATGAATATTTTCTGGGCGCTAAAGTGACTTAGAAACACCTGGAGCCCAGGTCAGGGTAGTGAGCAGTCAAAGCCATAGCTGTGAGAACTCTGCCTAAAGTTCCTGGGAGTTGGAACAGTTGGGAGCAAGAACTGCTGGAAGCCAACTTGGACCAACAGAGGAGTGGGTTTAACCTGAAGTCAGATACCAATCGAAAAACAACTGTGAGGATGAATATTTAATATCAGAAAAGCAGAGAGTTGGAGGAGCTGAGCCTGACACTCTTGTTATGGGCCAAAACCTATAGTGAGACCAAGTGGTTCAGGGTCAAATTTGTCACCTAGCTCCTGGCAGAAGTAGAAATATATCCTCTCTGAAAGAAAACTTCCCCGAGTTAGGCCTGCAGAACTCTCTTATGTTAAGATCACACAATAAGGTTAATAATAAAGATTACTACAAACCTAAGAAGGTAAATTACTATGCTTGAGACTCAACAGATACAAAAAGTCATACTGAAACCTAAAGAACTGTAGATGTTAAATTTTAAGGTACAAAATGTATAATAGCTATGTCTGACATATATCAATAAATTAAGGATATGATTACAAATGAAGTATGCAAAAGAGTGAGTAAAATTATGTAAAAATTTAGATTCAAGAAATAAATATGTAATAGTTAAATTTTTTTTTTTTTTTTTTGAGACAGAGTCTCGCTCGGTCAGCCACGCTGGAGTGCAGTGGCATGATCTCGACTCGCTGCAACCTCTGCGTCCCGGGCTCAAGCAATTCTCCTGCCTCAGCCTCCCGAATAGCTGGGATTACAGGGGTGTGCCACCACGCCCAGCTAATTTTTGTATTTTTAATAGAGACGGGTTTCACCTTGTTGGCCAGGCTGGTCTTGAACTCCTGACCTTAGGTAATCCACCCGCCTCAGCCTCCCAAAGTACTGAGATTATAGGCGTGAGCCACAGTGCCTGGCCAAAAAAAAATTCCTAATTTTTTTGCATATTAGCTACAGCTGGGGAAGGAATTCCTAAGCTGAAAGATAAAGCCAAAACCTTAACCCAGAATACAACAAAAATAGTTAAGAACATGGAACATGTGAAGCAAGCTGAGATAGATAAACACAACTGCGAATTCTTTGCATCTCCTCCCATCAGAAGGTGGGGCCAAATCTTTTTCCCCTAACCCTGGAATGTGGGCTGCCTTTGTGATCTGCTTTGACCATTGGAACACAGTGGCAGTGATGCTGTGCTACTTCTAAGTGCAGGTCTCAAGAAAGCTTGCAGCTTCAGTTCTCAACATCTTGGAACACTATCACTGTATAAGAAATCTGGGCAGTCCTGTTGGGGAGATCACATGAAGGAAAACTGATGAACTCCAGAAAATAGCCCTTGCCAAGTATCAGACATCCAGGCATTAAGGGCATCCAGGAGCAGCGAGTCCCAGCTGACCTGCCAACTCACATTGAATTTGTAAATCCAGCTGATTTTACAAGGAGATGAGATGATACATTTCAGCTGAGTTCTATGTTGTTTTAAGCCACCGAGTTTGGAGTACTTTATTACACAGCCACAGAATACTGATTTAAAAAATAATAATAATAGAAATGGAAGATTATGTGAAAATTCTGAAGTATATACGATTAGAGTTCAGGAATAAAAGAAGAGAAAAAAAATGTAAGTGAGGTAATATTTAGATATAATATACCTGGAAAATTTCCCAAATTGGAGAGAAAATTTTCCCTTAGAGAGTCAGAAAGCAAATGTGTCACAAGCACGTTAAAGAGAAACAACTATAACTACACACCTCATACTGAAACTGTGTTATAACAAACATAAGAGGATGTCTCAAATCAGCCAGAGAGAATGTATAGATTTCTGCAAAGAAAGAACAATTAGAATGTTAACAAGCATCTTCATGATAAAATCCAGGAAACAATAAGATATATTTTGGAAGTGTTGAAATAAAACAATTGCCAATCTAGACTTGTGTACCCATCAAAGTAAACTTTAAGAATGAGAAAGTGTTTAAAATTTTATTTAAAAATTTATTTTGGGCGGGCACGGTGGCTCACGCCTGTAATCCCAGCACTTTGGGAGGTTGAGGCGGGCAGATCACGAGGTCAGGAGACCACCCTGGCTAACACGGTGAAACCCCGTCTCTACTAAAAATACAAAAAAAATTTAGCTGGACGTGGTGGGGGCACCTGTAGTCCCAGCTACTCGGGAGGCTGAGGCAGGAGAATGGCTTGAATCCGGGAGGCGGAGTTTGCAGTGAGCCGAGATCGCGCCACTGCACTCCAGCCTGGGCGACAGAGTGAGACTCCCTCTCAAAAAAAAAAAAAAAAAAAAAAAATTTTTTTTTGGTGGCTATAAATGGGTAAATCCCAAAGTAGCAGCAATACAGAGTATTTAACAATATTTTAATATTTTCTTTTACTCAACAGTCCACCTTTGTGATTTGCTTTCCATAAATACACTAGATTAAAGCAACAATACTCCAAGTTCAATCTGAGTTTATTGAATACTTTATTTCCATTCAGAGTTTAGTAATTACATTATTCTGTCACCAACAATAATCAAATGGCCTACCTAAGTAGCAAAAATCATAAAGCTATTATAAGCCAAGTCAATGGAATTTATAAAGTTAATATAAAACAGTAACTAGACTAATACACATATGAATTGGGCCCTACTAGAAACATGCCAAAATCATAAGCTTTATTTAAAGAATGAGGTATTGGGGCAGAGAAGAAAGAGAGGTCATTATCATCAAAAATTATTAGGAAGATTTAGGCAAAAAGAGGCTGGGCACTGTGGCTCACGCCTGTAATCCCAGCACTTTGGGAGGCTGAGGCGGGCAAATCACCTGAACTCAGGAGTTTGAGACCAGCCTGGCCAACCTAGTGAAACCCTGTCTCTACTAAAAACACAAAACTAGGTGGGTGTAGTGGTGAGCACCTGTAGTCCCAGTTACTCAGGAGGCTAAGGCAGGAGAATCACTTGACCCGGGAGGCCAAGGTTTCAGTGAGCTGAGATCATGCCACTGCACTCCAGCCTGGGTGACAGAGCAAGATTCCGTGTCAAAAACAAAACAAAACATCACTATTTAAGTGTCATGAATTATCATCATCATATGTGAGAAAAGATAACCCATCAGAAAAAATAAATAAAAATAAAATAAATTAAAAAATAAACCAAAGGACCTATACAGATCAAACTTTCAGTGAGTCTTTCTTTCTTCTTCACAGGCATTATCTGCACTATCAGCATAGCCATAGTTCCCATAGCTGCCAGAAGGTACTCCTTCACTCAGGCCTGCATGCTTCATTATGTCAGAAGAGAGAGGGAAATGGAGGGCATAGAGGGGTGGGTGGGTAGGAAAGAGCTAGGGGTTACCCAGATCATGTCTTCAGCACCAGGGTCCCACAGAACAACAACTTTCCCTCCCTCAAACACCTCAACATCGGTGGAGCCTTAAGAGTGAGAATTCTGCCTGGGCGCAGTGATCCATGCCTGCAATTCCATCACTTTGGGAGGCCGAGGTGGGCGGAAGTTCAGGAGTTCAAGACCAGCCTGACCAACATGGCAAAACCCCATCTCTACTAAAAATACACACACAAACATTAGCCAGGTGTGGTGGTGCATGCCTGTAGTCCCAGCAACTTGGGAGACTGAGGTGAGAGGATCATTTGAGCCTGAGAGGCGGAGGCTGCAGTGAACTGAGATCACACCACTGCAGTTCAGCCTCGGCGACAGAGCAAGACCCTGTCCCCCTTCTCCCCTCAAAACAAGAGTGAGAGTAATTTTGAATATCATTGACAAAAACAGGTAGTTGACAGCTAACGCTTGCATCGAAAAAAGCTCTTCTAGTTTTGTTTATTAAAGCTTTCAAACTTACATAAAGTTAGAGAGAATGGTGTAATGACTTTCCATGCACATATCAACCAGGTTCAACAAAAATTAGCATTTACCATTCTTATTTCATTCATCTCTCCTTTTCTCCACTGAAGTATTTTAAGCTACTTCTAAGCATTATGTAATTTGATGTTTAAATACTTCAGTATATGTCTAAGAGAAAAGAACATTTTAAAAAATGGGCACATGTGGCCGGGCGCCGTGGCTCATGCCTGTAATCCCAGCACATTGGGAGGCTGAGGTGGGCGGATCAGGAGGTCAGGAGATCGAGACCATCCTGGCTAACACGGTGAAACCCCATGTCTACTAAAAATACGAAAAGAAATTAGCTGGGCGTGGTGGCGGGCGCCTGTAGTCCCAGCTACTCCGGAGGCTGAGGCAGGAGAATGGCGTGAACCCTGGGAGATGGAGCTTGCGGTGAGCCGAGATCGCGCCACTGCACTCCAGCCTGGACGACAGAGTGAGACTCTGTCTCAAAAAAAAAAAAAAAAAAAAGGCACATGTTGTCAGGACCTCCTGAGGCTGTGTCACAGAAAACAAAAAGAACGAACAAACAAAACCATAATTTTAATAACTTTATCACTTCTAAAATATTTAACTAAAATTCTTAATATTATCTAATACCTAGTCCGTGTTCAATTTTTCCAGTTATGCAAAAAATTTTTTATGGGTGAGTTGTTCGATTTATGATCCAAAGTAAGTTCATATATTATTTCTGGGTGATAAATTTCTTAAAACTCTGTTTACTTTTTTACATTTTACTTTTTTGAGACAGAGTCTCACTTTGTCACCCAGGCTGGAGTACAGTGGTGCAATCTCAGCTCACTGCAATCTCCTGGGCTCAAACAGGCCTCTCACCTCAGCCTCCCAAGTAGCTGCGACTACAGTCACGCACCACCATGCCCGCCTAATTTTTGTATTTTTAGTAGTGATGGGGGTTTGCCATGTTGGCCAGGCTGGTCTCGAACTCCTGGCCTCAAGTAGTCCGCCTGCCTTAGCCTCCCAAAGTTCTAGGATTACAGGCATGAGCCACCACTCCCCACCTGCTGTTTTGACTTTTAATTCCCTAGTGACGTATGATGTTGAGAATCTATAAATAAGCTTAGCCGCCACCTTCTTTAGTGAAGTGTCCAGATCTTTTGCCTACATTTTAACTGGGTCGTTTGTTTTCTTGTTAAATTTTTGAGAGTTCTTTGTACATCTTCTTTTCATTCCCTTAACGGTGTATTTCACAGAGAAGTTTTTAATTTTAATAAAATCCAACTTATTTTTTTTTCCAGATGTTTTGCTTTTGGTGTTGTTTTTATAAACTAATTGCCAAAGCCAACGCTACCTAGATTTTCTCCTATGTTATTTGCTAGAAATTCTATAGTTTTGTGTTTTACATTTAGGTGTATAATCAATTTTGGGTTAATTTTTATGAAAGTGCTAAGGTCAGTGTCTAAAGTCTTTTTTTTTTTAACATATGGATCTCCAATTGTTTTATTAAAATTTGTTAAAAAATCATGCTTTTCTCCACTGAACTGCCTTTGCTCTCTTGTCAAAGGTAAGTTTACTATGGGTCTATTTTGTAATTCTCACTTCTTCCCATTGATTTATTTTTCTATTATTTTGACAACTGTATTAGTCTATTTTCACACTGCTGTTAAAGACACACCCAAGACTGGGCAATTTACAAAAGAAAGAGGTTTACTGGACTTACAGTTCCATGTAGCTGGGGAGGCCTCACAATCATGGCAGAAGGTGAAAGACATGTCTCACATGGTGGCAGACAAGAGAAGAGTTTGTGCAGGGAAACTCCCCTTTTTAAAACCATCATATCTCATGAGACTTATTCACTATCATGAGAACAGCATGGAGAAGATCTGCCCCATGATTCAATTACCTCCCACAAGCTCCCTTTCAAAACACATGGAAATTCAAGACGAGATTTGAGCGGGGACACACCCAAACCATATCACACCACCACCACACTGTCCTGATTACTATAACTTTGACATTGGGTAATGTTAGTTTTTCAGCATAGTTCTTTTGCATGTTGTTGGCTATTCTGAATCTTTTGCCTTTCCATATAAATTTCGAGTTCGTTTGTTTTTTCTACAACTAAGTATCTCACTGGGGTTTTCATTAGGATTGTGTTGAATCTATAGACCAAATGGAAAGAACTGATGTCTTGACAATATTGAGTTTTTCTATCCATGAACATGGAATATCTCTCCATTTATTTGGATTCTCTTTGATTGCTTCAGTCAGAGTTTTGTAGCTTTCCTCACATAGATCTTGTACATAACTGGTTAGATTTATATCTCAGTATCCTTTTTCTTTTTTGTTTTCTCTTCTGTTTCTTTCTTCTTTTCTTTTTTTGGTGCTAATATAAATAGTGTTGCTTTCTTAATTTCAAATTCCAAATGAGTATTGCTAGTATGTAGAAAAGGAATTGACTTTTATGTAGTAACCTTGTGTCTTGCAACCTTGCTATAATTACTTTTTTTCTTTTTTCTTTTTTTTTTTTTTTTTTGAGACATAGTCTCACTCTGTCACCCAGGCTGGAGTGCAGTGGTGTGATCTCAGCTCACTGCAACTTCCACTTCCTGAGTTCAAGCGATTTTCGTGCCTCAGTCTCATGAGTAGCTGGGATTACAAGTGCGCGCCGCCGCACTCAGCTAATTTTATTTTATTTTATTTTATTTTATTTTATTTTATTTTATTTTTAGTAGAAACAGGGTTTCACAATGTTGGCCAGGCTGGTCTCGAACTCCTGACCTCAAGTGATACACCCACCTCGGACCGGAAAATCATAACAACTGTCCTCATTCAAATAAATAACTACAATTGTTTGAATCATTAAATAAACAAATCTTTAGTCCTCTAACCCAGGTCAGTTTTCCATGCTGGGTAGTTGTATGGTGAGGATGGATATATGAAATTTGGTAAAGGAACATGATGGGGAGAGAAGACAGTCCCTTCTGCCTAAAGAGAAGTAAAGATTTCAAAGGAAGGACAAACAATACAAAACAAAACAAAAACAAAAACACCCCAGCATTTGGGCAAGAAATAATCTCTCCAATATTTTCCACCAAATATAGAAAAGCCGAGAAGCTCTAGTGAGTAGATGGGTTCCTTGGTGCTGGGTTTATTTGAAATTGCCAAAGTCCGCTTCTTCCTGGATAGATAAAAATTATGGGATGGAGTTGGTTAAGTGGCCCGCCCAGGTCACACGGTGAGTGGGACAGAACCCCGACCCAAGCTAGCTGGCTCCTGCTCTAGGAAGGATTGCCCCACCCGACCCTGTAAGTGTTGGTGGCAGCCAGGCTAAATCATCTTACGCAGTAACATTCCAAACTACTCTAGAACGAAAATGCTCACATCGGGGAGTCTTTCTACCTTTTTTCCAACCCCGTTTTGACCCATTGCTGCATATCTCAGCAATGCAATAATTCCAAACCCCAGATAAAGAACTAGAGAGAAATGAAAGCGTCTCTTTGCTGTCCGGCATATTTCAGAAGCAAAAATGTATAAGGAATCACAGAGCCGGTTTATTGTTCGTTGTAGTTTGTTTGCTAATTTCTGGCACCTCCCAGAAAACAGGAATCTCTGGAGATGTTCTCATCAGGAGAAGGAATAATCCGGTCCCTCCAAAGGGAGAACACAGAGGAGCTAGCTGGAGCCAGGTCAGCAAACCAGGGTTCAAATCCTATGTCCCATGCATTCCAGTGTTCAGCAAGGATCTACGTATTTAATACCTAGGCGTACTGTTTTTATCTGTTCGTTTGATATGTGCCAAGTAACTGAACCACTCTAGGTGTCATTTATCACTTTTGTGGTTGCTGCGAAATGTACCTAAAAATACCCGATTCTGGGTGTGGTTGTAAGGACTGAATCAGGATTAAGCCAGAAAAAGAGCGATTAAAAATATATTATTACAGGACTAACTGTGCGGAGGAAGAAAATGACTTTGCCACGCTTAGCATGTGACGAGGTGGCCGAGTGGTTAAGGCGATGGACTGCTAATCCATTGTGCTCTGCACGCGTGGGTTCGAATCCCATCCTCGTCGTTTCTGGAGGTTTTTATTTAACCCTCTGAAAGGATGGGTCTGAGTGCTGCCTAGTTAGCGTTTATCTTTGGTAGATTAATTTGCCAAGAAACCAAGTAAATTACTAAATGTATCTTAACTGGCCTCTGCTAATTTTCAGTTCTGAGTACAAGATTCTCTCAAATCTCAGGGACAATTCTTCCTCAGCAACATTGATCATACTTGTAAGTTAAATTAGCCAGTTGAAACATTTGGGTAGTGTTTACTTTTCCCTCCAGATGGTAACCTTCTTAAGGGCAAGAAATATATGTGTTCTCCATTGAGTTTCCAGCTCTTCTGAAGGAGCAACTGAATAATTAATTGAGGGCTATAGAAAAATATTGTCAATAAACTTAAAGTAAATGATAAAAATCATCCACATAAATATGTACAACAAGTTATTGATACTATATTTTGCAGGTATTTTCAGCCTAATTTTAACCTTACTGAAATTTTTACTCTTTGCTAACTTTAAACTGCCCTCCCCCAACAAAATACTTAACCATTATTGTCTGCTGGTCTCTAGCTTTGAGGAGGATTTGTCTCTGCTTAGAGATGTGACAAAGCTGAAAAATATACTCCATACGACATTCCCAGTTATGTCTAAAGATGCCTCCATAAGCAAGACAGAGAGGAATGTCCATATTGAATAGTTTCTACTTGTGATTTCCATCGTGGGCCTTGGGAGAAAAAAATATATATTTTTTATTTTATTTATTTTATTTAAGTTTTTGAATAGGCACTGCATTCACATGATTCCAAAATTATAAAGCTATATAAAATCTTGCACCCATCCATAATTATTCCCCAACCACCTAATTACATTCTTTACTGATAACCACTGTTGTTAATTCTTTCCAGGATTACACTAAGCACATATGAATATATATTACATAACATATATATTTCTATTTTTATCTCAAAAAAAGCACAAATGACAACATACTATGAATATCATTCCTTATCCTGCCCCATTTCCCTAACCAATATATCCTGGAGAGCTTTCTGTATCATCACAAAAAGTGAAAGCTTATTCTTTTTTAAGGATGCATTGTATCCCAATGCATACTTTACCATATATTATTTAACCAGTTCTCTGTTGGACAATTTGGGTTTTCTGTATCTTTTGCTATTATAAACTATGCTGCACAAATAACTTTATATATACATACATAAAATTTTGAATGTGTATATCTGTAATACTGCAATATAAATTTTTAAAAGTGAGTTTGCTGTGTCTTAGGATATACTCATTTAAAATATTTATAGATATTGCCAAATGGCCCTCCAAAAGGATTTTATTAGTTTACACTCTTAACCAGTAATGACTAAAATTCTTGTTCCTCTCACCCTCCTCTGGACTGTTACATCAGAATGACCCAAAGTGTGTGTTATGAATGAAGAATTCTGGGCCTCGATCATGATCTATTGCATTATAACCTCAGTGGCGGGGCAGTGGGGGATGGGATGTTCTTGAATCTGTGATTTAATAAAGTATTCAGATGTTTCCTATGTTGGTCTTAAGGCTTGTACATGGCTGAAGTATCTACATGTTATATCCATTCATCTAGAATTTTCTTTTTCTTTCTTTTTTTTTTTGAGACGGAGTTTCGCTCTTGTTGCCCAGGCTGGAGTGCAATTGTGTGATCTCAGCTCACTGCAGCCTCCACCTCCTGGGTTCATGCGATCCTCCTGCCTCAGCCTCCCGAGTAGTGGGGACTACAGGCACGTGCCACCAAGCCCAGCTAATTTTTGTATTTTTAGTAGAGACGGGGTCTCGCCATGTTGGCCTGGCTGGTCTGAATTCCTGACCTCAGGTGATCTGCCCGTTTCGGCCTCCCAAAGTGCTGGGATTACAGGCGTGAGCCACTGCACCTGGCCTAGAATTTTCTTTATTTCTGTAAATGTTTGCCTCAGGAAAGCTGCTTTCTTCTTCCTCCTCGTCCTCTTCTTCTTCTTCTTCTTCTTTTTTTTTTTTTTTTTTTTTTTTTGAGACTGGGTTTTGCTCTAACACCGAGGCTGAAGTGCAGTGGCTGATCCTCCACCTCCCAGACTCAAGCAATCCTCCCAACTCAGCCTCCTTAGTGGCTGGGACTGCTTTTTTTTTTTTTTTTTTTTTTTTTTTTGGTAGTGACGGGGTTCCACCATGTTGCCCAATCTGGTCTCGAACTCCTAGGTTTGACCTGACCCTCTCAGCCTCTCAAAATGCTGGGATTGCAGGCGTGGGATTACCGCTTCTGGCCAGTTTCTATCTTCGATGTTCCCAGGTACACATTTCATAACTTGGACAGGTTTTCTTTTTTAATTTAATTTCACTTTTTAAATTATTGTCGATAGCCACCCTACTGTGCAATAGATCTCAAAACATTCCTCTTGTCTATCTGAAACTTTGTACTACTTTGACTAACAACTCTATTCCTTCCCCAACTCCCACCCCATCCTGTAACATCTGGTAACCATTATTCTAATCTCTCTATTTCTACGAGTTCAACTTTTTTTTTAGATTCCACATATAAGTGAGATCATGAAGTATTTTTCTTTTTGGGTCTGGCTATTTCTCTTAGCATAATGTCCTCCAGGTTCATCCTCATTGTGAAAAATGACAGAATTTCTTTCTTTTTAAAGTCTGAATAGTATTTCATTGTATATATAGCACATTTTCTTTCTCTTTGGAGTTTTGCTCTTGTCACCCAGGCTGGAGTGCAATGGCACCATCTCAGCTCACTGCAACGTCCACCTCCCAGGTTCAAGCGATTCTTCTGCCTCAGCCTCCCAAATAGCTGGGATTACAAGCATGTGCCATCATGCCCAGTTAATTTTTGCATTTTTAGTAGAAACGGGGTTTCACCCCATTGGCCAGGCTGGTCTCAAACTACTGATCTCAGGTGATCCACCCGCCTCGGCCTCCCAAAATGCTGGGATTACAGGCTTGAGCCACTGTTCCTGGCCTAGCACATTTTCTTTATATATCCATCTGATGATGGACACTTAGGTTGATTCCATGTCTTGGCTATTAACTGCAATGAACATGAGAGTACAGACATTTCTTTGATATATTGATTTCAATTCCTTAGGATATATTCCTAGACGTGGGACTGCTGGATCATAAGGTAATTTTATTTTTAGTTTTTGAAATATCTATATACTATTTTCCATAATGGTTGTACTACTTTACATTTTCACCAACAATGTACAAAAGCTGTCTGTTCTCCATGGCCTTGTCAACGCTTGTTACCATCTTTCATCTTTTTGATAAAACCCGGCTTTTATAAAAAAGATTTTGTCAAAAAGGTGAAAGATTGTTACGGGTGTGGTGGGTCACGTCTGTAATCCCAGCACCTTGGGAGGCCGAGGTGGAAGGATCGCTTGAGCCCAGGAGTTCGAACCCAAGTGTTTGAGAGCAGCCTGGCTAACATAAGGAGACCACCATCTCTACAAAATAAATAAAGATCAGCGGGGAATGGTGGCGCATGCCTGCGGTCTCAGCTAATTGGGAAGCCGAGGCAAGGGGATCACTTGAGCCCAGGAGGTTGAGGCTGAGTGAGCCGTAATCTTGCCACTTCACTCCAGCCTGGGCGACAGAGCCAGGCTCGGTCTCAAAACAAAAAGCAAAACAAAGCCAAAAAAAGAAGTTTTTGTTTTTTTTGAGACGAAGTCTCGTTCTTGTCCCCTAGGCTGGAGTGCAATGGCGAGATCTCGGCTCACTGCAATCTCCGCCTCCCGGTTTCAAGCGATTTTCCTGCCTCAGCCTCCTGAGTAGCTGGGATTAGAGGTGCGTACCACCATGCCCGGCTAATTTTTGTATTTTTAATAGAGACGGGGTTTCACCATGGTGGCCAGGCTGGTCTTGAACTCCTGACCTCAGG
Source organism: Homo sapiens (assembly GCF_000001405.40). NCBI lineage: Eukaryota > Metazoa > Chordata > Mammalia > Primates > Hominidae > Homo > Homo sapiens. The sequence continues at coordinate 28,593,455 of NC_000006.12, read as the reverse complement.
TGATCCGCCCGCCTCAGCCTCCCGAAGTGCTGGGATTAGAGGCGTGAGCCACCGCGCCCAGCAAAAAAAAAAAAAACTCATTCTAATGGTTGTGAAGTGATACTGTGGCTTTAATTTTCATTTCCTCCATGCTTAGTGATGCTGAGCATCTTTTTTTTATATGTATTGCCATTTGTATATCTTCTTTTGAGAAATGTCTGTTCAGGTCCTTTGCCTATTTTGTAATCAGGTTGATTGTTTTCTTGCTATTTAGTTGTTTGAATTCCTTATATATTGTGCATATTAACCCTTTATTAGATATAAGGTTTGCAAATGTTTTCCCATTCTGTGGTTTGCCTCTTCACTTTGTTTCCTTTGCAGTGCAGAAACTTGTTAGTTTGATGCAATCCCATCTGTCTGCTTTAGCTTCTGTTGCTTGTGCTTTGGAGTCAAAAAAAAAAAAAAATCATTGCCCAGACAATGTCATGGAGCTTTTCCCTTATTTATTAATTTTTTCAGTATATAGGTTTATAGCTTCCAGTCTTGTATTTTAATCCATTTTGAGTTGATTTTTATATATGGTGTAAGATAGAAGTCTAATTTTATTCTTCTTCATGTGGATAACCAGTTTTCCCATCACCATTTATTAAAGAAGCTGTCCTTTTGTGTGTTCTTGGCACCTTTGTCAAAAATCAATCGACAATAAATACATGGGTTTATTTCTGGGCTTTCTATTCTCTTTCAAAGGTCAGTATGTCTGTTTCTATGCCAGTACCATGCCTTATTACAATCACTTTATAATAGATATAAATAGTGAATGTGATGCTTCCAGCTTTGTTCATTTTGCTCAAGATTTTTTTGTCTATTTGAGGTCTTTTGTGGTTCCATACAAATTTAAGAATTGTTTTTTCTATTCATGTAAAATATGACATTGGAGTTTTGACAAGGATTGCATTGAATCTGTAGATAGCTTTGGGTAGTGTAGACATTTTAACGATATTAATTCTTTCATGAACATGGAATATTTTCCATTTATTTGTGTTTTTGTCATTTTATCAGAGTTTTATAGTTTTCAGTGTACAGGTCTTTCATCTCTTTTGTTAAATTTATACCCAAGTATTTTATTTTGTTTTTGTTGCTATTGTAAATGGGATTGTTTTCTTAATTTCCTTTTCAGATAGTTCATCATTATATAGAAATGCTACTGATTGTTTAATGTTGATTTTGTATCCTGCAACTTTACTGAATTTATCAGTTCTAACTTTTCTGTAACATCTTTAGGATTTCTATTTGCTGATCATGTCATCAGCAAATGGAGTTAATTTCAATTCCTTTCCTATTAGGATGACTTTTATGTCTTTCTCTTATCTAATTGCTCTGGCTCTATAAAACTAATCTTTTGAGAGTTTTTATGATGAAAGGGTGTTGAATTTTGTCAAATACTTTTTCCGTATCTATGGATATAATCACATGGTTTTTATCCTTCATTTTTGTTAATGTGGTGTAACACATTTTTTGATATGGACAGATTTTAAAGTCTGTTTTAATTTCCTCAGGAAATCAGCTACCATTAATTTGCTTGGTCCTCTATTCTGAACACATCTTCTCTCGGCAGCTGATCATATTCTCAATCCTTAGCTGGATATCTTCTTTGGAAAAGAAGTTTTCCCAGGATATGCCTATACATCTTTGATGAAACTGTCAAAGAAAAAATGTACCAGATGGAGTTAAATAGGCAAGGAAGACTTTATTCCAGACAATTGCAATAGGGGAGAGAAATTAAATAAACTCAGATCCAAATACATCAGGGACAGCTGGGGATCTATAGCTAATAGTAAGGGTAAGACAACCATTTGATAGAAAGTGACTACGAGGAACTTGATTAGATATCAAGGGTGGAAAAAGAGAAACTTGATAGGATTTTGAGGTGAGGAATTCTTACTGAATTGGCTTAGCAAGATTCTTGCTAAAACTAGGCTCAACTGGATTATTTGCTGAAATTGGGCTGGACAAGCCAAGGATGGGACCTAGTTGAGAGGAGGGCTCAGAGGAACCTAACTAAAGTTTGTTCAAGGGTGGAGTTTTTATAAATACCCACGGGAATTTCCTCAGCTTCCTAAAGGAATTGGTAGACCCACAGAACATGTAAGGCATCAGGGGGAGCATCTACATATGCTCCCAGCCTCTCCCAGTGTTGGTGGCTGCTTCCGCCTCCTCATAGCAGCTGCTCCTTGGCCTTCTGTTCAGTTCTGGGTCACGTTGTGCAGGCACCATCTCCAATCAGGTCTTGTCCATTACCTTAATTTAGAGGCTTGGGATAAAGTCTGAGTTACTGGTTTGAGCTAGGATAAGTGGATGCTTGACGATGGATGTGATCATAATGATTACTTACAGTAACACAGGCAGGCTATGGTGTTGGTCGGAAGGATGGCTGGACTTATAAGCATCCCAAACAGGCAGAAGAGGCTGTTAGGCCATTAGGAAAAGGGAGAACACTTTGGGTGAGATCTCATCACGCTAACATCAACAAAGTGGAAAGAAGGTGGGGCCACACTAGCTAAGGCAACACCACAAGAAAATGTTATTTCCCTCTGCAATTAGCACCATTACAGACCATATGAAGTACAATCAAGCACACATAACGGGAGCCAAAATAATGCTTTCATGAATTTTGTAAACTTAGTTACAGAGTCTCTGTGTAACCAATGGTAATTCAAAATATGAGCTAATGAATTATTAATGGTTTAATGGACTTGGTGAAAGTAGGATTCGATTTGGTTTTTTGGTATGTATGCGAAAATCAAAATGTCAAAGTAAGAAATCTGAAAATAAATAATTGGATTTAAAGGTTGTCTCTTACATCATAGAAGAGATTAATTTGTACGAAACACAAATACTTGTTTCTAATTTAGTTCTTGTCCTCTCTGTCCTCTAGGGCACACCTTTCCCTCACCTTGACACCTCACATTTCCCACCTCATTCTAACAGCTAAATTAGTGTCTATAAGGAATTTTCCAGACCTTCCGGGTTTCATCAACTCTATCTCCAATTCAATCCTCGTCTACACACACAGTTCAGGGGAGGCAAGATAGCGGCTACATTTTCTGTTCTTGACCTTCAGCTCCAAGGGACTGTTTCCCGGATGCTTCGGACCGAGTGTTTGGTAGTGTCTGGGGAGGACTCGGTCAGGGAGCCCCCTCCTTTCACCCTGGTACTAGGAGCTGAAGAGGCGAGATGCCAGGCGAACGGCTGAAGGCAGAGGTCTTTTTACCCCCATCTCCCTTGTCTCCCACACAAGTTGTAGGGCCCCTCCACCGTGTCTGGTCCTGAATTGGGAATGCCAGCTCCCAGCGCGGCGAGGCCCAGGTCCGGTCCTAGGTGAGTTTTTCTCTCCGGCTGGAAGACTCGACGCCGTGGATACCAGGGACCCGAGCCCTCCGGGGCTGCTGGCTTTGGAGGGATTTCCAGACGTTGCAGTCGGGGTGAGCGGAGAGACTAAGAAGTACAGGGGACTAGAGAAAGCAGATGAGGGTGAATTGTCTCATCAAGATGGGGGATAGGGAAAAGGGGCGAGAAGTAACCCGGGGCGCAAGGTCCACAGCGAAAAAAAAAAAAAAAAACAAACAAAAAAACAAACAAAAGAAACACGCCCGAGACCAAGGCTCAGCCACTTTACACGCAGGACTTGGTTGTGGCAGCGAGGAGGGCTTCGAACCTAGGAAATTTTGAGGAAGCGTTTGTCTCCATCACAGGAATTGGGTTTCCACGTTGCTGCTGGAGCTTTTCGTAAGTCGATAAGAGCAGCATCTTTCTCTTTGTCTCCAAACCCGTGAATTTGATACGCTTTGAAAGCGTTCTTCTAGGCGAAAGAGCTTGGTACTTTCATGCTTGGATAGAAGGGGAGAGTTCAATACCGTGCACGCGACCACAAAGTTGTTTTCGACGAGAATTCGATGGGAAGCGGAGGAACGAATTTTTCCCACATTCAGAGGCCAAGCCAGGAACTGTAAAACGTTCACCTTTGAAAGGTCCCACCGAGATTCGAACTCGGATTGCTGGATTCAAAGTCCAGAGTGCTAACCATTACACCATGGGACCAACCACAAGGGTACAGTAGGTAAGTATAGTCGTGGTTAAATACCTCCTTGATAATAAACTTTCTAGTTCCGATCCGAAAGAGTTAGGTCAGGCTTCAGTGAGACTCACGCTGACAGGAAAGCTGACGCTTTGCTGCTGAAGAAGGAGTAACTGTCAAAATAAAATTCAGGGAGATCTCTTCACTCTTTCCTGCGCTTTTGTTGGGAGCATAAATTAGCTTCCAGAAATCAACCGGGGCAGATTTGTGAGGTCTGAAACTTAACAATTTAGAAAGTCCTCTTTAAGAAAAAGAACAGCTGTTATCAACATAAAATTATGGGTACTCTAAGGCCTGTATGATGTATCTGAGGATAAGCTGGAGTAGGGAGAGGAAGCTGTCTTAACTAATTTTCACTATACTAGCATACTTTTGCAAATCTTACAAAATATGTTTCATACAGAGCAACCTCTTCCCAAGGCCTTGGAAAGCACAGCGCAAGGAAAGGATCTTAACACACTTTAGCGAGACTCACGATAAACATCCCTCTGGGGTGCAGATCTTTTAGCAATATCTATCAAAATAGTCTCTTCTACAGCCACTAAAAAGAATGGGATAGACATGTAACACATGTTGGCTTGGCAGTTTCTGGGGGAGGATTTAAGTTTAAAACAAACCAAAAAAGCCCAGTAACTTGGTGAATTGTAGTCTAGTATGATTTAAGTTTTGCAAATTATAATGAGTTATAATTGTGACTCAGTTATATTTGTACATAATAATATTGTACTCAATTTTGTATGTACATTTTAAAAATAGGTTGGAGGTACATACAACAAACTCGGCATCAATTTTTCTGAGGAATGGAACTGAGGATGAAGAAACTTCACTTCTTGCCACGTTGACTTTTTAAATATTTGACTTTTTTTATAAGTGTCTATCACTGTTGTAGTAATTAACAAATGCAAATCTACAAAACAAAACAAACAAAACAGTAAGGCTCGTCAGTAAAGGACTTAGAAGTCATGCTTACTCCATGTTAACTGCCTACTGTGCTCAGCATGGCAGAGATCACTGCCTTGCAGAATGAGAAAAAGGTAGTAGAATCCCTGATTGCAAAGGATAGTTAGGGGGGGAAACAAAAGATAAGTTCAGCACGTTAAAAGTGACTGGGAAAATGATCTTTTCAGGGTTGGATGACACAGGCACACAGACAAAAATTTTATACAGAATTTTACTCAAGACCATTCACGGACTCTAAGCGTAAGATTTCTTTTTTATTTAGAGATTTCTAAAAGAGATGTTCTGATTATTCAAAGACTCTCTACTCAGAAATGCCAAAATGTGAGAAATCAACATGAGGACCACAGCAGAAGGAAACAGAGAATGGAGAAGGGAACCAGGCAGCAATTCAACAAATATTCCTTGGGCATCTCTGCGCTACCAGAGGTATGGAGGAACCCAGTGACTGCTTGAAAAGAATGTTCTGGTTACTCCACTCCAGTGATTCGCTAGGCGCTGATCAGCCGTCCAGATTTTGTTAGATTTCTGGGACCAGTTTCCCACAGTTGTTTAGTCACGGCTCTGTGCTCCGTGACTAAACAACTGAGGCTCATTCTCGGTGGTCTTGGTTTTCTAATCCGTAAAATGGAAACAATGGACTAACTCTTACATTTCTTTTTAAGTCTGATTTAGGGTGAAAGGGAAAGGTGAAAGTGGCCCGAAATTAACGAGGAAAGGCGGGGGACGATCCTACAGATTCGCTGACGTGGTAGTCCTTAGGGATGCTCCTCTCCATTTTGTTTCAGGTCGCTGCGGTGAGCACCACGGGTCTGAGTGCCAGCGATGGTTTATCACGGTGACAGGAAAACACAGACCAGCAGCATCTACTCCAGCACTACTCACACTGTGGAACTCTTTTCACCGTGATGCCAGATAACTAGGTAATTCCGGAGTTAATTCTCCGTCGTTTCCAGAGTACTTGCCTCCCCAGAATTACTGGTACCGTAGGTGTTTGCACAACCAGTGAGAAGACGGCACCACCTGGAATCCTAGAGCGGACCGGAAGTGAGCGTGGCTCACCGGGCCCGGCCGGAACCTACGGGCACAGCTGCGGGTGTGTCTGCGGAACCTCCACCTGAGCTGTAGAGTGTTTCCCTCGACCCACTAGTCTGGGTTCCACAGGGTCTGAGCTCCTCAGAGGTGGGAGCTGCGGCCGAGGGAAGGGTGCATGTGCGCGGCGACAATCGGGCCTCTTCCCCAGGCAGCTTGTGAGCCCCTCTCCCTCTCCGCCCTCGCCCAGGCTGCTCCGATCTTCGTTTCCTTGCCTAGGCTCATACACCCAGGCTTTATTTAGGGCCAAAGTATCCGTCATAACCTCGGTTTTCTGTCTCGCAAGTATCTTGCCGCTCAATTTGTGACCCTGAAGCTTTAGTGAGTCGCTCTGTGCTCACTATTTCTGGTCTTTTCAGAGGATGGCTTCACTTTCAATGGAATTGCCCGAGTAACTGCCCTGTGTTGTCACGTAAACAAGTCCTTTTAAACTGAGTCTGTAGTTGTCCTGTGTTGAGTGTTTTCTTATATCAAAAACTTTCCTGACCAAGAACAAAAAAGGAGCTCAAGTAAAATCACCCATTTGCCTAGACCCCAACTGGAGAGAACCTTTGCCTGAGCTGTCTAAGCTCGGGATGGAAGCAGTCTCTAGGGTCTTCCCAGCCTTGGCTGGCCAGGCTCCAGAAGAACAAGGGGAGATTATCAAAGTAAAGGTTAAAGAAGAAGACCACACTTGGGATCAGGAATCAGCCCTACGTAGGAATTTGTCTTATACCAGGGAACTCTCTCGTCAGCGCTTCAGGCAGTTCTGCTATCAGGAGACACCTGGGCCCAGGGAGGCTCTGAGTCAACTGCGGGAACTTTGCCGTCAGTGGCTGAACCCAGAGATACATACCAAGGAGCAGATCCTGGAATTGTTGGTGCTGGAGCAGTTCCTGACCATCCTGCCTGAGGAGCTCCAGTCTTGGGTGCGGGAGCATAATCCTGAGAGTGGAGAAGAGGTGGTGACTTTGCTGGAAGATTTGGAGAGGGAGCTTGATGAACCTAGACAGCAGGTGAGAAATTGGAGGTGCCATCTTCTGTGGAGAATTTGGGTGCATGGATCCAGAATGGAGTAATGGGAGTAATTTCGCGCTGGTGGTTGGAAACCCTGGTTTGGGGCATTATTTCTTATTTGATCACTGGTGTAGATGAATAGATGCGTGCATATGAGATAACAGTTTTTGTGTATGATACAAATAATTAAATGATTTAACCAAATGGAAAAGCTTGATCTATTTTTTACCAGTAGAAAATATATTTTATGTAGTGACTATGAGATTAAAGAAATATACAATAGTAAATTTTTTTTAAAAAATTACTGTCTTTTGAAGCTATCTAGGCTCTGTTACTAATTAGCTGTGTAACCTTGGGCATATTACACCTTCTCTGGGACATTAATGTCTTCATCTGTACAATGAAAATACTAATTGCATGATTTCCTTGGTTCTTTTCAGTATCTAGAGTTGGTATGTAAAATGTTTTGAGCTCAAAATTATTTTTAGAAGAATTTTAAAAGCTTTTTGCCATTACAGTGGAGTTGTTTCTAAAGGAGTATATTTGCCTTCTTTGACAGTAATTTTAGAACATTGTGGATATTGCCAGACATTCTTATATTTTTTAGTGATACTATTCATACATTTATCTGAACTCTTTCAGAATGTGAACCCTTTATGTATACAGTCTGATCTGTTAAAAACGCATGTTTCTGGAATGCAAAATCTTTTAAAATGAGGTCAGTATGCCAGAAATGAGTCAGTATAATGCTGAAATTGTGTAAGCTCATGTATGAGTTTTCCCAGCAAGTTGATGTTTGGGGCCACCAGGTGGGAGTAGCTGAATTCAGAGTATCTGATGTAGCTGAGCACAGCAAGTCCTGAATACATACAGTACTGTACATAATTCCCATTTGCCCCCACATCCTTCCTCTGGCTGTCTTGGAAGCACTTATTTACATTGTTCCCTCCCATCTTTGTGTATTTTTTGCTAAAGTTTTTTGTATTCCAGAAAAGGAGCAAGCAGAGGGTTTTGCAAGTGCCATAGAAGTGTGCTTGTGATAAAATTTCTGCTAGTGAGTATAAAAGAAGAAAAGCTTTAACAATTGAAGACAAGTTTGAAACTATACAGTGTTTTGAAAGAAAAGAAACTGTGAGATTGGTCATGCAACTGGCATAAAGGAGTAAATGTATGTACAATTAGAGACAATGATGGGAAAAATAAAATTATCTAGCTGGAACAACTGCCAGTGTTATGAAATCTGTTGGAACAAGGAATAAGGAAATGGAGGAAATGGAGCATTTGTTAAGTGTGTGGATTGAATACCAAACAAGGAAGCAATCCAATGCAGTCTTTCTCAGAGTTAAAGAAAATACCTTCACAATGTATGGAGACATTAAGAAAAAAAGATGGAAGTCCCGCAGAAGTGCCTTCATTTAGTGGAAGTAGTGGCTGGTTTAGTATCTTCAAGAACTACTGTACTTTCCACAGTGTTAAACTGTCTGTGCAGACGAGGCTGTAAGTGCAGATGAAGAAGCTGCAAAGACATTTTCCCCTCATTAAGAAATTAGATTGATAAGGAAGGCCATCCCCTGGCTCAGATTTTTACTTTTTATGAAACCAGTCTCTATTGGAAGCAGATGCCCTCAAGGGGATATGTGGAGAATTTGGATGCATTGATCCAGAATGGAGTAAGCAGGACTGGAAGTACTCTAGAAACACACTGTGGGGTTTAAGGCTACAAAGGATCAACTGATGGTGATGCTGGGTGCAAATGCCAGTGGAATTTTAAAGCTAAAGCCTGTGATTATCATTCTGCCAATCTATAAGCTTTAAAATGAATTGTAAAGACTAGCCTTGGTGCCTACTACAGGTCTAGCAAGAGAGACTAGATGACAGGGCAGATATTTTCTGATCTTTCGGGTGATTTTTTTGTAGATTAAAAAAAAATAAAACATTGCAAGAGAAAAAAATTGTCTTTTAAAATTCTTATAATTCTCAGTGATACACCAAGCCACCCTCCAGTAGTCACTGAGCTTTCCTCAAATATCACAGTTCTCATTTTACCTCCCAATACAACTTCTTTACTGCAGCCCCTTAATCATGGTGTGATTGCAATCTTTAAAGCTTATTATTTAAAGCAAACATTCAAGATATTGGTTGCCTATACAGGGGGTGACAGTGCCCTAACATTTTTTGAATTCTGTAAATGATTCAACATTAAACTTATTATTGATATTATTGTAGAGGCCTGGAATGATTTCACAAAAGCCTGTTTGCACGGGGTGTGATATACAATTCTCCCTGATTTAATTTATGATTCCAAAGCCTTTGAGCCTTCAGAAGATCTCCCCAAAACCAACCCAAGCTGTATCGCTCTTGCAAAGGGGGTTGGATTTGAAGAAGTTGCTAGTGAGGATAATGCGGAGCTGCTGCAATCTGACACACAGGATCTTTCTACAGAAGAGCTGCAAGTTAGTTGCTGAGGCACAAATGGAAGGTGTGGAGGAAGAAGAACATGCAGTTCCACAAGCTACAAGCTGCCTCCCAAGAGCTTTTCACTTCTCAGTTATCTTCTGCTTCAAGTATGATAGAGAAGCAGTTGGAGTAGATAAAAGATAATGACTACAATGCAGAACGCAGCATGATTTCACTTCATGACATAAAGCCCTAATTGGACCCATATAAACAGCTTCTTTATGAAAGAAGGAAAGTGTTAAAACAGCAAACACTGGGTATCTTTTTATAAGCCAGTGTCAAATAAATAAAAACAAGATGATAAACGGGAACCCACATCATGTTTCTTGTAGTATCACTATATCCAAGGGTGGAAGAATATAACATCAAATGTTCAAGCGTCTTCACTTGGATTTTTGATGATTATATCTTTCCACCTTTGAATTGTTGTTGTTGTTGTTTGTTTGTTTGTTTGTTTTGAGACAGAGTCTCGCTCTGTCCCCTGGGCTGCAGTGTAGTGGCACGATCTCGGCTCACTGCAAGCTCTGCCTCCGGGGTTCAGTCATTCTCCTGCCTCAGCCTCCCGAGTAGCTGGGACTACAGGCGCCCGCCACCACGCCCGGCTAATTTTTAGTAGATACGAGGTTTCACCGTGTTAACCAGGATGGTCTCAGTCTCCTGACCTCGTGATCCGCCCACCTCGGCCTCCCAAAGTGTTGGGAATACAGGCGTGAGCCACCGTGCCCGACCCACCTTTGAATTTTTGATGATTATATCCTTCCACCCTTGCCCCCCCTTTCCTCACACTTGTTTCTAACAAGATAACATCACCTTTCTAAGGTAAAATCCTATACTTAAAGTAAGATTTATTAATGTCTTATATTTTTACTAGAGTTTTTATAGTGTTTTTTATTTTATTTTATTTTTATTTTTATTTTTTGAGACGGAGTCTCACTCTGTCCCCAGGCAGGAGTGCAGTGGCAGGATCTTGGCTCACTGCAACCTCTGCCTCCCTGGTACAAGCGATTCTCCTGCCTCAGCCTCCTAAGTAGCTGGGATTTACAGGCAAGCGCCACCACGCCCAGCTAATTTTTGTATTTTTAGTAGAGACGTGGCTTCACCATGTTGGCCAGGATGGTCTCGATCTCTTGATCTCATGATCCGCCCGCGTCAGCCTCCCAAAGTGCTGGGAGTACAGGCGTGAGCCACCGTGCGCCAGCCGGGAGTTGTTATAGTTTTAATAATGCTCTAGTGACAAAGTTGTGTAGGTGTTAAAATAGTCCACCCTTTAACCGTATTTTCCCCATAAATCCTGTCACTTTTCTGCAGTTTTGCAGAAAGCATGTTTTTTTAATACATTCATATGTTATGTTGCAGCACAAATGCCTATATAAGCAGTTTCTCACGTCTAGTCAGCACACCCTTTTCTCTTTGCTTTAAATAACAAATACTGTAGTTTTTTTCCCCCTTAAGATATGCCTGTTACTTTAGAATAGGGGTATCCAATCTTTTGGCTTCCCTGGGCCATATTGGAAGAATAATTGTCTTGGGCCACACTAAAATACACTAACACTAACGATTGCTGATGAGCTTAAAAAAAATCACAAAACAATCTTACAATGTTTTAAGAAAGTTTACAAGATTGTGTTGGGCCACATTCAGAACTGTCCTGGGCTGCAAGTGGCCTGCAGGCTGCAGGGTGGATAAGCTTGCTTTAAAATTTCCCCTTCTAGCTTTGTTGAAAAATGTAGCTTCTGGTAGGACTTGGTGTTTGGTCAGTTCCTTGGGTATTGTTCAGGTTATACGCTGATCATGTTTGATAGTTTTTTTAATGTGGTCAGAGTTATAAATATCTCTTAGTGTTGTTGAATATCAAGTTTGTATAAATGTTTCTCATTTTTCTTGTTTTTGTGTGATTTCCCCCACAGGGGAAATACCACTGGCAGACACTTTTAGCTGCCAACCCAGTGTCTATTCTACCCTTCTTTCCTCCCGACAAAATGTTGGTTTTGTTCATACTGGCAATATATCTAATTAAATTCTTTTCCAGGCTTCCTTGTTCTAGAGTTAACTATGCAACAGAATTCTGGCCAGGGAGAAATAAGCATATTTCGGGGAGGAGGTTCCTGGGGAAGCTTTTATTTTCCTGATAGGATAGGGGAGATTACTTTAGTTTCACCTTTTCTCACTTCCAGTCTTGAACACTAATATGATATCTGGCCATCTTCTGACCATTAAGTGATGGTAAGCATGAGGCCAAATGCTAGTGTTAAAAGTGACAGAGCAGAAATATGAAGACAGCTAGGGTCCCTGAAAAACTGTTAGATAAATGAGTTGGTGCCAGCAACTACCTTCTTCTAGGCTTCTTGTTATGTAACAAAAATAAACCCCTATTTGTTTGTGCCACTGTAAGTTAGATGTTCGAATTTATTGGAAATATGTGCATTTCTAATGAACACAGCAATATTTACTCTACCATATTACAACCAAAAGTTTCTTTCCAGCATTTTTATTTATTTATTTGAGATGGAATCTCACTCTGTCACCCAGGCTGGAGGGCAGTGGCACGATCTTGGCTCACTGCAACCTCCACCTCCCAGGCTCAAGCAATCTGCCTTCCTCAGCCTCCTGAGTAGCTGGGACCACAGATATGTGCTACCATGCCTGGCTAATTTTTTGTATTTTGGGCAGTGATGAGGTTTCACTATGTTGCCCAGGCTGGTCTCGAATTCCTGAGCTCAAGCAATCCTCCCACCTCGGCCTCCCAAAGTGCTGAGATTACAGATGTCAGCTACTGCACTCAGCTTCTTTCCAGCGTTAAAAAAAATCAAACCCAGGAATTGAATACTGAAAGACTAATGACTGTCATGACCAGTTTGAAGTAACTTCAGTTTTGTAATTTATTACCACTACCCAAGGTACTCTTCAAACTTCTGTGGTAGAGGCAGAAGTGGAGTTCCTCCCGGTTCTAAGACCAGGCCCACCCATTTTGGTCTAGTCCAGCTGGTGGAAAAGTAGAGGAATCAAGAGACTAGATTTGTGTTTGTGCTTGGGGGGGTGGGGGGGTGGGGGAGAGTCAGTGAATAATTCAGCACAATGAACCATATCCATATTTTGTTTCTTAGTTGCTCCAAAAGCTGGGATTGTGTATACTAACATTACAGAATTGATACATTGTTTAATTATAAACAGCAGGTGGCCCTCTTTCACAGATTCTGTTTCTGGCAGTTATGCAAAGATTTAGACAAATTGAAATGCATGCTATTATATTATACAAAGCAATTTACATAAGATACCTTATTAAGCTCAGAGAAGGGAAAAACATACCAAAGGGAACTGGCTTAACCATTTTATGAATTTTGAGAAAATGATTTTTTGAAATGTGCTTTGCACAGTTTAAGAATTTTTTTTTTTTTTTTGAGACGGAGTCTCGCTCTGTCGTGCAGTGGCATGATCTCAACTCACTGCAACCTCTGCCTCCTGAGTTCAAATGATCCTCCTGCCTCAGCCTCCTGAGTAGCTGGGACTACAGGCGTGCACCACCTCGTCTGGCTAATTTTTGTGTTTTTAGTAGAGATGGGGTTTCATCATGTTGGCTAAGTTGGTCCCGAACTCGTTACCTCAGGTGATGCATCCACCTTGGCCTCCTTTTATTAGTCCCAAAATGCTGGGATTACAGGCATGAGCCACCATGCCCGGCAAGAATAAATTTATTATGTGGTATCCAAGTTGGAGGAAAGGAGCATGACACAGAATCTTAAATCCCAACATGATATTCTAATAATATGTAGGCTTTCATCTCCTCCTATGTCACTGGATATTCCCTTTTAGAATATTCTGGTTTATGTGCAATTTTGGGATTCACTATCCATGGACATTTTCCAACTCGATGTAGCGTAAGTGTAACCATTAATAACTCTGTAATCCTTTAACAATTTGTACATTTTCTTAGGCCTGGTGAATCTGCATTATTAATAGTAGAGACAGGGTTTCTCCATGTTGGCCAGGCTGCTCTCGAACTCCTGACCTCAGGTGATCCACCTGCCTCGACCTCCCAAAGTGCTGGGATTACAGGCATGAGCCACTGCACCCAGCCCAATATTTACTTTTAATTAACCACACTGGAACTCATTTACAATTTTTTTCAGTCATCACGGTTTAGGAGATATTTCTTTAACGTGCTTTCATTGTTATTCCCAGAAACAGAAACCAAAGGGATGCGTTTTAACTCCTGTCCTATAGAGACATCAGTTTCTGTTGTATGGCTCTGGCTTTATTAGTCCCAGCATTTTTCATTTCTCTTCATGTTTTATCTTGTACTTAAGAATTCAGTAAAGACTGATTTTCTTCTTACATTCTATTTTAGTGGAAGAATACAAGTTTAGCTATGACAAACTACAATTATTTGTATTGTTTACCAAATGCACCTACTTGTCCACAGGTCTCACAGGGCACATATGGGCAGGAAGTTTCTATGGAAGAAATGATCCCTCTGGATTCTGCAAAGGAGTCTTTAGGCACCCAGCTTCAGTCTATGGAAGATAGAATGGAATGTGAATCTCCAGAGCCACACCCACTTCAAGATAATGGTGAGAATAATTTAGTTCTAAGAAAGAAGGTGAGACTTGGGAGAATGAAGGGTCTAGTATTGAAAGTTATCAAACCTCATTCCATTTCAGCTTCTACTGAATGTATTAATAGTTGAAGGAAAAGCCAATCAGTATAGTGTAATGTTATTAAGGGAGTTGAATTAAAACAGTCAGATAATAATGTCAAAAATACTTGAACACAAGATTTTTCATGGATACTTTGTAATGAAGTTAGTAAGTACCTGTGGATAAATCAGATACCTCTGTATGTAAATACTGAGCACTTGTCAGTGTAGTCATGGGTCCCATTGCTGTAGCCTCTGACCACAATTTTTGTCACATAATGACTGTGTATACATTGGAAATACTATTTGGAAATTCTACCTTAGAATATGGAATTTCTGAAGTCTATGTTTATTAGTGTTCTAAGGTCTGTTATTGGTATAATGTATAGTAGAGGTGGAGTCTGGCCTGGTTCTGGAACAGCTATCTTTTCCATTTAAAAAGGATTAGGTAAAATGGATACAATGTTTTTCTCCTCTTATAGCCCTAACAATTTTCTTAGACATTAATATTGATTCTACAAACTTCTGGGGCTCATATTTTCCTGGTTCTCTTGACATTGCCCTGTATTTCTTCTTCTAATTCATTCTTATTTATTTTCCTTCTCTGCTTCTAGTTCTATAGCATGGCACAAAATGGATCAGTATGGAAAGAAATGCTATCCATAGGATGGTCTTTTTCAGTCACATTTTGAGATAGCACTTACCATTATTGTTATTTTATTATAAAGTTAACAATTTTCTATTGAACACTAGATGTAGTAACGTGTTAGATAATGTGAAAGATACTAGAGAAATAAGTGATCTCTGTTTCTTTAGAAACTTACAGTCTTGTTGCATCTACCTATAAAACAGTTAAAGAAAAAACTGCGATAGTGCTAACTTGTGTTATAAATAGATAATGATTTTCAGGAAAGGAAAACTCACTGTGAGTTTAAATTTAATGATCAAAGAAGCCTTACTGGAACAATTGAGAGTTAAATGAGGCCAAACCACACAGTAACATATCATTAATTTTAACCTAGTTTTAGAAAATATAAACATTTTAGATGATTTAAATTTAGTAGTTCATTACTGCTACAGAACCAAACGGGTTCACTTGCCTGGCACAGGAAAGCCAAACATCCACATCAACAGGAGAAAAGAGGGCATTTATTTGCAGAGTGTCAAGCAAGGAGAATTGGTCCCCTCAAAATTAAGACCCAGTTTCCCCAATGGTTTGCAAGTAAAGTTTTTTTAAAAGAAGGGAGTCAGAGGTTACAAGCAAAGTCATAAATCAATACGTGGACACTGTACATTATTTTGACCTAAAAAGGTAGGATGGACATCTCAGAGAAGGGGCTTACAGGTCATAGGTAGATTCAAAGATTTTTTGATTTGCAATTGGTTAAGGAGGCAAAGCTTTGTCTGAAAATTTGGGATCAGCAGAAAAAAAGGTTAGCTCTGGCTTGCGGGTGTGACTTCTTCCAGGCCCCACAGGAAGAACTTTAGAACAAAGCAGCGGTTGGAGTTCAGTCCTCAGTTCCCCATTATCTGAGGTCTTCAGACCAGTGGATCCATTTGGTGGAGGTATGGGTTTCTGAAAAACAACTTAGGGATATATGTTAAGATGCTATCTTTAGTTAATATAGGGAACATCTCATGACTAACTTTTTTGGATGTTGTTTTAAGGTATTACCTTCTTGTTTATCAAGTTGCTCATTTACTTCTTAAAGATAGTTAGATGCCTGGAATTTCCCTTGAAGGAACTCAAGATTTTCTGTTATTACCATGCTTGGGGTTAGGGGTGGCTGACAGGCCCCTAAGAGGGGTCCCTGCTCTGTCTCACTATTTGGTATGCAAATTGATAGTATAAATGATGTTGACTTGAGTGAAAGTATTTTTCCAAGCAACTATAAAACTATCTAGAGATGTTATGCTAATTCCAAATTATTATTTTTTACTTTTTCCAAAATAGTTTTTTTCCTTAACACTTAGCCAAATTTGAAGTATTCTTAGTGTTTCTGTTATTATGAGTATTCTAGAAATTTCTTTTAATAAGCTTTATTAAGTCAGAAATTTTTCACTGATTTTGACTCATCCAGTACTCTTATTAAAATTAGTAATGAAGCTATTTGTATTGAGTTTGTAGTTAATAGCCCTAAAAGGGAGCTGATATGAATATATTAGGTTGGAACTTACTCCTCAAATGTTGATGTAATAGCTAACCTGACTGAATAAAAGAGAAAATGTGTAGTGTGGAGATTTTTTTAAAAATCTATTATTGTCTTGCTGAGGTTCCTCCAAAAAAAAAAGTCTGAGACCGGGTGTGGTGGCTCACGCCTGTAATCCCAGCATTTTAGGAGGCCAAGGCAGGTGGATCATGAGGTCAGGAGATCGAGACCATCCTGGCTAACACAGTGAAACCCCGTCTCTACTAAAAATACAAAAAAAAAAAAAAAGTCTTTGCATAGTAAACAAACAAGTAAATGTTAATTTGCATCCTATTTTACATAAAACAGTGCTTCAATCCTGAAAACTGCTCTGGAAATTCATGTCCTGGCTTTCTGCTCTTTATTGTTTGAAACTTTTTGTTATTGGCTGGAGTTTCATTTACGCTCTTCATTCCACCAAAGTTGGATTCCTTAATCAAAATGGTATCCCCCTGGCCTGGTGCAGTAACTCACGCCTGTAATCCTAGCACTTTGGGAGGCTGAGGCTGGCAGGCAGATTGCTTGAGACCAGGAGTTCAAGACCAGTCTGGCCAACATGGTGAAACCCCATCTCTACTAAAAATAAAAACATTAGTCAAGTGTCATGGTGCGCACCTGTAGTCCCAGCTACTCGGGAGGCTGAGATAGGAGAATTGCTTGAATCTAGGAGGCAGAAGTTGCAGTGAGCTGAGATTGTGCCACTGCACTCTAGCCTGGGCAACAGAGTGAGACTCTGTCTCAAAAAAGAAAGAAAATGGTATCCCCTTTTGTGTGTCCATATTCCCTACTTCTACCTCAAGCACTACTGGCTCCTTTGGCAATATATGTCTTTTAAATTATATTCCTGAATATTCTAATTGATTTTTTTCCTTTGTTTTTAGGGTCATTTTTGTGGTTTTCCATGATGTCTCAAAGCATGGGTGGTGATAACCTCAGTAGCTTAGATACTAATGAAGCAGAAATTGAACCAGAAAACATGAGAGAAAAGTTCTTCAGAAGCTTAGCAAGGTTACTGGAAAACAAAAGTAATAATACTAAGATATTTTCTAAAGCAAAGTACTGTCAGTTGATAAAGGAAGTGAAAGAAGCTAAAGCTAAGGCGAAAAAGGAATCAGTTGACTACCGTCGCTTGGCTAGATTTGATGTTATCCTTGTACAAGGAAATGAGAAGCTAATTGAGGCTGTAAATGGGGAAACAGATAAAATACGGTATTACTTACACAGTGAGGACTTATTTGACATTCTGCATAATACACATCTCAGCATTGGACATGGTGGACGTACTCGCATGGAGAAAGAGTTACAAGCGAAATACAAGAACATCACAAAAGAAGTTATAATGCTGTATCTGACCCTCTGTAAACCATGCCAACAGAAAAATTCAAAACTCAAGAAGGTTCTAACATCAAAATCAATTAAGGAAGTTAGTTCAAGATGCCAAGTAGATCTTATAGACATGCAGTTGAATCCTGATGGGGAGTACAGATTTATTTTGCATTATCAAGATCTCTGTACAAAGTTAACTTTTTTGCGGTCATTAAAGTCTAAAAGGCCTACGGAAGTTGCACATGCTCTTTTAGATATATTTACAATTATTGGAGCACCCAGTGTCCTACAATCTGACAATGGGAGGGAATTTTCAAGCCAGGTTGTCAGTGAACTCAGTAATATTTGGCCAGAATTGAAAATTGTCCATGGGAAGTCTCAGACCTGCCAAAGCCAGAGTTCTGCAGAACAAACTGAGGATATCCGAAAGAGGATTTTCTCCTGGATGCAAACTAACAACTCATCACACTGGACTGAATTTTTGTGGTTCATTCAGATGTCCCAAAATCAGCCCTATCACAGAAGCATGCAACAGACTCCATGTGAAAGTGCATTTAGCTCTGAAGCTAAACTGGGCTTGTCCCATTCTCAGCTAACTGAAGAACTTGTTGCCAGCTTGCATACAGAAAATGAATTAGATCAGGCTGACAAAGAGTTAGAAAATACTTTAAGAGCCCAGTATGAAGAAAACATTGAGACTGGAACAGACAGTAGTGATATTGAAGAGAATCTTTCTGTCACTCCTAAGGTGGCTGAAAAAAGCCCTCCTGAGAGCAGACTAAGATTTTTATCCTGTGTAGTTTGTGAAAAAGAATGCACAGGTGTTAATAGTTGTATATCATGTGATGGAAATATCCATGCAATTTGTGGAGTGCCCTCTCAACATGGGACTGAGGGCTGTGGTCGGCAAATAACTTGTAGCCTTTGCTATGAAACCAGCACAATGAAGAGGAAACATGATGAGATTCAAAGAAGTTTGCCTGTTAAACCTTCCAAAATGCTAAAGCCATCAGGGACACCATTTTCACCAGACAAAGTAGGAGACTGGGTAAGATTGAATATCTGCCGTAGATGAAAGCAGGGGAAGAATCTCATTACAGTGTACTGTGAATAAGTGTTGTGTGACAAGGTATATGAAAGCACATTTTTATTACCTTGGATATATTTCCCCCAAAGAAGGCCTAATTACTTTTAATGCTTCTTCTCAAATCAAGTGAAGAAGTATTTGTAGGGGTAGGGGATGATAAATTTGCTTGGAAGATATGGGTTTGTGTTGGGAAAGACTTCAGTTTGGGAATTTAAATGGAGAGCATGAAATAGAACCAAAAAAATTTAAAATCAATAGGCTTTATGAAGTAGGGTTAATGTTTTGAAATATGGAGGTTACTTATGACTTAAACTAGTGGTACGCAACATGTGATCAGTAGAGCAGTACTGGTATAAAAACTCCAGTCCATAAGGAAATAAATATAAAAATTAAGCGTAAATATTTAGAAACCTTTATAACAATTGACATTACTGCAACATCCAAGCACATGATTAATGGACTCATCTTACTGAATAGAATATAGACCAATTTAGGTATTGTTAAACTCTCAAGGTGAGTCACATGTGGTGGCAGTTACACACTAGTCAAACACAATAGGTCCCCATTACAACCTGTGATACTTTATGTTTCGTTTATCAGCCATAACCCAAAGATGTATAAAACTCTGAGAAAATATAGGCATTTATTTATTTTTATAACTTAACTTTAAAATAATTTTTTATTTTAATCAAATCTAGTTTTTAACTTGTGGTATAACACTGTTAGCTGAAGGAGGAAAGTAAAATTCATATTATTTACTTTTATTCCTAATTTCAGATGGCGAAACAAGCTTCACTGGACTTTTTTGTCAAGAAAAGACATGCCTTTTCTGAACACAGTAGTAGTAATAAAAGAAATGTTAACAATAGAAGTTATCCTGAAGAAGGGAAAACCAAAAGAGTTCATGCTAGTTTCACTCGGAAATATGATCCTTCATATATTGAGTTTGGTTTTGTAGCTGTAATTGATGGTGAAGTACTAAAACCACAGTGTATTATTTGTGGAGATGTACTGGCTAATGAAGCAATGAAACCATCAAAACTTAAGCGACATTTATATTCAAAACATAAAGAAATAAGTTCACAACCAAAAGAATTCTTTGAAAGAAAGAGTAGTGAATTGAAAAGCCAACCAAAGCAGGTGTTCAACGTTTCTCATATAAACATTAGTGCTTTGCGGGCTTCATATAAAGTAGCACTTCCGGTTGCCAAGTCTAAAACACCATACACAATTGCTGAGACACTAGTGAAAGACTGCATCAAAGAAGTTTGCTTGGAAATGTTGGGTGAATCTGCAGCAAAGAAGGTAGCTCAGGTACCACTTTCCAATGACACCATAGCTCGACGTATTCAGGAACTGGCTAATGATATGGAAGATCAACTCATAGAACAAATAAAACTAGCAAAGTATTTTTCATTGCAACTTGATGAATGCAGAGATATTGCTAACATGATAATTCTTTTAGTCTATGTGAGGTTTGAACATGATGATGATATAAAGGAAGAGTTCTTTTTTTCAGCCTCTTTGCCTACAAACACAACTAGCTCAGAACTGTATGAAGCTGTAAAGAATTATATTGTTAACAAATGTGGTTTGGAATTTAAATTTTGTGTAGGAGTATGTTCTGATGGTGCAGCTTCAATGACAGGAAAACATTCTGAAGTGGTAACCCAGATTAAGGAACTTGCGCCAGAATGTAAAACAACACATTGCTTCATTCATCGAGAAAGTCTTGCCATGAAAAAAATATCAGCTGAACTAAATAGTGTACTTAATGATATAGTAAAAATTGTGAATTATATAAAATCTAATTCATTGAATTCAAGATTATTCTCTTTATTATGTGATAATATGGAAGCTGATCATAAGCAACTGTTACTGCATGCTGAGATACGGTGGTTATCACGGGGAAAAGTTCTGTCAAGAATGTTTGAAATACGAAATGAACTCTTAGTGTTTCTGCAAGGCAAGAAACCCATGTGGTCCCAACTTTTTAAAGATGTGAATTGGACAGCCAGACTTGCTTATTTGTCTGATATCTTCAGTATTTTTAATGATCTTAATGCTTCTATGCAAGGGAAGAATGCAACTTATTTTTCAATGGCAGATAAAGTTGAAGGACAAAAACAGAAGTTAGAAGCTTGGAAAAACAGAATTTCTACAGATTGTTATGACATGTTTCATAATTTAACAACAATTATCAATGAAGTAGGTAATGATCTTGATATTGCACATCTGCGAAAAGTTATCAGTGAACATCTTACAAATTTGTTAGAATGTTTTGAATTTTATTTTCCATCAAAAGAAGATCCACGCATAGGAAATTTGTGGATCCAAAATCCATTTCTTTCATCAAAAGATAACTTAAATTTAACTGTAACTCTACAGGATAAGTTGTTGAAGCTGGCTACCGACGAAGGATTGAAAATCAGTTTTGAAAATACAGCATCACTTCCTTCATTTTGGATAAAAGCTAAAAATGACTATCCTGAGCTTGCTGAGATTGCTTTAAAATTGCTGCTTCTTTTCCCCTCAACATACCTCTGTGAGACCGGATTCTCTACTTTAAGTGTTATTAAAACAAAACATAGAAACAGTTTAAATATACATTATCCCCTGAGGGTAGCATTGTCATCAATCCAACCTAGATTAGACAAATTAACAAGCAAGAAGCAAGCTCACTTATCACATTAAAAGCTTTAAATATTGATATGTAAGGTATTGGTTCAAAGTATGCATATAAGCATTGAGTGTGAGGAATTTGCTATTTCACTTTAAACTTTCTGTCTAGTTACAGTTATGGAAGTATGAGAAGTTATGAGTGAAACAGCAATTTTCTATATAAATTGCCTATATGTATATTTTCAATTAAGAATGTGTACAGTTTTTATAATTCTATTTTTCCTCATATTTGTCGTATTTATTAAAATATAATTTTAAATCTGTTGATTCTAATATTAAAACATTTGATCTTATATTTTGTGTCTTCTTCTTGTATTTCATTAGCATGTTAAGATTGTAGGACAACTTCAGGATGGGAGATGGTTTCTTTGAAATAGACAAGGTCAGTGAAAGGAAGTGAATTCAAAGGGGTAGGCTTAGAATTCAAATGCAGGGGACAGGTCAGTAGGGTATGAAGTTTGTTAAACTGATCCAGAGTGGTTAGGTTGGAAGTTGATGTTGTTTGTTTTGTAGGTGCATGTTTAGACAAAGATGGAAGGGAACACTTATTTTGTAATGGTGTTATGGCCTTGGATTCATATTGATAAATTTATTTACTTATTTATTTTTGAGGCAGGGTCTTGCTCTGTTGCCCAGGCTGGAGTGCATTGGTGCAATCTCTGCTCACTGCAACCTGTACCTCCTGGGTTCAAGTGATTCTCTTGCCTCAGTCTTCCGAGTAACTGAGATTACAGGCACCCACCACCATGCCTGGCTAATTTTTGTATTTATAGTAGAGATGGGGTTTCACCATGTTGGCCAGGCTCATCTTGAACTCCTGACATCAGATGACCCTCCCACCTCGGCCTCTCAAAGTGCTGGGATTACAGGCGTGACCTGCTGCGCCCGGCCGATAAATTCTGATTTCATAAGGATGGGCGATTGGGCCATACTGACAAGTTTATGTTAGGTGGTTTCTAGATTTTGCTAGAACTGATTGCCTTTAAGGTGCTCTGGGACAAAGTCAGAAATTATTGGCACCTCAATTAGATTTAACAACCTCTATTTTGTTTGGAGATGATTCAGAAAAATGCCACAAATATCTGCTCTTGTGTCTGTGAACTCATTTAGAATAATCGAAAGCAAATTAGTCCGATAAAACAGGTTCTTTAGCATCAAAACATGACAGAATCCATGAAGAAAATATCTTTTCCTAGACAGGGTAGCAATTTACAGTAAGTGCTTCGTTTCAAATAAATGTGATATTCAAAGTTAAGGAAAGGAAGGCTATTTAGTGATTCAGAATGTTACTAATAATTTAACCTTTTGGTAATGGAAGTTTCAAGGATCCTCCAAACCTTTGAAAGTAGAGGAAAGGTTCATATTTAGTCCTGAAACCTTAATTGGATTATGTTTTATTGTGTGTTTGTTTTAATCTTACAGCTTTTCAAAAACAAAAAACCTTATCATGGTGGATAGATTTAGAAGACAGTGGTTTAATTTCTCCCACTGACAAATTATATGCCCTCTTTCTTATCTGACCATATTCTAGAACTAAGGGATTTTAAAATGTTTTACAGTTTGTTTTATTGATTGAATAAAGTATTGTGTTTCCCATTTTTAATTTCAAAAGGCAATGTGGTGATTTTATATTTATTTCTATAAAAACTTAAAGTAGTCTGGAAGAAATTAAGAGGGAATTAAGAGTACATATTAAAAGAGAACTAAATTCCCTTACTTTCTCTCTAAGAAATATAAAGTATTAGATGTTTGAGATTGGTACAAAGCCTTCACTTTCTCTCTAAGAAATATAAAGTATTGGATGTCTGAGATTGGTACAAAGCCTTCTCATATACTTGAACAACTATTTTTATTTTTTTCTGCAAATGATTCAGTGCCAGGAGGCTAACTTGCTTTACCTTTTTTTTAAGACATAGGAATATTTGTCTTTCCTCCCTTACCTCCCTGTTTTATTGTCTCACTGTAAATTTTTTTAGGGCAACAGCTTTATTGAGATTTTTATTGAGATCATGAAATCTTACTGCCTATTCTTAACGTGAATTTGATGACTAGTGATTCTGTAGATAACCTGATTTTCTCTTCCTATTTTCTGCTTGTTTTGCAGCAAGTTCACATGTCTATAAACGTGGTATATGAATACAATGCAAAGGTATCTTTATTTGTGTATACTTACAACTACTGTATGCAGTACTGTTTATTTCCATCTATCATGTATATATGTGCTGGTTTTAAAAAATTGTATTTATGTATAACAGGAGGTTGTGTTGGGCTTTTCCTATTACTCAAAGAACAGCAACTAGGGAGGAGTCAAAGATGGGTCAAGGGAACGCTAAGTACTTCACTTTTTAAAGAAATCTGACAATGACTAGAATCAGAAAACCCCACCACCCACTGCCTCCATGCACACACCCAGACCTAACTTGAAGGATGATTAAGAAGTCGTAGAACTAGCTCCCAAAATTGTGCTTTCTGCCAAAGGAATCACTGGTAGTGATTGAAGATGCCTTCAGGAAGGAAAGACTTGTATTTTATTTCCAGATTGGGTGTTAATTTAGGCAGCAAACTTGTTCATCTGCTTTCTGCCTACTTTATCAGGAAAATAAAAGGGAAGGTGGGGTGGGGAGGGGAGGCGATTAGACTTGCAGTAGTTCAGTCTGTAGTCTCACAATTTGGGGTGGCAAAGATACGCAAGTTTCCTGTGGGTCAGGTGACACCAAGGAATGTAATTAATTCTGACCTCTCGGCTAGTGTCACATTCAGGAAAACTGTCCTTCAGCCTGGAGAACTCTCCAACAAAGCCTGTGGGCATTTATAGCTATGGACAGATGAAGGAGGTAAAAGCCATTATCTATCTATTTATATATTTGTGGGTAAGGCCCCCACAAATATCTTGGAGAATTCTCACATGGTCCCCATGAAAGAATGAGAAAGCTTGAATTCTGGGGCTTAGAGGGCAAATTACAAATTTACCCTTGGTACCCGTATGTGTGCGCGCGTGCACATATTTTGAAGTCTTTGGTCTAGCCCTGGTTTGAGGAAGCAGGATACAAGAGGGAATTGCAGCTAAGGGGCCTGATGGCCTTTGCAACCTTATACCCAGATTCCTCTATATTACCCCAGCCACCTGGATGAAAGACCACTTCTCCTTCAGCTCTGCTGGTGAGAAACTTGAGAAAGAACCAAAGTGAGGGGAAACCCAGGGTGGGGCTTTTATGGCAGAGAAAGGAGGGTAGAGATTACTTGAGTGATCTCAGTGGTGCAGTCAAACTCTGGGCTTTTGGAGTTTGGCTGTTCTGGTTTGGCTGGCTGCTTAGATATTTCAAAGACAAAAGAATCTTGAGTCAGGTTCTAAAAGGATCCCTGTTAGAAAGTGTCCCTTCTCTGATATATGGCTGTGTACTTTCTGCAGTGAATCTCTCCTGAATAACTCCCAGAATGTCTTTGCCAGTGTTCACCAAGATAGAAAGATTGTGAAAGTTTCAAACATTATACAATTAGAAATTATTATGATAAAGAATAAGACATTTATTTACTGGTTCAAAGAACATACTGTGTGCTTTGTATTCTGACATATGTGTGTTAAATTGAATTTATGATCAATTTGTTATGATTGAGAGAGTAATAGGAGTTATAGTTGTTTTAATAATCAAACCTTCGGCTCATTAAAATTATATAAAGGTGAAAAGCCTGAGGTTGTTATGGATTGCATGACTTCTTTTTTTTTCTTTTTTTTTTTTTTGAGATGGAATCTCACTCTGTTGCCCAGGCTGGAGTGCAATGGCATGTTCTCGGCTCACTGCAACCTCCATCTCCCGGGTTCAAGTGATTCTCTTGCCTCAGCCTCTAGAGTAGCTGGGACTACAGGCATGCGCCACCAAACAGGCTAATTTTTGTATTTTTAGTAAAGACAGGGCTTCACCATGTTGGCCAGGTTGGTCTCGAACTCCTGACCTGGTGATCTGCCCGCCTCAGCCTCCCAAAGTGTTGGGGTTACAGGCGTGAGCCACCATGCCCGGCTGGATTGCATGACTTTTAAGAGTTTATGCTGAAATAATGATGTGCTTTATTTTAGGATTTAAATGCAAATGAATTTGTGGCTGAAATCTCTTTGGGAGAGCAAATTTTTCAAATTGCCATTTTCTTCTTCCACTTGAAAGCAGAAAAACCTTCTTTCAGTTGATTTGAGGAACCAAAACTGAACTCAGAGTGACAGGAGCACAAAGAAATGCAAGATGATGTAGGTTGGAAAAAGATGGCCAGAACAGAAGCTGGTTCATAAAGATGAACCAAGTTGAGGAGTTTAGCCATAATCTTGGGGGCACTGGGAAGTCAATAAAAGATTGATAAGTAGAAGATGACTTGAGTTACATTTTAGCAAAGCTTTTCCAGGTACAATGTAAAAAATAGATTGGAATGCTGAAGGACAGCAGGACACTAGGAAGAATTTTGTAATGGAATAGATTTATGATAATGGTGTGAACTGAATAAATGGGAGTAGGGATTCAAGAAAGTGGATGTAAGGGAGGAGACCACCCCTCATATTGTCCTATGCCCAATTTCTGCCTCCAAAGAAAGAAGTAAAAACTAAAAGGCAGAAATGAAATCCACAAGCAGACAGCCCAGTGCCACGCCCTGGGCCTGGTAGTTAAAGATCAACCCCTGACCTAATCGGTTATGCTATCTATAGATTACAGAAATTGCATAGAAAAGCACTGTGAAAATCCCTGTGCTGTTCTGTTCTGTTCTAATTACCGGTGCAGGCAGCCCCCAGTCACGTACCCTCTGCTTGCTCAATCGATCATGACCCTCTCACACGCACCCCCTTAGAGCTGTGAGCCCTTGAAAGGGACAGGAATTCCTCACTCCGGGAGCTTGGTGGTTGGAGATGTGAGTCTTGCTGAAGCTCCCAGCCGAATAAAGCCTTTCCTTCTACAACTCGGTGTCTGAGGGGTTTTGTCTGCAGCTTGTCCTGCTACAGACATATCTGAAAGGCTCCATATTATAAAGGTGCCAGTTAGCAATTGTATTGAAAATACCAGTAGAGGCCAAGTGAAGTAGCTCACACCTGTAATCCCAGCACTTTGAGAGGCTGAGGCAGGAGGATCACTTGTGCCCAGGAGTTTGAGACTAGAGTGAGATATGATTGTGTCACTGTACTCCAGCTTGGGCTACAGAGCAAGATCCTGTCTATCCCTCAAATTTTTTAAATTAAAAATATTTTAAAGATAAAATAAATATGTAGTAGGATGGGTCGCAGACAAAACCTCTCAGACACCGGATTTAGGAAGTAAGAGGCTTTATTCGGCCGGAAGCATCAGCAGACTTGCGTCTCAAGAACAGAACTCCCTGAAGAAAAAGTTCCTGGCCTTTTTAAGGGCTTACAACTTTAAGGGGTCCACGTGAAAGGGTCATGATTGATTATGCAAGCGTGGGCTACCTGACTGAGGGCTATATGCATCAGTGGTGAGGGCTAGCAGAACAGAACAGAAAGTTTCACAATGCTTCTCCATACAATGTCTGGAATCGACCAGAGCTTAACCGCACATGCGGTTAGGGTGGGGGTTAATCTTTTACATTCAGGCCTGGTCAGTGGCGTCAGTCAGTCTGGCCACTGACCCTACTTCTGTTATTTTTCAGCTTTTACTTCCTCCTTTGCAACTCTACCACAGGAGGCAGAGGGAAAATCCAAGGAAAATGCTCTCTTTCCTCAAATACACCAATAGAGGTTTCATACTATGCTACAACTGTGTCTAGAATAAGAGCAAAAGTCAATACTTGCTTAGAGACATTTAAAAACAAAAACAGGAGAAAATTTGCATTATCAGATAACAAAACTTATTATAAAGCTATAGTGCTTAAGACATGATATTAAGACAGCAATTGATAAACCATTAGAACAGAATAGGGAATCCAGAAACAATCTTGTGGGTATAAGGAAACTTGGTATATAACAGAAGTTTGCTCCTCAGTGAGGAAGAGAAAAAATTGATGGTCCATTTAGAAGAAAATGAAATTGGATCCCTGCATTCTAAATATTTTAGACTTAAATGTGAAAGTCAAAGCTATAAAACTTTTTGAAGAGAAAGTGGGAGAATGCGTTTTTGAACCTGAAGAAGGAAATAGTTTCTTATGATGCAAAAACACAAACTATAAAAAAGAAATCTAGCTGTATTAAAATGATTAACTTCTGCCTACCATAAGACACCATCAAATGTGAAACCATTAATCAAAACTGGAGTGTATATCTGCAACACATATGCTTGACAAAGGATTATTATTGAGAATATAAAGAATTACTATAAATCAATGAGAAAAAACAAGCAACTAAATAGAAAAATTAGCAAAATAGGCACTTCAAAAAAGAAAAAGTCTGTATGCCCAACAGACATATAAAAATATATTTGAAACCAGGTTGGGTGTGGCGGCACATGCCTATAATCCCAGCACTTTGGGAAGCCGAGGAGGGTAGATCACCTGAGGTCAGGAGTTTGAGACCAGCGTGGCCAACATGACGAAACCCCATCTCTACTAAAAATACAAAAATTAGCCATGCGTGGTGGCACACGCCTGTAGTCCCAGCTGAGGCTGAGGCAGGAGAATCGCTTGAACCCAGGAGGTGGAGGTTGCAGTGATCCTGGGCAACAGAGTAAGACTCTATCTCAAAAAATAAAAAGATATTCAAAATAATTTGTAATCATAGAAATACATATTTAAATTACAATTACACTCACCAGACTGACCCAAATTAAAGTATCAAGTGTTGGCAAGAATGTGAATCAAACTCAAGCTCTTATACTCTGAATTTTATGTACATGTTGGTACAAGCATTTTAGGAAACAATATGACATTATCTGGTAAAGTTGAAGATGTGCATGCCCTACAATCTTTCAAATCCACTCTTATTTACATGCATTGTGAGGAGCCATGTCTTTGAGTGTTTATAACATCAATATATAACCCATATTGGGAACAACCCAAATGTTTATTCACAAGACAGTTGTAATATATTTATTCAACAACTAAAATTTGTACTATATTCAACAACTAGAATACAGTAGCAAAAATGAATGCTTACTGAGAATCTTGGGGGGTAATGAAGTGGACTATATCTTGATTAAGTAGTGGGTATATATATATGTAAATGCATATATGTTAAAAATCATCAAAGTATATAAAATGGGTGCATTTATTCTGTGTAAATTATACCTCAATAAAGTCAACTTTAAAAATAAATGACCTACATTTACATGCATCAACATGGATTAAATTTAACAATACAATATTGAGAAAGAAAACCAAGTTGCAGAAGAATCACAAATATTGTACCATTTATATTAAAAAACTTTATAAAAATTTTATATATGTGAAGAAACTAAACAGCATAAATTAGAGATGCTACGTGGTAAAACTATAAAGCAAGAGAAAGCCCACAAAATACAAAGAGAGAATTTTGGATAGGGATTATCTCTCTTGGGTGACAGAAGAAGGGAGGGATTGTGATTTTGGCAGAGCCACTAAGGTCATATTGTTTCTTAACATGAGTGGGGGGAACAAGGATGTTCAGCTTATTATTTTTTGTAAATGGCTTATAAATATGTTATAAATATTATTTTATATGTTTTTGAAGTTTAAAATATAAAAGAATTAGTTAAATATAAATCTGACAAAATTATGCTGAAAGCAGAATAGAAAGAATAAAAAATAATGAAAGAAGTAAAGTTATCAAGGAGAAACCAAAGTGTTCCAATATCTGCTCCTAAGGAGAGAACAGGGAGAAGTAATTGTCAAGATAAAGGATAAGAATATTCTAGAATTGATCAAAGTAGTTTAAACCATGAACACATATTTTATGTCACAAGATAAAGTGGTCTGAACATTATTTCAATGGCCGAGAAATGTATGTCAGCAGGGACAGAGTGTTTTTGTCCTGTTTTCTCTTCCTTCCTCCATCTGTTGGCCTTTGCCCTCAGGTTCATCATTGGAGGTCACAAGTGGGCTTTGTCACCCGCAGTGTTAGCTACTCACAAAACAGTAATTAAGAATGGGAGTGTCATGAGGCAAAAGAGCTTTTTCTTGGAACTCTCTTCCATCAATTAGGAAAAGTCTTTTTTAAAAATCTCTAGCAGATTCCCCCTTCAGCTAAGTAGCCTTAATTGCCTCACATAATTTACCCTACACATGTTTACTTAAGGGGAATAAGATTGCCATGAAAAATACCTTAGAAAAATCATGATTCACCCCCTATGCCAGGGTACTTTACCATGCAGTAGGAACCCTGTTTCCAAGAAGAGTAGAAAATAGCTCTCGGGTTGGCAACCCTCAGTGTCTGTCAACATTGATAAATATGAGGGCAAACATTTTCTGGATACTTGCTGGAAAGAGTAAATTTTTACAGCCTTTCAGGAGGATGATTTAGAAATAAGTACAGAAAAGTTTAAAAACAGTTGGCCAACTATAATTGTTAGAATTATATAATATATATACAAATCTAATTATGAGATTAAAACATTAGGATAGTTTATATTAGTCTAAGACAGAGAAGGAAACCATCTAGACAGGCCAACTTTAGAGGAACTGCTTACTCAAGTAGTGTTTCTTTCATATATTTAAATACTAAGCAATCCTAATAATAAAGATTTAGATGCATTTTCTTCCATGAGAAGCTGGTCAAAATATTGTGTTGACTGGGACAAAGAGATTATAAAACAGTTTACATAGAACAATCTTAATTTGGAAATTGTATTCTATGTGTATTAAGAATATCTGAAAAGTTATTTCCCAAAAATGACAACAGTGCAAATCAAGACTGAGATAGTAGTTTGCAAAATCATTAAGTGATGGATGGGTCTAATGAATATACATTTATAGGCTTAAAATACTCTAATTCAGCCAAGTGCTGTGGCTCACACCTGTAATCCCAGAACTTTGGGAGGCTAAGGCAGGCAGATCATGAGGTCAGGAAATCGAGACCATCCTGGTGAAACCTCGTCTCTACTAAAAATACAATATTTAGCTGGGTGTGGTGTTGTATGCCTGTAGTTCCAGCTACTTAGGAGGCTGAGGCAGGAGAATTGCTTGAACCTGGGAGGAGGAGGCTGCTGTGAGTCCAGATCACACCACTGCACTCCAGCCTGGGCAACAGGGCGAGACTCTGTCTCAAAAAAAAACAAAAAACAAAAAAAACTGTAATTCAACTTTGATTAAAATAAAATTTACTTTTAAAACTATAATTACAATGAGTTTAAAAATCTTGAAAGTGAAAGATGATTGTTGACTCAAGTGCTTTTGAAAAAACAGTCATTTATAAAAACACTCTTTGTTATAAAGAAAGGGGAGAAGTTAGGGAAATATTTATATCCTAATTGTCACAAAAGTATAGTGCATTTACCAGGTGAGGTTAAAGTCATACTTAAGTTTTATGTATATAGTCCTCATGAAATTTAATTTCTGGCTAACTTATTTGCTGAGATGAACAAGAAGTTTTTATGTAAAATTTAAAGATTTTAATATTAATTGCCTTCAGTATTTGTTAGTAAAATGTTTTATCACAGGAAACTGTTTGTTAAGGATACATGTTAAAGAATTTTGAGATTTTTCCTTAAAGTTATAAATTATGCTTTTTTCATGAATTTCCATGCTAATCCTGGTTAACTAACCTTCTACGAACTTACTGATAGTAGTATAATTAATTTTACTATATACAAAACCAAAAATTATCTTGTGGGTTAGGAAAAGTATACTGTCTAAACCCTTGACATAAATACTGATCTTTCATTTTTTAAAGGAGAAGAAAATTTTCTTTGTGTTGAAAGAGGATAAGCTGAAACAAGTGTCACAGAGATGAAAATCTACTTCACAAAGAAAATATCTGTAATTATATGTATAAGTGATCTCTTTTTAAAAGCTTCAAAATATCTGCTTTTTTAACATGGATACTTCCATCATACCAGCATAAGAATTTTGCCTCGTCCTTATGATGGCCTATATTTTACCTCAGTGCAGTTATAGTTGCTATTTCACTGATTTGGGATCAGAGAACAAGGGAGGAATTGATAGAAGACAGTAATCTTGGCCAGGAGCAGTGGCTCATTCCTGTAATCCCAGCACTTTGGGAGGCTGAGGCAGGTGGATCACAAGGTCAGGAGTTCAAGACCAGCCTGGCCAAGGTGGTGAAACCCTGTCTCTACTAAAAATACAAAAATTAGCCAGGCGTGTTTGGTGGGCGCCTATAATCCTAGCTACTCGGGAGGTTGAGGCAGAGGACTGGAATTGCTTGAACCCGGGAGGCAGAGGTTGCAGTGAGCTGAGGTCGCACCATTGCACTCCAGCCTGGGCGACATAGCAAGACAGCAAGACTCCATCTCAAAAAAAAAAAAAAAAAAAAAAAAAAAAAAGAAGAAGAAGGTAACCTTTTTCTGACTTGATGAGTTTGGAGCGTTTGCTGGGAAATTCAGGTCTCCAATCAGTCTACATCATGAGTTTGGAGCTAGGGTGAAAATTTTTGGTTAGCATGAAACTGAATAAAATAATCTAAGAGAGAATGTATGAAGTGATAGAAGAAATATTCTAGGACCAAACACTTGGTAACACCACATATAAGGTTCAGACAGAAAAAGAGGACTCAAAAAAAAAAAAAAAGATACAGAGAAGAAAATGGTAAGAAGTCAGAAGACAGCTGGGAAGTAATAATTTAATGGTAGCCACGAAATGAGAGACATGCATGTGAGTAATTGTCAACCATATAAAATCCTTGATAAGATAAAATCTTGGTAAGATGGGTCTAAAGGGAACTTGGACAGCCTCTTCAGCAATTCTCCTGCCCTTCTCCTGGGAACCCTTATTTTCTCCTACGTACCCCAGCCACATCCTCTTGGATACTTTGGCAAGTACCTTGATCTTACACAAATCCACCGACCTGACCAGAATTGATTGTTTCATGTTGCACAGCTGATATAAGCTAGGCTTGCGATGGACTTCCAAGGATTTTGGATGTGAGGGCAAATAAAAGGATCAGCATACATTCTGTCTCTTGGCTTAAGTCAAGATGTAAAGCTTGAGAGTTTCTTTTTCATGTTAAGACAGCGATTCTGTAGAGAGTACAGAATAGAGATAATTCAAGAGACAGAGTAAAGCCAACTTGCAGAAGGAAGTAGATATAATAGAAAGCCCTTGACATCACTAGAGTTCCAGGTTTCAATTGTCACCAAGAATCAGCTATATTCTTGTTCTTTCCAAAGTTCAATTATTTGAATTTTCCTTGGATTCTATCAATAGGACCTAGTAAATTCTCCTTTTTGCTTAAGCTAGTTTAGGATTTGTGCCATTTGATACCATAAGTTTTAATTAATACAGTTTATCAATTTGGTAAAAACAGAGGTCATTGATTACTCTGTTCAATTCAAAGTGGTTTCAGTGGAGTAGTAGAAATGAAAACATTACAGTGAATCGAATTATTAAGAAGTAAGAAAGAGGTAACAGCTAGTGTAGACAGATTTTAGCTTTGTTCATTTCCTTAATAAATATTTATTGAGGGCTTACTATATGACTTTACCAGGGATAAAGATGAATCAAAAGATGAGTATGATATAGTCTTCTATTCAAGAAACTCTCAGCCTTTTGAAGGAAGCTGATAAGAAGGTATTTTCAATGCAGTGTATAAGAGTATGGCTCAGAGAGGAAGGGGAGAGAGAGAGAATGACAGGAAGAGACTGGAGACAGAAATAGGGGTTACTGATGGATTTAGACTTCAAGGAGGCAAGTAAAAATAGAGTTAAAATCACAAGTGGACAGATTTACCTAGATGATGAAAAAGGACCTTCTTTTGAAAAAGGAAGTCTGAGTCTAAGATGGCATTTAAAAAAAAAAAGGAAAAAAGGAAAAGGAGGGAAGCAAGGATACTTGGAATCCACTGAGGATCACTTTAGAGACTATATTCTCTGCAAAAGTTGCTGTGGTAATTAATCCTACTTTTATGTCTTATGAAATGGCTGTTCCTCTTCCTAAATAAACTGTCCTCAATCCTGTGAGCACTTCTACCCAGGTAGCTTGCCTCGTTATGTGCAAAGGGAAGGAGAGAGCAGAAAACAAATACTTCCTAATATTCCAATACTGAAAACCAGGAATAACTTTTTCATATTCACATGACAGTATACTGTCACTAAGAGCAGAATCTCATACTTTCCTCTACACCATCTATCACATTAGTAGCAATACCATTCAGTAAGCACTCAACAAAAATTTAATCTAGTGATATCCTGTGGATTAAAAAAATTTAAGTAATACTGGTGGAATGAATGCCCCTTCTCAGAAATCCTTGTCTTTGCTGCCAACTTCCTATCCAGATGTTAGAGCTCAATTATCTGTGTGGAAATGGGTAGAGACCAAGGAATGGGGTGACGAGGGTCACAAATACACTGTTTCAATAGGATCATGATTCTCAAAGGGTGATCCCAGATCAGTAGCACTTGGAAATTTGTCACAGATACAAATTCTTGGGCCCCACCCCAGGACCTAATGAATCAGAAACTGCAATATTTGTTTTTAAAAGCCCTCCAGGTAATTCTGCAGCATACTGCCTTGTCTGTTCCGGCTGGTATAACAAAGTATCTTTGGGTAATTTATGAACAACAGGAATTTATTGCTCATATTCTGGAGGCTGGGAAGTCCAAGATCAAGAGGCCAGCAGATTTGGTGTGTGGTGAGAGCCTGTTCCTCACAGATGACACTTCCTATGTGTCCTCACGTGATGGAAGAAGCAAACAAGCTCCCTCAGGCCTCTTTTATAAGGGCACAAATCCCATTTATGAGAGTGGAGCAATCATGACCTAATCACTTCCCAAAAGCCCCATCTCATGATACCGCCACACTGGGCATTAGATTTCAATATATGAATTTTGTGGGAATGCCAACATTCAAACCATAGCACACATCAAAATGTGAGAACCACTGTTTTTGGGCAGTGATTCTTAACTGTAATGGGTGTATGAATCACCTGGGAGTTGTTGAAATGCACATTCTGATTCTTTTGGTCTGGATGGAATTCAATATTTTGCATTTCTAACGTTCTCAAATGGTGTCAACATTTATTTTCCGCAAACCATGCATTGAGTAGCAAGACATGAGGACCCGGAAGTGGGGAGGGCAGTTCAAAGCCAGGAGTAGTGACAAGGCTGCTGCTCAGCAGCAACTGAGGTACCTATTGGCTTTATGCAAAGTTGTCAAGCAAGGTCTCAGATGGGGATGCAGCTGGGTGTACATGGGACAGCTGCCAAAACAACCTTCTTTTTATTCCTCTTAGTTAACTGCAATTCCATTTTTTATCCTTTCTTCTACTCCTCATCCAAGACACATATCAACAATAGATTTTGTTGACTGAATTTCCACAGTGACTGCACTAGCCCAGTTTATCAATTTATAAAACTGATACTCATATTTTCCAAACTACAAGCTTAAAAGCCCCAAAATTGAGTATCTTTAAACACAGGGAGATGAAAAAAGGTAAAAAGAGGCTGGGCACAGTGGCTCATGCCTGTAACCAAGGCTCCACTCATTAACTAAAATGCCATGATTTCTTTTCAAACATTTTTCCCCTGGAGTATGTTGGTAAGAATTAATTACTTTGAGAACTGCCAGTGGAGAAATTTCCTAGAACTCAATTTTGATAAATGTCAGGTTGCTATTCAAGGACTTGTTTTTTCAATGACAAATTGTAGTGTTGGAAAAGAGCCCCAAATCCTCTGTTTCAAAAACGGATTTAGATTTATTTGAGCATCTCTGAGCTCACTGTGTTTGCATGGCTTTGCCCAGCTGCTGTACTTCTTGGGCCAACTATGGTTTAATAGTATTTTTTATTTATTTTATTTCATTTCTTCTTCTTTTTTTTTTTTCTGAGACGGAGTGTCGCTCTGTCGCCCAGGCTGGAGTGCAGTGGCGCGATCTCGGCTCACTGCAAGCTCCACCTCCTGGGTTCACACCATTCTCCTGCCTCAGCCTTCCGAGTAGCCGGGACTACAAACGCCCGCCACCAAGCGCGGCTAATTTTTTTTTTTTTTTTTTTTTTTTTTTTTTTTTTTTTAGTAGAGACGGGGTTTCACTGTGTTAGCCAGGATGGTCTTGATCTCCTGACCTCAGGTGATCCGCCTGCCTCGGCCTCATAAAGTGCTGGGATTACAGGCGTGAGCCACCGCGCCTGGACTTCATTTCATTTTTGAGATGGAGTCTCGCACTGTTGCCCTGGCTGGAGTGCAGTGGCGCGATCTCGGATCACTGCAACCTCCTCTTCCAGGATTAAAGTGATTCTCCTGCCTCAGCCTCCTGAGTAGCCGGGATTACAGGTGGGTGCCACCATGCCTGGCTAATTTTTTGTATATTTTAGTAGAGATGGGGTTTCACTATGTTGACCAGGCTGGTCTCAAACTCCTGACCTCGTGATCTGTCCGCTTCAGCCTCCCAAAGTGCTGGGATTACAGATGTGAGCCATCACCCCTAGCCAGCAGTATTTTAAAAATTGTCTTCTAAGATAGGCCATTGATAATATTCAGTCATATCCTGTACCTCATTTGGGTATCCAGGTGGCTGTTGTCCAACCAGATTTTAGCATTTTCCCCCAAATCTTCCATGTCATGCTCTAATCAGTTAATAAAAATAGGAACCACAATGCCACTCCCATTTGTATTGGCATCTGTGATTCTAGAGTATTATAAAAAGATCTGAGTCAAGAAGAGTCTTTGTAAAGAAAATCCTAACATCCTGTAGGATCTGGGCCTCTTCCTTTATTTCTCTGATTTCATCTTCTATCCTACACTCCTTTACTCCACCCCAACCTCAGTGTCCCTTTGGGGTTCCTTGGACACTGCAGGCTCAATTCTTGCTTCAGAGCATCCTCACTTTTCTTCCCTCTGCCTAGAATTCCCTTTTCTTAGATATCTTCATGGCTGGCTCCTCTATTTTTTTCAGTCTTTATTCAAAAAATCATCTAAATGAGGCTTTTCCTCATTTAGATAAAATTTCCTCATTTAGATAAAACCACACTAGATAAAATTTCAAACCTCTCAACATATCTTGTCCCTCTTTTCTGCCTTTTCTCTTTAGAATTTATTATTATTTAACATAATATATTTCATTTTTATCTGATTTATTTATTGTGTCTTCTCCACTAGAATATCAGCTCCACGAAGGCAGGAAATATATCATTCACTTCACCCTACTATTGTATCTTTAATGTCTAGAAAAATGTCCAGCACATAGTTGGTGCTCAATAACATTTACTACTGAATGAATATATTAAATGAAAAAGTAAGGTACAGAGAAGTGTAAATAGCACTCTACCATTTGTGTAAACGTGGGGAAAATAATATACAAGTTTGAATTTATATGCCAAAAATTGCCCTGTAAGGAGACACCTGAACCTGATACTAGTCAACTGAGGTCTTAAGAACCCAGGACTGGCAAGGGCATTGGGATGGGGGTGAGAGGAAGACATGTTACTGAATATTGTTTTACATTTAAAAAAATTGTAAACTATGTCATATTATCTATTCAAAACATTAAAGTTAAAAACAATAAGAAAGAAAATAATTTCCCTGGCCAGGTGTGGTGACTCATGCCTGTAATTCCAGCACTTTGGGAGGCTGAAGCAGGAAGACCACTTGAGCCCAGGAGTTCAAGAGCAGCCTAGGCAATACAGTGAGACTCTGTATCAACAAAAAATTTAAAAATTAGCCCAGCATGTGTAATCCCAGCACTTTGTGAGGCCGAGGCAGGTGGATTGCTTGAGGTCAGGAGTTTTCAAGACCAGCCTGACCAACATGGTGAAACCTCGTCTCTACTAAAAATGCAAAAATAAGCCCAGCACAGTGGCGGGTGCCTGTAATCCCAGCTACTCTGGAGGCTGAGGCAGGAGAATCGCTTGAACCCGGGAGGCGGAGATTGCAGTGAGCTGGTATCGTGCCACTACACTCTAGCCTGGATGACAGAGCGAGACTCCATCTCAAAGAAAAAAAAAAAAAAAGAAAAGAGAAAAAAAATAGCCCAGCATGATGGTGAGTGCCTGTGGTTCCACCTACTTAGAGGCTGTGGTAGAAGGAACGCCACTGCACTCCTGCCTGGGAGACAGAGTGAGACTCTGTCTCAAAAAAAAAAAAAGAAAAAAAAGAAAGAAAGTAATTTCCCTTTGGACTCAATATAGTACCCTTTGATATGTAAGAGAGGAAGAGATTGTAATAGATTATTTCCCTTTGAATTTTTTAAATGTATACGTAATAGATGCACCTGTTTTCAGGATACATGTGATAATTTCATGCCATTCATATAATTGGTAAAGATCAAATCAGTGTATCAATTAATTATTTTAGAAAATATGTTCCAGGAAACTTTTTAGTAATCTCATAGCAATAAGAGTGCCAGGAGCAGCACAAATGAAAAGATAAATCTAAGCAACCACATCACCTCACTTTCTATGTCTCAGGTAAGCCTCGGTTCCTGAGACATTGGCTGGAGGCTGTGGTGAGGACCTCTTTGACAGTCCTGTTTATTTACTCCCAGAGTGTGGGAGAACTAGGGTCATGCTTGCTCAGGAGGAAAAAAGAACAACACATTATCCTCATAGGGCAGGCCAGCTGATTCAGAGGTCGTTTTTACCAGCTCCTGTGTGTTTCATCTGAAAAGGGGGTGGCATATCAGCAAGACAACTCTCTTTCATGAGCTACTTTCTTTCATTTCACTCTAAAATTACTGATCACCTATTACACACAAAAAGAGGACTTCATCTCCATGGGCATCAAATAAAAG
This sequence comes from Homo sapiens, assembly GCF_000001405.40. Classification (NCBI taxonomy): domain Eukaryota; kingdom Metazoa; phylum Chordata; class Mammalia; order Primates; family Hominidae; genus Homo; species Homo sapiens. The sequence continues at coordinate 28,555,134 of NC_000006.12, read as the reverse complement.
AGAAAATGATCCTATCCTTTGTAAAGTTAAGGAGCTGAACTAAGATAACTCAGATTCACACACTGTGGCTGTATTCTCAGAAGGAGGCTGAAAGATTCCTTCTACGGACTTGATTCTGATCCAAAGTCAGAACATTTTCCATCAAGCTGTATGGACCCACACTAATCACTTCAACTTTCTACTCTATTTCTTTTGCCCTCCCTTTCATTTTTCCTTTTCTCCCAGCTTCCTTCTCTGTTATCCACTACTTAATTTAATCAGTTAAGATCTAGTCAGAAGGCAGAAACCGCATGGCAATTTGAACAAGAAATGTTCAACTTAAAGAATTATTAACTAGTAGCAGGATACTGTCTAGTAAGAGTAGAGAACTCTCCAGAGCAGCCACTGCCTCTAGGCCTGAGGCAGAGCATCCAAGACAGGAACAAAGCGGAAAAAGCACTTCCCACTGCCACTGGCTGAAAAGTTCTCTGTGCCAGAGGCTGGAGCTGGCATGCAGGCAATCACCCATTATGAGAGTGTGGAATGAGCTCTCTGGGGAGCCGCCTGCTAGGGCTTGTGTAAGGTTCGTTGGAAAGTCGTCAGCCGGGAGTTTCACAAACTCGCTGGGGATGATCATCCTGGGTGTCCCACAGCCCCACCGCACACAGCAGTGTTATTGACCTGGTTTGTTCTGCCCACGCACAGAAAATCAATCACTGTGATAAGCAGTTTGTGCAAAAGAGAAAAGATTTATTCACAGGGCTGCCCAGGGAGAAGGCAGAAGAGCAGCTCTCAGATCCGTTTCCCGGAAGAGAAGTCTTAGGGATAATTACGAGTTAGGGAAGTGGGGTGGTCTAAGGTGTGGGGAAAAGTGATTGGCAGTTAGGGAAAATGAAGTAACAGGTTCGTTCTGCGCAAAAGTTCATGGTATTGCATTGGACATAATGTACAGAAAATGGCGCCGTTAGTATGATTTGAGGGTGGAGTTTTTGGCCACCTCTTGGGCACTTGCGTGGGTCCAGTTGAAAGGTCGGTAGTCTCAACCGGTTTAAACTGGACAGGAGTTGCCCCAGGTTCCTGAAAAACAACTGAAGCGACCGTTACCATGGTGACTTATAGACGTTATCTACAAGGTCGCCGGTGAGGGTTAAGTTCTAATGTTCAGCGGAGCAGCCCTCAGCTTCACAGGGGGAAAAAATCACAAAAAGACAGCGGCCAAAAGCAAGCAGGGCAGGCTAAGTTTGGCATACCCGCTCAGATTAACATCTTGGTTTCAGCAGGAACAAGCAGAAAAATCATGGGGTCCAGAGGCCCCTTCCTCTTGCAGTGTACTCCCCTAGCACAGCTTAAACATTACCATTTTGCCAAATAGAAATGTTTTCAGGGTCCACCTCCAGTATCATAGAGCAGGGCACGGAAGGGGCGATTTGGAGCTGGCAGCCAATACATTGATAACTGGGCACACTGTCTTTCCCTTTGTTCCTCTTTCCTCCCTTTTCTTTCTGTCTCATCCCTCTCGCCCTCACTTTGTTCTCCCTTTCCCTCCTTCTCTCTCTAGCTCCCCGCCTTCTCCTTCTTCTCTCCCTTGCACTCTGGCTCCAGTCATCGCTCTCACTGTCCCTCTGTGTCCTTTTCTTTCACTATCTCACCCTCTTTTCCTTTATCTCCCTCTCTCTTCGTTTTCCACTTTGATATCAAAACTTTGTGTTTCACCTTGACTCTCCTCCTCTTTTTTCTATATGAGCTTACTGAATTAAATGATAATCTATTGCGCTTCACCTTTTCAACCCTCCTCCCCTCCCCACAAACTCCTGGCAATCAAGAATCATTTAACTATCTCTGTAGTTTTGCCTTTTCAGAAGGTCAGTGGTCATATAATTGGAATCATAGTCCGTAACCTGTTCAGGCTGACTTTTTTTTTCACTTAGCAATATGCACTTAAGGTTTATCCATGCCTTTTCATGGTTTTATGGCACATTTTAAATTTCTGTATAAAATTCCAATGTATGAATGTACTACATCTTGTAAATATATTTGCCCATTGAAGGACATCTTATATGCTTCCAGTTTTTGAAGAATACTATGAATCTTATGAATAAAGCTACTATAAACATTCATGTATAGGCATTTTGTGTGGACAAGAGTTTTCAAATCAGATGGGCAAATACCTATCTAGGACTGTCCTTTTTTCCATTGAATTATATTTGCTCCTTTGTCAATGATCACGTGGCTATATTTGTGGGGGTCTATTTCTGGAGTCTCTATTCTATTGTTCTACGTGTCTATTCTTTTACCAATACCACACTGTCTTGATTACTGTAGTTTTACAGTAATTCTTGAAGTCTGGTAATGTGAGTCTTCTTACTTTTTTATTCTTCAATATTGTGCAGAATCTTTAAGAGCTAAAGAGAATGATTTACCAAACAAATCTTTGTTTCACTTATTTTCAATTTCACTTTTGAACATTGGAGTTTCTGTAAAGCTCCCAAAGATGAGACAGGAATCCACATAGGTGACTTCCTGGTGTTTACCCAACTCAGCAATAGGAGGTGTGGACAGCAGCGATGGGGAATTCAGCTCCGTGGGATAGGGCAGGGATCAGAGTGGGGAGGACAAGGGAAGCTGTCTCACTATTGTCCTATTCAAGTGGTACCTATGCATCAGGAAAAACATCTAGGACACCTTGTGCCTTAGAACTGCAACTGTTCTTCCTCTTCCTTCTCTTTGTCTTATCTCCTTGTGTCAGAAATTTTTTCTTTCTGCCCACTACCATTTCCTCAAACTGTGACAGCTTAACAAATATGACAAAGCTAGTTTATACAAGAGAAATTAATGCTCCTATACCAAAGTTCTTTAAAACATTTCAATTTGAAACCTCATCTCTTTTCTCATAAACCCAGATTCATCTTTATAACTTTGTTTGCTTATAATCAATATATTTATTGCTAGAGCGGGAAGGTGACTTATAAATCAGTTATTTTAATATCATCATTGCATAACTGATAAAACAGAGATAATGTTAACTGCTCAATGGTATCATCTCCTGTCATATTAAATGGAATATATCACTCAAAAGAATATGTGTTTGTGTGTGTGTGTGTGTGTATTACATAAGTAACACTTGCTTATTCTTCCCTAAATCCACAGCATGTCTCTCTAGGGCCACTCTTTTAAAGGCAACCATATTCAGCAGTTCCTTGGTTTTCTTTTCTGAGATTTTTAATTTATATATTAAAAAGTATCTGGGTATATATAAGCTCGTAAAAGATTCTGCTTATTGCTTAAGAAGATAAAAGTAGAAGGGCTCACACTACCTGACTTCAAAAATTATCATAAAGCTACAGGTAGAAAGTTAGGTCACTGATTTGACATCTTTCTTCTTTTTTGATACAGGCATTTACAGCTATAAATTTTCTTCCAAGCACTGCCTTATCTGCATCCTATAAGTTTTTGTATGTTGTGTCTTCCTTTTAATTCATCTCAAAATATTTTCTGGTTTCCTTTGGTATTTCTTATTTGACCCACTGGTTATACAAGAGTGTTGCTTAATTTCCACATATTTTTGTGTTTTGCACATTTTTTCCCTGCCATTGATTTATAATTCCATTACATTATGGTAAGAGAAAATGCATCGCATCATTTTTACCCTTTTAATTTTTTGAGGTTTGTTTTATGGCCTGGAATGTGGTCCTCATGGTGAATGTTTCATGTGTACTTGAGAGGAATATATCTTCTGTTCTAGGCAACTCAACAGGAGAATGTCTGTACCTGCCAAAACCAGTCTATAAGATTGGAAGAAGTTTTTCTTCCTTCAAATACACAGACACCAATGCAATGCCACACAGATCGTGAAGAATTAGTCAAACATGATTTCACTGAAGAAAACTATTAATACTTCAGTAACTGAACTGTAAGAAATAAAGATCTACATATTACCTGATAAAGAATTCAAAATAATCATCTGAAATAAGCTCAATAAGCTATAAAAGAATGTATATAGACAACTAAATAAAAATGAGGAAAACAATGCATGAACAAAAGGAGAAGTTTAATAACTAGAAACCATGAAAAGGAACCTAACAGAAATACTGCAGCTGAAGAATACAATGACAGAACAGAAAAATTAAATCAAGGATTTCAATAGCAAACTCAATCATGCAGAAGAAAGAATCAGTGAACTCAAAGACAGATTATTTGAAATTTGCCAACTAGAGGAATGTCTTAATCCATTTTGTGTTGCTATAACAGAATATCACAGACTGAGTATTTTATAAAGAAAAGAAATTTTTTTTCTTACAATTCTGGCAACTGGTAAATCCAAGATTGAGGGTGCCACATCTGGCATGGGCCATTGTGCTGCATTATCTCATGGCAGAAGGCAGAAGGGCAAAAGAGTATGCACGTGAATGACAGAGAGTCAAACTCACTTTTATAACAAATTTACTCTCACCATAATGAGCCCACTCTTGGAATAATGAGCCTACTCCTGTGATAATGACACTCATTCATTCATGAGAGCAGAACCCTCAAGACCTAATTGCCTTTTAAAGGTTCCATCTCTCAACAGTATTGCACTGGGAACTTAAGTTCCCAACATGTGAACTTTAGGGGACACACTCAAACCATAGCATTCCACCCCTGAATTTCAAAATTTATGTCCTTCTCACATGCAAAACACATTCACTCCATCCCAATAGCTCTAAGATCTTAACTCCTTCCAGCACCAACACAAAACTCCAAAGTATCATCTAAATAAGGTGTGGGTGAGACTCAAGGCATGATTCATCTTGAGGCAAATTTCCTACAGCTGTGGGCCTATGAAATCAAAACAAGTAATCTGCTTCCAAAATACAGTGGTGGCCCGGGTATAAGATAGATGTTCCCATTCCAAAAGGGAGAAATAGGCAAAAATAAAAGAATAACTAATGCCAAGTAAGCCTAAAACCCAACAGGAAGAGCACATTAAGTATTAAAGCTCCAGAATTCTTTTCCTTGACTCCATGTCCCTCCATCTGGGCACAATGGGGTGGTGGTTAGGTCCCAAGGCCTTGGGCTGCCCCACCCCTATGGTTTTGCTGGGTGCAGGCCATGTCACAGCTCTGACATGTTGGAGTCTCATGCTTGAAGCTCTCCCAGGCTGGAGTTACATGCTGGTTGCTCTACACCTCTAGGGTTTTGGAGGCAGTCCTGATCCCACAGCTCCACTAGGTTTGATCTAGTGGGAACTCTCTTTGGTGGCTCTAACCCTACAACAAGCTTCTGTCTGGGCCCCCAGGCTGTCCATTTGAAATCTAGGTGGAGGCCCCACATCTCTTGTACTATGCATGTCTGCAGAATCAGCAACATGTAGACATCACCGAGGTTTACCATTGTGCCCTCCAGAGCCATGGCTGGAGCATCCAAGGAGCTCTGTGCCAGAGTGTGGCAAGCAGCTTCCTGAAGCAGCCCTGGGCAGCAAATGCTGAAGTCTCCAGAGCACCTCTCTGGAAATTTTGCCCTCAAGGCCCTGCTCTGGGCCTACAATGGGAGGACAGACTCTTCCACATGTTGGGAAGATAGCACATCCCAACTTCATGGGAAGGAAAGCTCTTGTGCTCTGGACCCTTTCAGATCACACCCTGTTTATCTCTTTATCTGGCTGTTCGTTTGCATCCTTTATTATATCCTTAATAATCAACCTGTAAACATAAGTGTTTCCTTGAGTTCTGTGAGCTGCTCTAGCAAATTAATCAAACTCAAAGAGGGGGTCATGGGAACCCTAATTTGAAGCTGGTTGGTCAGGAGTTCTGGAGGCCCAGACTTGTGGCTTGTGTCTGAAGTGGGGGCAGTTTTGTGAAACTGAGCTCTCAACCTGTGGGATGTGAAACTATTTCCAGGTGGATAATGTCAGAATTGAACTGGGTTGGAGGATGCTGAGTTGGTTTCTGCTACAAAATTGATTGCTTGTTTGGTGTGTGGGGTACACCCCCCTACACAGAAACATTTGGTCACAAAAGACGTTGGTTGGTGTTGAGGCTGCTGGGTGAGAGAATAGAAAAAAACAACACTTTGAGTGTGTTTTTTTTCCACTGACAAATATGAAGGATTGTAATACACTTTCAATAATTATATGCCAACAAATTGGATAACTTAGAAGAAATGGATAATTCTTAGAAACATACATTCTGCCAAGACTGAACCATGAAAAAATAGAAAATTTGAACAAACCAATAACAAGTAAAGAGGTTGAAGCAGCAATCAAAACCTCCCAACACAGAAAATCCCAAGACCTTATGGCTGCACTGCTGAATCCTACCAAACATTTAAAGAACTGGTAACAATCCTTCTCAAACTCTTCCAAAAACTCAAGGAGGGGGAAATACTTCCAAACTGTTTCTATGAGGTCAGCATTGCCCTGATACCAAAGCCAGACAAGGACATTACAAGATAATTGCAGGCCAATATCCTTGATGAAAATAGATGCCAAAATCCTCAATAAAATAGTAGCAAACTGAATCCAACAGTACATTAAAAGGATCATGCGCCATGATCAAGTGGAATTTATCCCTGGAGTGCAAAGGTAGTTAAACATATACAAATCAATAAATGTGATATATCACATTAATGGAATAAAGGATAAAATAATATGATAATGTCAATAAATGTAGAAAAAGTATTTCACAAGATTCAACAACTTGCATGATAAAAACTCTCAGTAAGTTAGGTATAGAAGGAATGTACCTCACAATAACAAAGGCTATATAAGATAAGCCCAGAGCTAACAAACTCAATAGTGAAAACCTGATTTTCCTCTAACATCAGGAACAAGCTGAGGAGGCCCACTCTCACCATTTCTATTCAATATAGTACTGGAAGTCCTAGCCAAAACAATTGGGCAAGAAAAAAGAAATAAGATATCCAAATCTGAAAGGAAGAAGTTAAGTTTATCGGCAGATGACATGATCTTAGTATTTTTTTTTATTTCAATAGGTTTTTGGGGAACAGATGGTCTTTGGTTACATGGATAAGTTCTTTAGTGATGATTTCTGAGATTTTGGTGCATCCATAACTCAAGCAGTGTACACTGTACCCAATGTGTAGACTTTTATCCCTTACCCTCCCCCCACACCTCCTGAGTCCCCAAAGTCCATTATATCATTCTTATGCTTTTGCGTCTCCACTTAGCTCCCACTTATAAGTGACAACACATGATGTTTGGTTTTCCATTCCTGAGTTACTTCACTTAGAATAATGGTCTCCAACTTAATCCAGGTTGCTGCAAATGCCATTATTTCATTCCTTTTTATGGCTGAGTAGTATTCCATGGTGTATATTTAATACATAACACATTTTCTTTATCCACTTGTTGATTGATGGGCATTTGGGCTGGTTCCATATTTTTGCAATTGCAAATTGGGTGGCTATAAACATGTGTATGCAAGTGTCTTATTCATATAATGACTTACTTTCCTCTGGGTAGATACCCAGTAGTGGGATTACTGGATCAAATGATAGATCTACTTTTAGTTCTTTAAAGAATTTGCATACTGTTTTCCATATTGGCTGTACTAGTTTACATTCCCACCAGCAGTGCAAAAGTATTCCCTTTTCACCATATCCACGTCAACATATATTATTTTTTAATTTTTTTATTATGGCCATTCTTGTAGCAGTAAGGTGGTATCACATTGTGGTTTTGATTTGCATTTCCCTGATTACCAGTGATGCTGAGCATTTTTCACATTTGTTGGCCATTTGTATATCTTCTTTTGAAAATTGTCTATTCATGTCCTTAGCCCGCTTTTTGATGGGATTATTTGTTTCTTTCTTGCTGATTTGTTTGAGTTCCTCATAGATTCTGGATATTAGTCCTTTGTCGGATATATAGTTTGCAAAGATTTTCTCCCACTCTATGGGTTGTTGGTTTACTCTGCTGATTACTTATCTTGCTGTGCAGAAGCTTTTTAGTTTATTTTACTCTGCTGATTACTTATCTTGCTGTGCAGAAGCTTTTTAGTTTATTTATCTTTGTTTTTGTTGCATTTGCTTTTGGATTCTTGGTGATGAACTCTTTGCCTAAGCCAATGTCTAGGAGAGTTTCTCCGATGCTGTCTTGTAGCATTTTCATGGTTTCCAGTCTTAGAGTTAAGCTTTTGATTCATCTTGAGTTGATTTTTGTATACATGATCTTATATATAGAAAACCCTAAATACCCCACCAAAAAACTGTTAGAACAATTCAGTAAAGTTGCAGAGTACAAAATCAACATGCAAAAATCAGTTGCATTTCTATACGCCAACAATGAACACTATCCAAAAAGGAAATTAAGAATCCCATTTACAATAGCATCAACAAGAATAAATGCTTAGGAACAAATTTAACCAACTATTGACATTGATGAAATTAATTGGTGAAGACACAAATACATGAAAAGATATTTCATGTCCATGGATTGGAATAATTAATAATGTTAAAATGTCCACACTACCAAAAGTGATCCATAGATTAAATACACTTTCTTATAGGCTGACCTAAATGTGAGGCAGATAGATCAAAGAGAATAATGGGTTTTGAAAGCTGTCAGCAAACATTAAAAATCGATTTATTCTCTTTATTTTAATACCCAGTAAAACTTGTGCACATATATGCCAAAAAAAAAAAGCAAGTCCAAGAGTTTTCCTACAGGTACGGTTTATAATATCCCCAAACTGGAAACAACCCAAACATCCATCACCAGCAGAATGGGTAAACAAACATAAAAAATTGGTATATTCATATTGCGGAATATATACACAGCAGTGAGAAAGAACAATTGTTAAATGCAACAACATGGATGAATTTCACATATTCCTGCATAAAAGAAGCCAGGCATAAGAGAGTATTTATTATATAATCCTATTTATATGGAGTATGAAAATATGCAAAATTCAAAGATGATATTAGATGTCAAGAAAATGGTTATCCTTATGGAGAATGTGATTAAGAGGGGGCATGAGGGTGGCTTCTGGAGGGACTGATAATTTTCTATCTCTTGACACAGCTCAAGTGACAAAACTTAGTTCTGGGATCTTATTTGATGGAAACAGTGGCAATACATTGAAACAGAAGATCTGGGTGGGAGTTCAAAGATACATTCTCTTCATATACATTCAATGATCTATATATACTTGTATTTGGGCACTTTTCTGTATGTTTCTTATACTGCAATTAAAAATTTTCTTAAAAAATATGAAGTCACATTAAGAAAGACAGCATTACCATTATTTTAGAAACTCCATTTACCCCACTCTATAGTATATCTCTCTCATTCTCATGCTGATATAACCACTATAATAATGTTTGAAATAATCATTCTCTTGCTCTTATTTGTTAGCTTTACTAATTATATTTGTATCCATAAACAATAGATATTTTAGGATGCTTAGTTTGTAGTTTCTATAAATGAAATTATGCCATATTTTTGTGTTTTTTTAATTGAAATATCAAAATATCTCATTTCCTGTGACTTCTAGGTTTTTCTGCATTGCATGTCATTGCTTTCATAAATTGTTACAGCTATCAAGGGAAAATGTGTTAAGACTCTTAATAATATAATAATTTAATTTTAAATTTGTTAATTTTGCACACAAACAATCTGTTAAAGAAAAAACAGAAAGAAAAGATAGTTCTGTTTCTTCCTTTCTAAGAATTATAACTTTTTAACTTTCCTTTTGTCTGGGAAGGAATGGAAGTCGCAATTCCTGGTATACCACTTGTAGTCCCAATCTCAAGTAAAGTGTTTTAAACTTTTTACCTTTAAGAGTTGTTTTTTGTAGATTATTTTTATCTTTTAAAAATTAAGTAAAAGAAATTTCCTTCTATTTCTAGATTGTTAACAGTTGCATTGTGAGCAGACAGTGAAATTTATCCAATGTTTTTCTGCCTCTTTTGAGGTGAACTTATTTTTTTCCTTTAATTTCTTAATGTACTGAATCATAACACTGTTCTTCTCACGTTAAATTGACATCCTGCTTTTGGTATAAATCTGGATTTGTTATGATTTTTAAACATTGGTGGATTCAGCTTTTTTTTATTATTATTATTTCTGATTTTATGTTCGTTAATGAGATTGACCTGTGATTTTTCTTTCTCTCATTGTCTTTTTCTGGTTTGGTATTAGGATGAAGGTGAAAATGAGGTGAAAAGTCTTCCCTCTGTCACTACGTTTGGAAAAGTTTGTATCCAATTGAAATTATTCTCCCTGGATTGTTTTGAAGAACTTTCAGGTGAAAATATCTGGGTTTAGGACTTTCTCTGTAGGACAATTTTTGACTATTCAATTTATGTAA